>NC_000002.12:104459314-104762345 GCF_000001405.40 Homo sapiens | reverse complement strand
GTACAGACCAGATAGCAGAAATCTGCCTCCGCAGATGTGTACCTGACTTTACTGCTCCGATTACAGCATCACCTCTCCCCTGTCACCAACTGGCAACCCACAGCAAAGGATGTTTTTCTGATCATTTTGCACTCATTAAACGCAGCTGTCACAACAGTAGATGCGAGGATGCATGCAAAACTTTTCTGCCACATCAAAATAAAGCTGAAACGCTTTTTTAAAAAAGAGCTGATGCCTTTGAAGCCTGTTCTCAAGGAGTATTGGAAATATCACCTTTTGTCGTTGACAATTGAAAGCGTTCCACTGCAACACAAATTAAATCTCTGCCCAGGCTAAAGAAGCATCATCCATCAAAATTTTGCACCAGAAAGCATTTGGCCACCATTTGTGGGGTTCAATCATACTATTCCTGGGTGTGAATGACTCATATTCATTGTACTGGCTGATCCCTGCTCATGGTTTCAATAGGGAGAAGTAGTTCCCTGACTCTCAAAGGAATGTTAACGAGTATGAGATAACCAGGTACCTACTACACCCCCTATTAGGACTTAAACCAAGTGAATAGATTCTTGAGCTTCAACATGGACCCACTGGACTAGATTCTGTGGATGGGAGTGGGGGCCTTCCCTGATTCCGATGCAGTCATCAGAATCCATTTCACCAATCCCCAGGCCTGTGTGGGAACCAATAAGGACCGTACATTTCAGTAATGTGCCTGTTGATGCAGCATCTCTTATATTTTCCTGTTGTTTACTCAGTGTCAGTCTTATCTCTTGATCAGTCACAGGTTGACCCTGGCCTCTACTTCTCAGAGAAGCCCACCATCAGCTCCCCCTGGGCTGCATAATGAGACCACTACCTGTGCCCCTTCATACCCTTTGTCTACCTCGATCACAGTAGTTCGCACTCTGTCCGCGTCATCTGCTCATGCATCCTCACTAGGCTGGAATTTTGAGAGTAAGGACTGTGTCCATCATCGTATGTGTGGTTCTAACAGTATAACACAGGGCTTGACATAGAGAAGGCCCCCGGAAGGGTTGGTGACAGACAGGAAGGAAGGTGGGGGACAGGAGAACAATAGCATCGGATTGTTTCAAGGGGTGGGTGAGCACAGCTTCCAGCCAGATGCTGCTTTTGCACACCAGGTGACTACAGATACAGATTTTTTAGTCTTTATCTACCTTCCTTCTTCCACGCCAAGGGCAACATGACAGCCTGGGCACACAGGCAACAATTATTAAGTAATGAGAAAAGATAAGAAGAGCTCTCATCTCCTGGGTGGCTGTATCTGTCAGGGTCCAGCCAGGAAAACTCACCTCGCTAGTTATTTCCTGCCTCATCTCCGCCTACATTCCCCTTTTGACAAAGCCTAATGGGAGGCCAGGGAAATGGGGCACCTGTGCCATGAGAACCAAGTGGCTGAGCAGTTTGGACTCATTCAGTTCCCTCTCTCATCACAAGATGGGACACACATTTCAATGACCCACAGCCAGCTGCACAAGCTATGGTGTCTGATGAGGACACACCCTCGCTCTGTGTTCTTGCAATGTGTGATGGCATTGCGGGCTACTTGAGGAATATGTGTAAGAAATTGAGATGCCGCCTCTTCCATGATGTCACACTGGAGAGAAAACTCCAAAGACAGGATAGAAATAGTGAATTTAAGGGAATTATGGATGAACACCTAGAATCCTCTGGTGTTCCAGTTACTGCATAAATTAATGCTGGGCATTGACCAGAGAGCTGAGATGAGAGGAAAAGGAAAGGCTGAGGGTACAAGGGCTCTGAGCTTGGTTAGTTTTGGTGTCTTAAATGAACCCATCTTAAGTGATCTTAAGTGATCCCTCTCCTTGAGGGAGCCCATTGCTTACACAAGGCTCTGTCACCTCCTGGATAGCAAAGAATTAATTTACTGGGTGCTTTTTCTATAGACGAGCCTACTGTGGTTAGATTGCATTAGTAATTTGAATTTATTAGATGTATTATATTAACTTTTATCAACAAATCAAGTGACTGTGTGTCTGTCATGTGCAAGACACCTCTACCAGGGATGCCACTCTCCCTTCTTGCTGCATAGCTAGCACTTTCTCTTCCTTCTGCGGGAAGACCCAGAACATCCCTTCCAGAGGCTGTCCTGAAGCATCTCATTGGAAGTTGGTCTCTTCTTCTCTATCATTTGTTATCTTAGGCCCTTGTCCCTACCTAACCATAATTCTAATTGACAATCCATTCATTTATCTGCTATTTCTTTGCCATCTCTAGAAGGGCAGGACCAGCATCTATATCCTTGATGCTTGGTGCAGTGTCTGGCACATAATAGAAGTGAAGTAAAATGTGTAGCATGACTAGATACACACAAGGCATAATACGAAATTAAATCAGATCCCTTCCTTTTTCTCAAAACTTGATAATATTGGGAAAAGCCATGTGCACAGATAAGTAACAAAACAAAGCATTGCAACATAATTCCTTTTAAAAATGATGCAACTCATAGAAAGAGCTGCAGGTGATCTTGATGCAGGTACAGGTAGGTACCATGGTTTTTCAGATGAGTAGAAAAAGCAGGGAGTGGATTTGTGGTAGAAGTAGGAGCAGCATCCATGGCCTCATGAGCAACATTCTTCCCATTCACTGTTTTTTTTTTTTTTTTTTTTTTTTTTTTGCCTCCAGGCAGGATGTGTGAGTAAGTGATGAGTTTGTGTGTGTGTGTGTGTGTGTGTGTGTGTGTGTGTATCTAGCCACAGCCTGAATTGGTACATGGAGAGCTACCCTGCTTGAGATGAATTGCACTGGATTTCTTCGGGTCTTTGTTTTTGTTTTTGCTTTGAGGCAGAGTCTCGCTCTTTTGCCCAGGCTGGAGTGCAGTGGCACGATCTTGGTTCACAGCAACCTCCACCTCCCAGGTTCAAGCCATTCTCCTGCCTCAGCTTCTCCAGTAGCTGGGATTACAGGCATGTGCCACCATACCCAGCTAAGTTTTGTATTTTTAGTAGAGATGGGGTTTCACCATGTTGGCCAGGCTGGTCTCGAACTCCTGCCTTCAAGTGATCCACCTACCTCAGCCTCCCAAAATGCTGGGATTACAGGCATGAGCCACCACACCTGGCCCGGGTCTGTCTTTCACTTGCTCTCCTTCCCATCTCTATCACTCCCCACTGTCAAGCTGATGGCCATGTCCCTCCATGCCAGCAGTACATGCGCCTCCGTCATTCTCAAGGGTAATAGCAGCTTACAACCATTCCATAGGTAGTATAGACAGTTGTTTAATTATATTATTCATGCCTCTCTTAAAAGTAACAACTGTATATCTTTTAATAAAAAAGCATTCATAATTCAATATAATTGGAAACATTTCTGGATATTTCTTGAAAACTCTTAAGGATTATTCAGGGTGCGTGGTGTGGGGCAAAACCAAGGCTGGCTGTCAGAGGGTTAAAAACGCCTGAAGATTGCAGCTCATCTGAGGGAACTTGCCCAGCCCTGAGCATTAAAGCAGGAAGCCACCTAGAATGGTAAGGACCACCCCAAACTCAGGAGGCTTTAGAATTTATTTTTTCATTAATGAGTGCTTCAGAAAGTGCACTGTCCCTAATTCCCTTCTTTGAAAGATGGAAACTTTAATGTGCAGTTAATTAAATGTTGTGTTGATTTGCAAGCCCTCAGCTCTCAGAGGCCTTGGGGAGGTGGAGGCAGGTTTAGAAATCAAACAACAGGGGGGACCGGTTGTCCCTGATCTGACCACAGTGCAGGTGGCACTGTTTGCTGCAGATGCCCGGGAGGCGTCTGAGGCACCCCTGTGGCCAGACCCGCCGTTCTGAGCCTTGGTGATTCGTGAACCGCTCTGTTTACTGTTGAGAGGAGAAGAGCCCAGGCAACAGGTCCAGGCCCCGGCAGGGAGGAGGCTGGCCCGAGCCTACACCTCTCTCCTGGCTGCCTGGCTTTCAGAAGCATTCTTTAAAAAATTTTTTTTCCTAGTGCTTCAGCATGTCTTTGTGCTGAGAGGAGCTGTGTCATGCTGGAATTCTTTTCACAACAAACTAAAGAACCCAGCTGTGGCGCTGGCTGCAGCCTGAGAATCTGCAGGGTTTCTGTATGCAGTTATTTACTAAGGGGAGCAGTGAAGCTGCTGAGGTGGGTTTACTTGTGCAAATCCTCAGCAGGCTTTGCAATGCTGGCAGGGCTGGGGTGGGGGACTGTGGACATCCATCCCCTGGGTGGGGTGGGGTGGGGTGGGGTGGGGTGGGGCGGGGCTGGATGGAAATGCAAAGGCACTTAGAGATTGCAGAGTGCAAAAGGGCCACAGAGCTTATCTTCCCTCTCTCCCATTTTATAGATGAGGAAACGCAGTCAAGAAATTGAGTGTGTGATTTTGCAAGAAAAAGTGTGGATTGCTCCAAATAACTAGAGACTGTTAACAGTGGCAAGTTTATCATCCATTTGGCCCTGGCTAAAGGCACAACTTATGCAGTTACCAAATGACAACTTGCAGGGTTTTTGCTACCAGAACACACTTCCTTCAACCCTACTCGTGGCAAGAACAAAGCATCAATACCTAATGAAAATACACTTGCTATTGTTTTGGCATGGGAACTCCTTTCTTGTAACTCTTCTGCATGGTCAGCTTGTTTACGATGCCCCCAAAGAGCTGGCGAAGATCTCAGGATTGGCTTTGGAGGGTCTTGGCAGTGCTACTATATTCTTATTATGAATAAAAATTTTAAACCCAAGCTGATAAACATATTTTTTTTCACACTGAATTCATCAGGAATACATTAACATTTTCTAAAAGGTAAAGACAGCAAAAATGAAAGAATTGAAAGGAGAACATTAGGATGTATTTGGCCACTAGGACTCTGTTTCCATCAGCTCCTGCATATGAGCCAGAACTTCACCCCATATAACTAATGCGCAGGGAATTAGCCTATGGAATAATGATCATTCCTGATGAAAAGAATAAGATCTTGTTCCCGTGTATGTGCAGAGCCATTCATCCTAAGAAAGAAATCTGGAGTGAAAGCGCACAGCATATTTTGCATAGGTTCTGTAAAAGGATCCAGGCAAAACAGGCTTTGCAACATTAGTTATGATCATATATGGAAAAAGCAGTTACTTTCTGGGGTGACATATGGCTGAATTGGTACAATGCCCAGGAATCTCAATGTCCCCCTTAGAAGGGTGAGCCCTGGCTTCATCCTTCACCCACATCATCAGTGGGACAAACTGCACAGCTCGTGGACAGATCACCGGTAAAGAAAATCACATCCACCTGTGCTGAGACCAAGGCTGCTGTTGGGCTCTGGCAGTTGGCAAGCGCTAAGGTCCCCTTCTGTGATCATAACTTTTTCTAAAGCAGGAAAATTATGAATGGAGCCCAAGCCCGTCTGCTTAAGATTCAAGCATGGTGACATTCCATAGTAAACAACAACAGCGACAATGCTGACAAAAACAACACGTTTATTGTGAGGGTGATTCCACCCTTAAATGTGGAAAATTTAACCTTGCTCTGATACTATTCTGTAACCAGTATACCTATGTCCAACATTCCTAACATAGCCAAACCAATCAATTGAGCCTTATTGTGGAAGAGACAGGAAATGTGATCACTTGAATGTGTGATATTCATTCATCCACTCATTCATTTTGCTGACCATTAATTAATTCAATTAACCCTCCTGAGTACAGCTCTGTGCTAAGCATTAGGGACTCAAGATGATTCTTATCTTCAAGGCATCCAGCCTGGGGAGAAAAACAGACGTACAACTAAGCTGCAGACGGACACATCCTTTAGTGATGGGGACACCTGGAAGGGATTGAGAAACTCCTTGCAGTTGGCCTTGGGAAGCTGGGGAGGACTTGAAACTTCTAAGTGGCCCTGGGAGCAACCGGAGGTGGGGTGGGCCAGTGCCTGTAGGCCTGGGCCTGCCTGGCTGAGGATCCCAGCTGGACTACTGCCTTGCTGTCTACAAATGATGGAGCCCTTCCAGTCTCAGCTTCCTCACAAGTAAAATGCAGACGGCAATGCCTCTTTCCAGTGACGTTGTGAGGATTCGATGGGAAGTTTCATGAAAGCACTTAGCAGGGTTTTTGTTGAGTGCTCAGAAGGTGATAGTTTGGTGTTGCTAGGGGAACAGAAGCCTGGGCTGAGAACAGGCCGTGGAGAGTCACAAATGGTCTTCAGCCGTCGGAAGGCACTGTTAGATTTACTCTTCACAAAGAACATTTTGGGACATCTTGGTGTACGGATTAGAAGGAAGGACAGAAGCTGGTGAGCTGTGGGCCACAGGGTCAGCAGGGAGGATACTGAAGCAGTCCACAGACGCAGCTGTGAGGGTGTCCTGGAGCTGGGGAGAGGGAGAGGAGTGGATTAGAGACGTGTTTGGAAAGTGTTAATAAGATAGGCAGGGCTGAGGGGAGAGAACAAGAGAGGGAGAAGGGGGTAGATTTTGATGAGGAGGTGACGGCAGTGACAGTGACTGAGAGGAGCAATAAAGCCAGGAGCAGGCTGTGGGAAGAGGGAGTGGCTTCCCTCAGAAGAGGCGCCGCCTCCCTAGCAGTGAGCAAATGTGTTTAGGAACATGTTCTTCCTCCCAATCCAGAGACGGATTGCTGAGATGATTCCTGCTTTCCGGCTCCCCGACACCCGCTGTTCTTTAGATCCGCTCAGCGGCGCTTTTTCCTGTGCCACGTGCCCAGATCTGAGCGAGGCTTGGGAAGACGCGAACGGGCTGTAAAATCTGTCCCCAGAACTGGAGAGTAAGAATGAGCGGTGTGGGGCTGAGCTGAGTCCAGGGAGTGCGAGAATTTAGCAGTCGTGCTGTGCCTGGGCATTTCAGACTGTGCCACAGCCGGGCCTGCCTGTTCCGCAATGTGGCTGAGGAAGGGAGCCAAAAACGCTGCTGCAGGGCTGGCTGTGGGCAGTGGCAGGAAGCAAACAGAGGCTCTCTGGCGACTTCTCTCCCCTGGAGGCCCTCCTCCCTCTACTTCTAGCCCCACTGCTGTGGGACAGTTGCATCCTGGGGCTTTCTGTGGCTCTCCCATCAGTGCCCTGGGGCTGGCATATGCGACACCTCCTCTGCCTAGGGCATTCAGGCATTCTTCAGTACTTGGTGAGCACCTCCTAGTGCCAAGCTCTGTCCTGGTCACAGGAGAGCACTCCTATCCATGTGTTGTCCCTGTCCTCACTGCGCTTTGGGCCGGAGAGGAGCTCACTGTCTGATCCTTTTCCCCGACTGTGGCTTAAGGGGTTTCGTCTCTTGCTAGAGCCCTTCTAGGCAGGCAGCAGGTCCTGGTTTGTGAGCAAGGGGCTCCTCCTCCATTTTGGAGCCTCGGCTGCCCTGCCTCCCCGGTAATCTGGTATTCTGGTAGTGCCTCTCTGGGCCCTGGTTTAAAAGGCCGAGAGAAGCTGTATTCTGGAGATCAGCTCCAGGTTCTCCCGCAGAGAGCAAGCTCCAGGCACAGGCAAAGGGTGTGGCTTCAGAGAAGAGCGAGGATCTTGCCATCTCTTTTACAGGTTGGTGCAGACTTTTTAGCAGCGTTAAACCCCTGATTGCTGTCATCAGTGGTGTGATTTTACCAGATGCTCCCTCAGTACTTTACAATCAACCTGCACTGAGCACTTTGTGCGGGGGCAGGACCTGGTCTGGGGACTGTCAAGTGCTTTATCTTATCTAAGCCTTACCTCTAGATCCGTGGAAGGCAGAGAGAATTTGGGAACCTCTGTGCTATAAGCATGGAAAATTGGGACTCAGGTAAAAAGGCTGGTTCCTGGTCGCACAGCTGGTCATGGGTGAGTGTGGTTTTTGAACTCTGATATTTGGATTCTGAGTACAGAACATGTTATATTGTGGCCCATGCCCTCCTCCTGAGTTCTTCAGTTTTAATCATTTCATTTTCTACTCTTTTTAGGCACTTTGGCAAAGGAGTGTGAGTTTTGGGGAAGCTCAAGGAAGAGGTACCAGGTAGAGAGAGGGCCAGGGCTGAGTTCACGGGCTCTTTCTAAATGGAAATGTCTCACATTCAGGTAGGTTACGGCATGTGTCAGGAATATCTTTTCTCTATAACAGTGATAAGCAATATGCAGTCATCAAGCTTTAGGAATGCAAACATCAATCTAGTAATTTCAGGAGCAAAAACCTCAGTTCAGGTGGTGGAGTGCTTTGAACATAACCTCCCTCATTTAAGTTTGAGCAGTAGTTGTCTCTCCAGCTGGAGCTGACCCTGCCAGGCTGGGGCTGAGGAACCATCTACCAGCCCAGGACGGACAGAGGCTGGCCCAGAGAGATGGCATCTGAGGCCATGTGCATGCAGTTGGTGTCCTGGATTGAGGTTGAGAGACAGACATAGTCCTCTATCCTTTCCACACATATCCTCAGGAAAGGATCTAGCAGGGTGTTCATTTTTCACTATTTTGTGAGTAGTTGGAGGAGGCAATGCCACCAAGAAAGCATTTTGCTACCCTTCCTTCCTGGGTACTGAAGACATTCTGTATATGTATATTTCACATGTAACTCCTAAAAATATGTAGACCATAAACATTTTTATTTTTCCTGAATTTTACTTTATGCAAAAAAGACATCATATTTTAAATTCTTAGTGATGAGAGTGAGACACCTGAGATGGCTCTGGTGGAAGATGGTAGGTTGTACTGTACTTGGATTCCAGAAGATGAGGCCTCCCTGTGTCTATGGGCTGGGAATTGCGGGGGCTCATCCTACCAGGTGTTGGAGGTGGGTCCTGTGGCTCCTGTAAATTGGAGGTTTCTTGCCATTTCAGGGGCCTGAGACTTATGTTGTAGAAAGACACCAGCAACAGGGAAGGGATGGTGAGTGGGGACAAGATAGACCAGCTTTGTCCTCGGTTCCATCCTCAAGATGGGTGCGGCACTTATTGTGCCCAGTAAGTTCTCATCCAGATACTACCTTACCTCTGAGGTTATATCCCTGGACATATTCTTTTTTTTTTAATTTAATTTTTATGAATACATCATAGTTGTACATATTTATGGGGTACATGTGATATTTTGATACAAGCATACAATTACTATCAAATCATAGTAATTGGGATATCTATCACCTTAAACATTTATCATTTCCTTGTGTTAGGAACATTCAATTCTACTCTTCTAGTTATTTCGAAATATGCAATAAATTATTGTTAACTATAGCCACCCTATTGTGCTATGGAACACCAGATCTAATTTCTTCTATCTAATTGTGTTTTTGTACCCCTTAATCAACCCATTTTTAATCCCTCCTTCCCCTCTACCCTTCCCAGCCACAGCCTCTGGTAACCATCATCTATCCTCTACCTCCATGAAGTCACCTTTATAGCTCCCACATATGAATGAGAACATGTGATATTTGTCTTTCTTTTTTTTATTATTTTTAATTTTTTTGAGATGGAGTCTTGCTCTGTCTCCCAGGCTGGAGTGCAGTGATGTGATCTCGGTTCACTGCAACCCCTGGGAATATTCTTGTAGCACAAACTCCGGCCACCTTCTGCCACAGCTGATACCTGTAGGATAATTATTCCAGCTTCAGAGGAAAGCGAAATGATGACCAGAGATACCCAGATATTGTTCTCGTTGTGAGTGTGGCTTTCAGTCAGTTAACGATAGGGAGGTTGAGGGGAAAGAGGAAGTGCATTCCTAAGGCAAGTCGGTGGTGGTGCTTGCTCATGAGGCCTGCACTGCTGCACTGGCCTTTTCTCTGGTCAGATTTTGAGGGGTTGCCACCTCAGAGTTGGCCACGAGAGCCAGGGCTTCCTGGAGCTGCATCCTTTCTGGCATGAAGACCCTGATAGGTCTGGCAGGCTTTCTCACAGCGGGAATGTTACCGAGGAGTCCACTCATGGGGTCAATCAGGGAAGTTCCTCGAGGTGGAACTCTGGGATGTTTGATCCTCTGTATGGACAGATACTGAGTCTAAGTTTAGCTGGGAGTCACTGCTCACATGGACACTGTGGCCTTCCTTAGCGCTGGGCTGTTGGGGCTTGGCGTGAACTTGTTGATCACCTAAGATGAGATATGTGGTACTTTGGCCTTTGAATTATTTATTTGTACAACTTAACAGATTTCTCAGGTGTGGAGAAAAAAATTGCAACTTAGACCAAGGACTTGCAAACTTTATTAGTACCTCTGCAGGTTTTTCATTTTTGTTTTTGAGATGGAGTCTCACTCTGTTGCCCAGGCTGGAATGGAATGGAACATCTCAGCTCACTGCAACCTCTGCCTCATTCAAGCTATTCTCCTGCCTCCGTCTCCTGAGTAGCTGGGACTACAGGCTTCCGCCAACATGTCCGGCTAATTTTTGTATTTTTGGTAGAGATGGTGTTTCACCATATTGGCCAGGCTGGTCTCGAACTCCTGACCTTGTGATCTGCTCCTCTTGGACTTCTGCAGGTTTTTAATCCCTTTGGATTAAAAAGGGATCATGACCTTCCATCTGTGAATTTCATGCAGCACCTAGTAGTGACCAACACTTGTAGGAGGCTCCACACTATTAGGCACTTTTCCACCCTCTTTAGCCTCACCACAAACCTAGGAGGGATGTACGGTTCTTACCATGTTTCTCCTGTAGCTGAAAAATTGATTCTGAGCATATGACTTGCTCAAGATCCCATGCTGGCAAGTGTCTGGGCTGGCCTTTGGCCTTGGTACACTCAATCTACCCTTTAACCCACGTGTAAGTCCAGGCGGTCCTGGGGAGGGTTTTTGGGATAAGATAACCTGGGAAATTTTCTCCTGGCTGTCATCTCAGACTGAATCTACACAAGTGGCACAGCTCTCCAGGGAAGGGTGGGCCAGTCCCTCTAGGCAACCTCTACAAATGTCCTTACAACCCTTATTGCCAGGAACTCTTTTTTTGATATTGAACTTAAATCCTCCTCACTCAAGGTTAAGCTGCAAGCTTCTCACTGCATACTAGATGGGGATGAAGTTGGTTACAATGCTCTGTGTGTAAATCTACAGTTCTTTGAGAAGACACACACACACACACACACACACACACACACACACTAAACAACCCAATTCCTCTATATGCTTTCCTTGCAATATAATAAAAAGCTCAGAGTTTTGACTTTAGGATTATTTTCTTTTGTTTGGAAAATATTCCCCAAATCAAATCTAACTTAGCTTTTGATTTCTCAAAATTAATATTTTTCTAGCTGATACAATTTCTGTATGTATATTTTATAGCAGAAATAGTTAAATTGCCGAGTTTTAGAAGTCCTGGCCTATAGACTCTTAAAATTATGAAGCAGATAAACTTCCTAAAGAAATACACACCACATGTAATAAATTCTTGGAAAGGAAGTGTCCGTGAACTTAAGAGTTAAGTGATATTGTCTCCCTGAATGGAAAGGCATTAAGAACCAGGATTTTAAATTTGAAACAATGTGTGCATCATAGCAATTTGTACTACATAAGAGGAAAAGCTGCAGCACTTGGCTCTATTCTATTTTTATTTCCATTACGGATTACTTTTGTGTGTTTTTATGAGATCCTATTCAGAAAGGAGCCAGAGCTGTGCAAGTCAACAGATTTCCATTTGGCCAATATCTGAAGTAACGGGCGTGGGTGCAGCAGGGTGAAGACAGGGAGGTGGGATGGGAGCAGAACCCCCTAGAACCACGCAGAGCTGCCCTTGCCTCCTTTCAGCTGCCCTTGCTCCTGCCCCTGGTCCTGGCCTGCATGGTCACAACCTCCTGCAAAATGCAGAAATGTCAGAAAAATGAATGGAAATGCCCATATGGTGGGTGGAGACTTCTAGGGGAGGGACTCGTTTCTGATTTTGTTCTGCAAGGGAAGGTAAGAAAGCTAAAGCAAGGGAGAGGAGAAAGGGAGACGGGGAGAGAGAGGAATGGAGAGGAAGGAAAGGGGCAGGAGGTGGGGAGCAGCTGTCAGGAGGGAGAAGAAGCAGAAAACGCCGGTTCTACCTCCGGGCTGCTAAAAACCTCCTCCACAGACTTAGCCTCTGAAGGAGCTGGCAGTGTGGCCCCTACCCCTCCCAGCCCCCTTGCCCCTGGCCTAGGCAGTGAGGTGGTGTTGGGGAGCACAAATGGCCCCACTCCTCAGGGTCCTTTACATTCTCCACTCCCTCCCTCCACGCCTATCCTCAGGGTACCTAGTGAGGACCTCCTGAGCCTGCTCTCCAGTGGGAGCTGTGCCACCCTTGCCTCCCCCCTTCAACCTCCACAGGCCTCAGCAAGTCCCTCCTCACACAGCAGACGCCCTGGCCCACCCTCCTCACTAGCTGCCTCTCCTGCCACCCCTGCCTGGAACCCTGTGCTTTTGCTGCCCAGAAGTGTTGGCAGTTTCCCCACAAAACCAAGTGGTGCACATCTTGCTTCCTAAGTCTGGAATAACAAACACAACAATCACTACACCAGCTCATGCCCGTGCCAGGCATGGGCTCAGCCCTTGACATGCACAGCCCTACCAGGTGGGCACCAGAGTTGTCTCTGCTTTCCAGAGCTTACACTGAAGCTTGGAGAGACTAGCCAATTTAAGGGGAGGCTGGCTGGCCTGTGCAGGAAGGTGTAATAGACAAGAAAAGGGACACAAAAAAAGAATGAATATACATCTAGCACCCACTAAGTAAGTACCAGGCTATGCTAGGCATGAGCGTTACTTCCGGATCTAAGACACTGTGATTTGAATGCCAAGCAGTCATATTTTTCTAGAACAGAGATTTTTGATCACTGTTTAGTCAGAAAAGAGACATTTCATCTTCTGCAGACTTTATTTTCTTGCTATTTAAGCCACGGCATTTTCTGGTTTGATAAGGTAAAGGCAGTCTCTCTCACCTGCCCCTTTTCCTATTGTCAGTCTTCTTTTTTGTTCCTTTGCTTGCAGCTGTTGTCTGCCTTTGAGTCACACAGAACCACTTGCAGGAAGAACTCTAGAGAATTTGGGAAGAAAGGGGGAGAGGACAGACAAAAGATGCATTTTTCTTTCAAGAAGCAGGAAAATGTAAGGAAAATTGAAGGTGTTCTCAAGTGTGTCTGCTGCTGCCTGACACAGGTAACATTTCTTTAGTTGGCTTCACTTCCCCCCCCTCATGCCTAGCCAGTTCTTCATCATTTTTTAACATCTCTTTAGGGACAGGGACATGAAAGTGAACCGCAGGTCAAAGGCAAGAATTAGGGATTCTGGGGCCCTTTGTCGGACGGCCTCGCTGCTCCTTTGCGCCCATGCCTTCCCGGGAGCTGGTACAGTGGCTCAGAGCTCCAGCCACATCAGCCTCTCCTGAATGACAGCATCACACCTTCCTCCATCCCATTTACATTTCAAACTGCCACCCACCTGCTCTTGATTAATTATTTAGTAACCCTGGCCACTTGTGAGCCTTTCGGAGCTCATATTTCACGTCAAAGGTCCAATCCTTTTTTATCCAAATCTTCTTTCCCTGAATCCATGTGTAGTTTTCTGCATGAAATGCTATGGTATTCCTTTTGCAGCCTCAACACCCAAGGTATTGGCCTCCCTTCTTTGTGGCAGAAACTTCTGGACATTCAGCCACCGGGCATTCACAAGACCGGAGTCTACCTGCCTGATTCCTTCCTTACCTACTTCTGACTTTGGTCAACTCTATTATTATTATTGTTGTTATTATTATTATTATTTTTAAGACAGGGTCTCACTCTGTTTCCCAGGCTAGAGTGCAGTGATTTGATCATAGCTCACTACAGCCTTGAACTCCTAGGTTCACACGATCCTGCTGTCTCAACCTCCTGAGTAGCTGGGACTACAGGTGCATGCTACTGACCGGCTTAACTCTATTTTAAAATAAGTAAATAAAGGAGTCTGGAAGGCACAGCCACAGGCTCTCTTCTGTCTTTAATTATTGATGGAATCTGTGTGAAGAAGTGGGAGAGATGTGGGCGTTAGAATTCGAGAGCATTTCAGTGTGTCCCTGGCTCTGGCACTTCTTTGCTGTGTGAGATAGTGGGAAAATTGCATACTCTGAGCCTTACTTTCTTTACCTCTACAATGGGTATGGAAATATAGAGGCGGCACGGGTGTTAAGATGGATTCATGAAGGAGTAGCAAGAACAATACACACTGAGTTCTGACCGTGAGGATTCAATGACTCTCTCAAACAATGCAAGTCAGATAACCCGCACAGGATCAGTCCTCAAGAACAGTTAGGATGGCCGGGCATGGTGGCTCATGCCTGTAATCCCAGCACTTTGGGAGGCCGAGGTGGGCGAATCACTTGAGCCTAGGAGTTCAAGACCAGACTGGCCAACGTGACAAAACCCCATCTCTACTAAAAGTACAAAAATTAGCTGAGCATGGTGGCGGGCACCTGTATTCCCAGCTATTCAGGAGGCTGAGGCAGGAGAATCGCTTGAACACAGGAAACAGAGGTTGCAGTGAACTGAGATTGTGCCACTGCACTCCAGCCTGGGCGACAGAGTGAGGCTCTGTCACAAAACAAACAAACAACTAAAAAACCAGTTAGGTAGTTTATACCATGACACCTTTACCCTGTGTAAAATTCTTACCAATACTGATGTGAAGTGGTATGAAAATTGCAATGTAAATAGTAACTTGTCAGTTTGTATCTTTTGAACTTTGGAATTCTATTTCTTACACTAATTAGAGGTATGACTTTAGAAAATGTACTTCATTTGTGTGGGCCTCACTTTCATCACCTGCAAAATGGTCCCCACTAAACCTACCTCTGAGAAGCGTGAAAAAATAAAAGGGCTAAGGTAGGTTAACACCTGGCACATAATAAGCACTCAAAAAATGGTCTTGTTTTTTTGACATCATGGTTATTTAATGTCAGTTCATAGATAAGCTTTTATCAATTCTCAAAAAAAAGGAATGTTCATATTTTTCCATTTTGTTACCAAAAGTATGATTAGATTTTAAAGAAAACAGAGCACATCTTTCACCACATGACAATAAGGAATCTCACTCTTTTTTGGCAAGAAAAAAAAGCCATAAACACAACTGACATTAATTCTCTGTGCATATTGCATCTTGCATCCTTGTTTTACAGTTTTCGGAAACCAAGCGTCCATCTGTCTCTAAAGACCTATTCTAGGTTCTAGAAAAGAAAACACCATCTAGATCTGTTGGTGCTATCAATTTGGCTGACTTAAAGCCCCTTGCGTGACTTCCTTCTGCTGGCGCGTCCGTGAGGCCGGGATGCTGATTTATGGCTGCCTCTGTTCCGCAGGTTAACCCCGTCGCAGGTCACTCCGCTCTGTTAATTGCATCCTAACCTTCCTCGGCTCTTCGGCAGCGAAATCGCAGCAGAGGAGATGGAGCAGCTTCGTGCGCATTGCTCATTTGCGCCAACGTGAAAAGAACTGCCAGGATGCCCAGGACACCAGCTCCCTGGCTTCTGCGGTGCTTGCACAGTCCTGAATCAGCCCGAGAGCTGTGGATCTGCGTCCCCTGGCTGCATAGCCGACTGCCGGCTCCATGGAGGGGCCTGTGCCGGAGAACGCACATGTTGACTTATTTCTTCAGTCTAGGCCTTTCTTGGCCCCCTTGGTTATTCATTCTAGATGATACAACTCTTATTTCAGTTCAAATGTCTCACGGAAGAGGCATTGAAGACAGAGTGGATGCCCGTGTTTGTTGGCAGTAGGTAGTATTTACCACTCCGGTTGTAGTAAAAGAACAAAAGGAGAAATTACACCTATTTCTCATATTTAAGGGAAAAGCAATTAAATCACCAAAGTCAGATTCTCGAGTAATTGCTGGGCCCTTGGAGGGGCGGGCAAGGTGAGGTGTGAGGCCCCAGATCTCTGTCTTGTGTGGGGCTGACACTGCCTGCTGGGGACTCCAAGCAGAGGCGGGGCCAGGGAAGGCAGCATGCAGGGGGAAACCGAGAGCCTCTTGCCAGCCTCCCCTCCCAGCTGCTATCCATGCACTTGTCGTAGCTTCGCCGCTGTCCTCAGGCCAGGCAAGAGGTAGCAGGGCTCCACCTACAGAAGTTATAGGAGGCGACTCTCAGAGCCTTGATTTCCTCCATTTGAAATACTGAGAACAGTATCTTCCATACCTAGTTTCTAAAAGTTGTTATGAAGATTACGTAGATTCATACCTGTGAAGGCTGGTGAAAGAATAAAACAGCCTAAACACACAAGGTGTTAAAAACATCCCTTCCAACTAAATAATAGATGAGTTGGAATCCCAAGCATGCTGGACAGCAGCAGTCACAGCCGAGGGGTGGGGGCCCCGTCCCTTACCAGGTGACCTCCCATCGGTCAGGAGGACGATGGCATGTGGCAGTGCCGAGCACCACCTGGCTGGGATCACTTCTCCCGCCTTCCTTTCTCCTTCTCCGGCCTGGGTCGGTAGCATGGTCCGGAGAGCCAGCAGGCAGTCTCTCCCAGTCCGCAGAGGCAGAGGAGCGGTCTGAACGTGCAGGGCGGCCACTGCCAAGGCAGCCTGGGATCAGGAGCTGCCCTGCACCTGGTGATCTCTGCAAATCAATGCTTACCCAGAAGGAAAACCAATTTACATTGGGTGAGTAACAGAGAATGCCAAGTTCGTGTTAGGAGATGAAGTTCTTTTGGATGAAGGGAGGCCAGAGCCCTTTAAAAATAGTATTTTATTTGTATGTGTTCCCACTGCTGAATAAGGTGTTCCTTAGGCCAGCTCTGGGCAAAATTGGGAAGCTCCGTTTCAGCTCCCCCAAGCCCCACTTGTTTTAAAATAGGTATGTGAAAACTGTTACAATATCCAGGCAAGATGGACAATAGTAGAACTGACATTCAATCTTCATTTTGAAGAGCAGTTAAATGGGAGTGAGATTATAACACTGTTAAAATAAGATTAATGTTATAATAAATGCTAGCATCCCAGAACAATTGAATAGAAATATAATGAACAGCCAAGGCTGGTAAGTGGAAATGTCATCAACGGCCACATAGGTAGAGTAAGTTACTACCTTTGAGGATTGAGTTGGACTGTGCATAAAATGAGATCCAGAATAACTGTGGCTTTAGCTAGATAGAGGTTTCTTTCCTTCTTACATAAAAATCTGGACACCACCCTCCCTCTTTTCTGTGTCCTCTGGAGTGAGGGCACCTTTGCTTATCTAACACACTAGACGCTGGGGTGTCTGGCCTCCATTGCTCATTGCTTCTTCTTTCTTGTGGTTCCACATGGGCTTCTGTTCCCCCAGGATACCTCTAGGTCCAAGATGACTGCTGTAGCACTGCCCATCACGCCTGCATTCCTGCCAGCAAGAAAGAGGAATGAGGAAGACGTGGCAAAGAGCAGACACCTGCTGTCTCTTAAAGAAGATTCCCAGAAGCTGCAGCACACACTTTCACTTACATCCCATGGGCTGAGCCTTGGTCTAGGACTATACCTAGCTGTCTCTATTCAGTCAGCCAGTGCCTGCAAAAAACAAGTACTATGAAAGAAGTGGGAAGCACACTGGCCACCACTAATGATCTCTGTCATTTGTGTAATTTCCAGATTTCTGGGAAGTGCCTCTACCTTCCCCTACCTTCCCGCATCTCCCAGTCCACTTAGCTGATGCCCGCATTCTCAACAGTTGTTAAGTCTCTCACTAAGACAAAGAGGACTTTCTCATGCCGAGACCTTCTTGCTCCAGGTCATTTGGAGAGTTCCCGGTGCTGATTTGTTTTTCCCCCCCAATATTTTCCCAGCCCAACTGAGCTGATTTCCGGGTGATTCACCTCCAAGATATTTTTTTTTCTGTTGTCCACCCTCTCAGAGGGCATTACCTATTCAAACAGACAGCATTCACTGAGGCTCACTAAATGCCAGCTCTTACACTCAGTTTTATATTCTTTTTCTCACGTAGTCTCTAGCACAGCTCTAAGAGATGATTGCTCTTCCTGGAAATTAGGATCAAAATCGTGGTACACACCAGTGTGATCCTATGCCCTAGCCCTGCTGCCAGTCTTTATGCCACACTACCTCTCCTGTATCCTGTATGATCTCTGTCACCATGCCCATCTTATAGGTTAGGGAAGAAGGTGAATAAGTTTCCATGGTAGGCCTGACACGGGGCTGAGTCCTGGGGAGAAGGCACCTTTCTCTAGGTCCTAGTTCTCAAGGCATGTGTGTAAAGCGGAGGGGAGGGGAGCTGGAGGAAGCTAAACACAATTCCTATATGATATAAAGCCAACTGGGATGTTTTCTAAGAGGTGAAAGGAGGTTACTTTCACTGCAGATGTTCAGGACATGTAAGGTTGAGACACCTGAAGGGTGGCTTGAAACGAGTCAACTACTCTGCCCCAGCTACCCCTCCTTTCCTGTGGCTTGGCTGTAGGGCTTCACCAGTCCACACCCAGTCGAGTTAAGGTCCTTACTGTGTGAGCCAGCTGTCAGCTGGGCTCCTGCCTAGGAGGATCTGGTCAAATTTTACTGGAATCCTCATTCCGTGGCCTTGGAAGAACTCAGAGTCCTTCCTGCAATTTCTTTTCCTTAGTGCTTTCTTCCTTCAGCCTCCCTTAGCCTCATTGCCTGAATGTCACCTCCCTAGTCCATGCCACTGTTTTCATGGAAGGTCATTCTCAAGCCTGTTTCTCAGTTTAGCAGCTTTATCGGAGAATCATTCTCTGAGATAGGACCCCCTCCTAGGAATCCCCCCAGTCTTTTATTAGAAAAGGCCCACCGTTTTTGCCTTTTCTCTCCCTCCTCTGGGATGACTTCAGCTTTATGTCTAACACATGATTCCTCAACATTTGTGAATTTTATACCCAACCAATTTATGAAAGTATTTTTCTCACCAAGACCTGATTTCTTATGCTGTAAGAGATCCTGGAGAATTAAGTTTCCTTCTCTTGTTACTCTTGACGTTTTGGTGACTGTATTGGTAGAGCAGAAGTTAATCTAAATCTCCAGGTCAAAAAGCAATGCCATGATGCTGTTGAAAGTGGTGATGAGAAACCCTGGTCCCTCATGTGGGCCTGGGAGGCAGGGCCTTGAGATTATGGTGAGGTCATTGGCCCTGAAGCAATGGGACTGGCTACTTGTCAGATGTGGCAGTTGCTAACAATTGTGAAGATGGTTGTAATGAAAACACCTGCTTCACAATATATGAGTTGGGCCATTGATGGAAGCCCTAGAGATACTTAGTGCTTACCACATCCAGGTATTCATTCCTGAGCACATGAGAAGACTCAAGTTGCCCTGAAAGTAGTTCAAGATCATCTAACCAGCACTACCCAGTGGACTTTGAGTAAAAAGGCATATCATTTTTGTTCTGAGGCAGTTAAGAGTCTCCCATGCTCACTCTATCCCTGGGAGCCAGGTGTTGAAATGGTAGCAGCACGGAATGGGAAGACCTTAGATCACTGAGACATCAGATGGAGGAGAGCCCTGCTGACCTGCATCAGACTTTGCATGAACAAGATATAATCTTCTATAAGGTTGAACCCCTGCTACTTTATTTGTTACTGTAGCATAGCAGAGTGTGTCCCAACAAACACAGATAATATGGAAATGTATATAGCTTTTACTCAGCTCTGCCCCTGGGATATTTCTGGATATTTAGTAGCTTCCAAAGGTTTGCTGGTTAAGGGGTGTTTTGGAAGAAGAAAGGGATGATTTTCTGTATTCTTTACTTATTTCTGTTGTTTTTTTCTTAAGTGGTCATCATTTCAAAAAGACTAGGTAATAAGGTGAGAGGTACTGAAATAGAAGTGCCAACAGACAAAATTGGAGAGAAGCATTTGGTAGGATGGTTTGCAAAAAACCCCTCAAGCCTCTGCTTGCCTAATTGATATGCTGTTCTGGAACAATTCAGCCTGACACAGGTGCTCCTGCAGGTTAGTTAAAAGGAGAGTGCAGTGCGGAATCCATATGCTACCATTCCGCCTTTCAAAGCAGCAGAGAATCTGAGGCTGTGTCTCCATTAGTAATCACCAGACATAACAGTTAAACATATATCACACCAGGCTCAAAAATCCCTGGAAGATACTTTGTGTCCATTCTGTTCTACTCTGAATCTGTTCATAATATTGGTAAAATGGGACAAGAGGTTGGAGAAGAAGAAGAAGGGAAGGAAACCCCCGACAAGATTTGGAAAGCAGAGAATTCACATATTCTACTCTTGGAAGCTTAAAGAGTGTCCAACAGAGTGCCTAATAAAGCGTAAAGTGAATATTTATTGAACCAATGGTGACCATGTGCTAAGAGGTTGAACATATCAGTTATCAGTGGAGATTCTGGCTATGAAGAGAGGTGGTTAGTGCCATCCAGTGCAGCTCACCACCTGACACACACATGGCAAGGTCTGGGACAGCTAAGCCTGCATATGCTGTGTGTAGTCTAATCCTCTTTTCCATATTCTTTCATCCAGTTCCTGTGGGTGCGGACATTCCAGTCACAGAACAGCAGCTCTACATCTAGGAGGCTCCTGAAGAACCCAAACTAACTGTGAAAATGCAAGTGAAAAGTCCTGCTCTGGTGTGTTACAGGTGCTGCTTCTAGAAAACCCCTTTATTAGAAAGCAGCATGAAACCAGCGTTGGGATATAAGAGGATGTGCTTTGTTAAAAGAAAACCTCTTTCTAATACTCCCAACCAAAGGGCCAGAGGTCTTGTCTAACTAAATGCCACCTTTCTGTGATTCTTGGAGCTTCATCTTCAAAGACTGAGAGGATCCTCCTTCATCTGAAACCTCTCAGAAAGGGAAAGGTTGGTCGTGACTTGTCCCCTCAACAAGGAACTTCAGGCACTGCCAACTGTGTTCAGTAACCCTTCTCTGACAGGTGAATACGTGAGGGGTCCTGGAACTATTATGCCAATTCTCCATGTTGGTGGGTTGCCAACGTTTACTTGTCTTATTGAGAAAGGAAAGAATGAGCAAAGAAATCTTTCCTTTTCTTTCCAGGATGCTCTCCAGAAAAATTCCTGCTAGCTTGACTCAGAAGAAGAGCAGCCTGTGCATGAGCCTGTTCCCCTTGAGAATTTCCTCTTCCTTCATTAGTGTCTTGCGATGGCCACATTCTCCATTTCTGTGACTTCCTACCAGCTTTTCAAATGCTTAACTACAAACTAAAGTTATTCTGGCATTGGCAATGTGATCTCAGGATTCCCACAACTAGCTTTCCTCAAGATGAATATTGGGACGAGTTTGGCAGCAGACTGTATGATAAGGAGCACTGGAATGGGAGTCAGAAAGCATTGTGAACCCTACAGGGCAAGTGACTTCACCTCTCTTAATCTCATTGTCATCAACTGTAAGTGAGAGTGAATGAAGGATGCTCCCAACTGTCAAACCCTGTAAGTTAAGAAAACCTGTGCTCCAGAGGAGAACATGAACATTGGCAAAAAGGTATTTATACATCCTTCACCATATTTTTGTAGATGAGTCTGAAAGAATTTTGAATTCACCTAGCAATTGCACTATCCTGATTTCATATGGAAAACACAGTTTCAAGAAGTTAACCACAAGGCTTGCACACTGGCTGGCTTCCAGCCTTCTCCTCACAGAGTAGATTAACTAATCCAGACAATTACTGTCAAACAAAGGAGCAGGTTGGAAATTCTTGGAGGATTTTTTTTTTTTTTTGTACAGCTTATATAGTTAAATTGAGAGACCTCAAGTGGAATTGTTTTCATGAATAATTTAAGTAACTATTCTATTTATCTAGTGCTTGTCGGGTAAAAATTTACAAAAATTATGAAAGTTGGATCAACTGACCAATTTGAAGGACAAACATGATTCCAGCTTTCTTTTACTTTATTTTTTCCCCTAGGACCACAGCAATTAGAATAATTTTATCATGAGTTTGAGCAAATAAGTCATCCAATCCCAAACTGAAAGTAATTGAAAAGTAAACCATCACAACATCCCACCTCAAACAGGTGTATTGGGAAGCAGTGTGTGTATATAGCACATCTTATAAAATGAAATAGGCAGGGTACAAAATTTCTGAAAACAGAATCTCTCAACTAGGACCTTCCCCATGTGTGTGCCATTACCTTGATAAATTTGAGACTTGACCAGTGGCTCAATAAATTTGGAGAAAACAGAAACAATTAAGTTCTCACTTCAGATTCATACTTTTTAAATTTTCTTTTATATTTTCAAATTTATGGTCTTAATGCAGGCTAGGTATTGCATTTTGACAATGGAATCTGAAACAGCTACAACTCTAGATTTTGTAAATTCTTCTTCACCATAGCAGTGGCTTAGTTTTAACTGTGATTACTGTCTCATTGGTCAAACTGTTTTGACAGAAAGGACATTTTATTGAGAGGTTAGTCCCCAAAAGACATGCTTTGGAGATCTTTTTCAAATGTTCAAATTATGGATGGCTTAGTTTATACTCTTTACCCCAAAATGAAAATTCTGGCATTCTCATTAGCCTTCTCACAAAGCAAGTCTTTAAAGCTTCCCCAACACATGTGAAAACCGAATTTTATGAGGATTCAAGACCAGCCAGGAGACTTTAGTAAAGACTAGATTTCAGAACAGCAGATCTTTAGTTGTGCAAAGGACATTGCTAAACTTCTGGGTTGGAAGGTATCCTGATATACCTAATTCTATTTATGAAACTGCATATGTGCTTTGAAACTCTGTTTAGATCCAGCTCTTTCAGTTAGAGATGGAAACCATATGTGTGTCTAAGGCCCTTATGTTTTGCCTTGGAGAGTCTTAGATTTTGTTTTGATTTCAAACTTGGCATCATTTTCAGATTTGGAGGCATCCTGGGTATGTCCTTGACCCTCTGTGTCATGCAGATACATTTTTGTTATCCATTATTACTCTTCTTAGATGAGTCTCAGGGCCATATGCTTAGAAAGGTGTTGTGCCTTTCATTCTCAGAAAAGTTATTCTAAGTAAAACAGAGATCCAAAGAAAATATGTGGAACATTCAGGCTCACAATCTTGTACATAGTAAAATAGTTTTTTGTTTATTGTTTATTTGAATTAATCAGGTCTGCTTTTCCCCTTTATTCCTCATTTCTTTTGTGGGAAGTGGACTAAAGCTTCTGCTGCACCACGAACCCAAGAATTGTAGACATATCCCAGTGGCCAGATGGCTGACTACCCACCGAATCTATCTTCCCATTCTCTCAAGGTAATGAGCTAGCTGTAGCCCAATATGTGACCTCTCAGTTGGCGGCTATGTTTCAAGAGCCACTTGCAGGTGTGTGTCTGAGTTCCTTCCAGTGGAATGTGAGCAGAAGGGACAGGAGACATTTCTAGGCCCTGGGTCTGACACACAGCCTTCCCTGTGGTTGGTGCTGAACTACAGAGTAGCCGAAGACCAACTGGCTTTGAGCATACAGGTGCAGGACTACTATATGAGAGATGAAAAACCTTTGTCCTTAAAATGAACTTTTTCCCTAAAATCGCATGTAGACCTTGGGGCTCATGCATAAGAATTAAAGAGAAAGAGGAAAATAAATCTCTTTTTGTTTCCTTGCATAGAACTGAGACATGGAGGAGTTTGGTGTCTTAGTAAGTAGTTGGCTTTGGCTGAAATGAGTGTATGCGGGTGTGTGTGTGTGTGTGTGAGAGAGAGAGAGAGAGAGAGAGTGTGTGTGTGTGTGTGTGTGTATGTGTTGGGGGCTGGGGCCCAGGACGAGGGGTTGTGGATTACAGGAGGCCTCTTTTTTAAATTTAAATTAAAAATTTTTTTTGAGACAGGGTCTCACTCTGTCACGCAGCTTGGAGTGCAGTGTTTGATCATAGTTCATTGCAGCTTCAACCTCCCTGGCTCAAGCAATTCTCCTACCTCAACCTCCTAAGTAGCTGGCACCACAAGTGTGCATCACCATGCCTAGCTAATTTTTTTTTTTTATTTTTGGTAGAGACAGAATCTCTCCATGTTGCCCAGGCTGGTCTTGAACTCCTGGGCTCAAGCAATCCTCCTGCCTCGGCCTCCCAAAGTGCTGGGATTACAAGTGTGAGTCACTTCGCCCAGCTGAAAGACTTCTTAGTGAGCACAACAAGGACAAGCACTGGGGTCAGATTCCCAAGGTGGACCCACATTTGAGGGATGGTCATGGTCATAGAAAGTTTAAGGGAGCAAAAGAGTCCAGGAAAATAATGAAGCAGCAAATGCTGGAGAAAGTGGTATCACAAAGCCAAGGAAGAAGATTCCAATTGATACAGATATTTGCTACTACATTTTTTGCTGTTTTTTTTTGAAATGAGAATAATTCTTATTTTTCTTCTATAAGAATTTTTCTTATGAAATAAGAAGTTTTCAAAGGGAATTCAATGAAAAAAATTAACCAATTTATTCTTTGGTCCTAGGGCTTGGTTTAGATGAATAAATACCCGTATCTTGTACCCAGTGCTACCTGTGACAGTCTAGTTGCTCCAAATACTTGCTCTGCCTCTTTGAATAGTACTTTTTCCAAGCTGCTTTAAAGTTCTAATTTTTTACCAATAATTTTAATGGCTTTGTCATTGTTGAGGAGAAGGTGGTAAAGTATCATGGAGATAAGAGAAACCGGATCTACAAAGTCAAAGAGAAGAGAAGCAAAGGAATACTTATTTGGATGATTTAAAACAAGTTCCATTCCACTTTTTAAAAATTAGTTGAAAAATTTTAGACTGAGGCGATTGAGAAACTTGTTTCAAGACTTCAGAATTTATGGGTTAGGATATGCAGGAATGAGGTCTATGTTTCTCCAACTTGTCCTGTCTTATTTGACTAAGCATAATGGTGAAAGGTACAGATTTGAAAATCAGGTGGCCTGGAGTCACGGCCCTGCTCAGCCACTCATTAGCTGTGTGATTTCAGTCAAGTTAGTCAGCTTCTCTGTGTCACAGATTTTCATCTGCAAAATGGGGATAATGACAGAATCTGTCACAGCCCAGGTTCTCCCCACGGTGGAGTGTGAACAAAGAGATCTATCTTTCTGAGTTGCTTATCTTAGAAAGAGCTCCCAGATAGCAGGAGAGAGAGACAGGGGAGGTGGGACAGGGACAAAGGGAAGGCCAACTCAAGGATGTGTGTTAGGATGGCCACTGCTGTGGGTGACATATTGCTCCAATGTTGAGGACTTGATCTGTCTTGTGAAGACACTGCATTTGGCACCAGGCTGTTCACTTTAATCAGTCTTTCATAACCTTCTCACTGTGTCCTTTTCACATGTTCTGCCATGTCTTCATGTCTTTTTCTTCTTCTTTTTTTTTTTAAGATGGAGTCTCTCTCTGTTGCCCAGGCTGGAGTGCAGTGGCGCGATCTTGGCTCACTGCAAGCTCCGCCTCCCAGGTTCATGCCATTCTCCTGCCTCAGCCTCCCGAGTAGCTGGGACTACAGGCGCCCACCACCACGCCCTGCTAATTTTTTTCTTTTTTGTATTTTTAGTGGAGACAGGGTTTCACTGTGTTAGCCAGGATGGTCTCGATCTCCTGACCTCGTGATCCACCTGTCTCGGCCTCCCAAAGTGCTGTGATTACAGGCATGAGCCACCATGGCCAGCCTCTTTCTTTCCTTCCTTTCTTCCTTCCTTCCCTTCCTCCCTCCCTCCTTCCTTCCTTCCCTCCCTCCCTCCCTCCCTTCCTTCCTTCCTTCCTTCCTTCCTCCCTCCCTCCCTCTCTCTCTCTCTCTCTCTCTTTCTTTCTTTCTTTGTTTCTTCTCAGAGTCTTTCTCTGTCACTCAGGCTGGAGTACAGTGGCGCAATCATAGCTTACTGCAGCCTTGAACTGCTGGGCCCAAGCCATCCTCCCAGCATAGCCTCCCAAGTAGCTGCAGCAGTACCTGGGACTACAGGCATGCACCACCCCTGCCCAGCTCATTCATTTTATTTTATTTTTTGTAGAGTTGGGGTCTCCTTACGTTGCCCAGGTTGGTCTCAAATTCCTGGCCTCAAGTGACCCTTCTTTCTCAACCCCCTAAAGTGCTGGGATTATAGGCATGAATGAGCCACTGCACTGGGTCATTTTCCCTTTTTTTGCTGTATGTCGCTACCTACCTTGTTCTAACCTCAAGGAATCATCAAAAGCAGGTATGGGAACTCACAAGCGATTGCCCATGTCAACAATTCCTCCCCAACCAGCCCTACAACCCTATTGCCCTGTGCCTCTACGTTCTGGTTTCTGCTGGTGCATGTCCACCAAGTCCTGCCATCCTTTCAGCGTGTGAGGCGTGTGAGTCATTTCCATTCACATCAAGGACTTTATTTTCCCACACAGTCTCTGCTGAGGCAAAGCGGGTGGGGTGGGAACAGATCCTGAGGAGGACAGGCATTGTGGTCTGAGAAGCACGCTGTAGGTGAGATGTCTGCAGGGATCCAGGTGGGGAAGGCTGCTCTCTTCCATCACAGAGCAGGGCATTGCTTGTGCCGGTACAGAGAGTTCAGGGGATCTGACCTTCAAGATTCTCAGGCTCAGCTCATCCACCAGCCTGCCTGGCCTCTACAAAGTCTCAGGGACTTATGCTTTCCTGTGACTGCCCTGATTTCCACATAGCAGACCCATCCTGGCTGTACGTGCAGTCTCCTGTGCACCTCTGCCTCTCTTCATAAGACCTTGACTGTGATTTTGAGCCTACATTGAGGTGAGAGTTGACTCATCTGAGCCTGTTGTTTTCTTTTTTATTAACTTCCTCATATTCAAATTTATTTTATCTTTTAAATTAAAAGTCTTAATTTTTAAGACTAAAATTAAATTAATAGACTTTTTAAGGGTAATTTTGCATTCACAGGAAAAATGAAAGTACAGAGAGTTCCCATGTACCCCTCCCTTTACCCCCATGCACAGTTCTTTTATTATTAATGTCTTACATTAGGGGGGTACATTCATTACAACTGAATGAGCCAATATTGATATGTTGGTAGGAACTGAAGTCCATACTTTACATCAGGGTTCAAGGTTGATGCTGCTTATTCTATGAGTGTGATAAATGCAGAATGAATGACATGTGTGGTTTCCTTTTTAATGATTGTCACTAACCTGATGCTTCACCATCACCTGTCCCCCATCCCAATCAATCACAGATAAGAGTCATAGAGACTGACTGCACAAACCCACTCACCCCAGCAGTGACATCTTTATGGCCATCTGATTGATTGGTCGGTGACCCCGCTCTAGTATTTTATTCTGAGCATACTATTTCCAGGGCTATCCTTTTACCAATTGCCTTAGTCTCCTAGGGCTGCCATTCAAAATATCACAGACTGGGTGGCTTAAACGACAGACATGTATTTCTGACCATTCTGGAGGCTGGAGATCCAAGACCAAGGTGCTGCCGGGGTTGATGTGTTTTGTGGTTTCCTGTGACAGCTGCCTTCTCACTGTGTCCTCATATGAACTCTTCTTTGTGTGCATGTGTGTGGGAGGGGAGAGAGTGAGAGAGAGAGAGAGTGGAGTTCACCTTCTGAGGTCTCTTTTTATAAGAACACTAATCCTATCAGATGGGACCCCACCCCATGCCCTCATTTCACCTTAATTACCTCTATAAAGGCCGTATCACTAAATGCAGTCGCATTGGAGGTTAAGACTTCAATATCTGAATTTTGGGGTAACAAAAACATTCATTCCATAACGCCAACTATCCTAGCTTAGATCATCTGAAAGCAGAGGACAAGACAAAGGTTAACATGTGAGTAATTTATGGGAATGAGATCTTAGGGCATAAGAGTAAAGAGCTGGGAAAGAGAAGCCTGCAGGGAGGGAGGGACTAACTGAGGTGATCACGGTGTATGGCTGGGCTGCTTGGTGCCCAGGACCTTACAATACATGCCTCAGAACTGTGCACCTTTCATCTTGAGTGTACAATACCCTTGTACTTCCCAGTTGCATGTGGGAGTGCTGAGCAGGATTCTGTGGGTTCACCTGTGACACCAGGGTATCCCCAGGGCAGGAGGTAAGAAGTGCAAGGAGCAGTCATGAAGCAGAGCCTGTCATGAAGGGCTGTACCCTGCACAAGGTTGGTGTGCAAATCATTTTGCGCTTTACACAAAATGAATGTGTGTAAAGTGCTCAGAACACTGCTGATATATGTGACCGGTAAAGATCTGTCAGCTGTGACGGTGATGGTGATGATGATGATGATATTATTATTATTATTATATGGAGCAAAAAGAACCAAGCAACCATCTGCATATTCATCTACAAGACTGAGTATGCTTGCCTCTCTCTTAGGAAGCTGTCATGTATTATTGATGGGCCCCTGATGTCCCCTGATATCAGCGGGTTTTTGGCAGCTCCTAGTTTGAATCTGGTCCCTGCACAGTTCAGACTTTTAAAATATATGGCTTTGCCTGAGTCAGGTGAACGGCACTGTGCCTTTGGCTATTGCTCCTTCTATGATCTCTAGCCTTGCCAGCTACTTCTTGGGTTTACCCTGGAAGGTGACATCTACCAGGCAGCCCTGACATTTGGCGTGGAGAAGTTGCTGGTGGCATAGAAGAGTTAGAAAGTTCCATTGTCTAGGGTAGCCAGCATTTTATGTTAACAAGTATGGCCGGGTTGAATTGGGAAGGGTCAAGCAAATCCTCTTCCCTCAACTTGTATCTAGACCACAGTTTTGTGGAACTGAACCTGTGAGGAGGGACTAGCAGGGCTGTGGTGGGCCTCCAGGGACATGGGTTACCTATGTGAGAGGTCATCCCTGCACTGTGCTCTAGAGGGCGACATTCGTGCTGGACTCCAGGTGAATGCAGTTCCTGTAGGCATGCGTGGTGGCCCTGGTCTGGTGCCTGGGACTCTGCTCCTTGGCCAGGTCACACGGGAGATTTGAGCTCTCCCAGCACTTGCAGCCTTGCTCTCAGAACTTGGCAGCACCGCCTCTTAACCTAGCATAGGTTAATAACAGCAATATTTTTAAATGTTTGAAATATTTTGATACTGGAAACTATTCTTAAAAACATTTAATGAATAAGTTGTCTTTTACATATTGTTAAGCCAAGGTTAAAAGACTCAATGAAAACTTTGCTCCTTATTGGTGACAACATGGATTTGCATGCTTGGTGTTTATTTGGTTGAACAGACAAAGAATGTCTGTTGACATTTTTTCCAAGCTACTCACACTGATAGCCCAACACCTTCTTCTTGACCTGGTTTATTACCAGAGTTTATAAAACCAGACCTAGGGAAAGAATTAAGTCTGGGGACATGTGCGTGGCCTTAATATAGCCAATCTTTATAGCCTGTCCTATTACAAAATCAGAACAGCAAGATATTCTCAGGAGCAGCTTCCTCCGACCCCCTGGTGTGTTCCTTTTGAGCGTGTGAATTCTGGTATACGCCTCCCCAGGACACTGGCTTCAACCAAATAAACACCAAGCATGCAAATCCATGTCGTCACCAATAAG
The DNA here is from genome assembly GCF_000001405.40 of Homo sapiens. NCBI lineage: Eukaryota > Metazoa > Chordata > Mammalia > Primates > Hominidae > Homo > Homo sapiens. The sequence goes on along the minus strand of NC_000002.12, from coordinate 104,733,107 downwards.
GAGCAAAGTTTTCATTGAGTCTTTTTATCTTGGCTTAACAACATGTAAAAGACAACTTATTCATTAAATATTTTTAAGAATAGTTTCCAATATCAAAATATTTCAAACATTTAAAAATATTCCTGTTATTAACCTACACTAGTTGATAGCTCTTTTGTTAAGTCCACTGAGAAATAAAAACACGTGGTTAACCATCAAATAAATTATGAGTAGATTGAATATAAATCACAGAGGTTTAAAGACTGCATACAAATTACAAAGGCTTCACATGTATGTGTTCACAATATGTTCTTAAATATAAGACAGTTTGATTCTTGATCATATCTGTTCTCCATCACCTCCACAGAAGTCCTCTTTGCAATAAACGAGTATTTAAACAGTTTCCAGAATAATAGGTATCTTCTGCCTATTTCACCAAAATACAGTTTTGTCTTTTAAAGAAAACAAAGAAATATATTTGTCAGCCATAATGAGTTTTAAAGACCCTCTTTAAACGTGGGTATGCCTCAAATTAAGAAAACCAGACATTTAAATAGTTGACCTTACAGAGCACATGAATTAGAGGGTAATTACTTAAATGTTCTTCAGTTTGTGAAAGGATTTACAACAGGGTTCCTCTAAATAGCTAACTCTCTAGTGAATTTAAATTACTAGTGTGTGTGTCTTAAAATCAGTTCATTTTTTTTAAAAAAGAAACATACCTGTTGCATAACACAAGGTGTGTTAGAATTAAGAAATGCTGGTGGGTTTTCCCCTTGGTTAAGCGAGTCTTTAGGTTACACTGGAACTCATATTTACCAAGCCTTTTTATGGGAGGAAGAATTAGTCAGTAAAAAATGCTGAGCTCATGTTTGCACTGGCTCCATTTCCTGTCTGGAATAAGAGGTAGGGCCGCCAGGGAAGTCCTGGTGGTATGAGTTTCCTTGGGTTTCCACTGGGGAGTGGGGCCGAGGGGATATTGAATGTACTGTGGAGCCCATGGCTGTCCTGGGCTGAGCCTTTCTGTCTTGGAGTGGGAGTAATGAAGGTGGGAGTAGAGTGGGGTGGGGATGGGAATGATTCCAGTGGGGAAGACTATCAAAGAACATTGAGGGGGAGAAACCATTGACCTCATTGGAATCCAGCTCTGTGACCATGGGTAAGGATTGAAACCCATTCTAGCCTTAATTGTACCATCAGGCATGGAAATTCAGCCAATGACAAGAAACTGTCATTATCAATATCTCCACCTGTCATTGACCCTGGTTGCTTCTAAAGACTAATCTCATGAACGTTATTCCTAAGGGGGTTGACCTTTTGAAGTCATAGAAAAGTTTCTGCTTCTTGTTACCTCATGCGTGGCTTTTCTTTCTGCCTCTGCTGCAGTTTGTTGCTCTAAATAGAGGCTATGTGCCATGATTTTGCCCTCAGTGTTTACATTCAACTGGACCAGTTCTGCCATTTTGAACAAAAAGCATGTCTTCAGGATTGGGTCCCAAGATCTTTATGTCCAAGCCTTAGTCTGCTACTAATTACCAATCCAAAGTGAAGTGTTCATCATTCATTTATTCTACAAATATTTACATGTCTCCTACTTCATGTCAGTTACTGCTATTGTCACTGGAGGTATCAATGAGACAGATAAAATGTCAGTTCTAGTTGGTGGAGATAAGCAATGGTAAATAAAACAAATAGATACATAATTATTATCGGTGAAATTTTTAAAATAAGGAAAACGTATTATATTTTCTATATAGTCATAGGAGTTTTAATGTAAAAAATTGCCATTATGCCAACATTATATCTTTCTTAGTATTTTAGAATCAACATTTTATTTATATTTATTTATAATTGTTATATCAGATGATGATTAAAAATTTAGCACAATTAAAAGTTGGTGTGGTAGTTGGGCTCCAAGATTGTCTGCAGTGACCCCTACATGGTGGTATTTGCACGAGGATGTAGGATTGGTACAAGGGCTGGTCTGTGTGAACAACAGAATATAGCAGAGGTGATGGTAGTCAATTCTGAGACTGGTTTCTGAAAGGCATTATTTCCTATTGAGGTCACTCTCTCTTGGATTACTGGGTCTGGGAGAAATCAGCTGCCATTTTGTGTGCAGTCCTATAATGAAGTTCACATAGTGAAGAACAGGTAGGGAAGAAACAAGGCCCATTGTCAACAGCTGTGTGAGTGGGCATGGGAAACCATCTCTCCAGCCCCAGTCAAACCTTCAGATGATACAGCCTCAGCCAATGTCTCAGCTGCAACTTTATGAGACACCCTGAGCCAGATCCATCTGGCTGGGCCACTCCTGAATTCCTGACCTGTGTGATAATAGATGTTTATGTTTTAAGCCACTAAGGTTTGGTGCAGTTTGTTATGCAGCGATAGATTGCTGATAGAGTTGGCAACCTGACTGCTGTATTACATGCAAATAATGAAGACCCAGAAGTGTAGCAACCACCATCCCGTGTGAAAATAAATTCTCTTGGCAAAAGAATCTGGACAAAATTATACTTGTTTGTGCCATCAATTATTCTGTGCATTCTGTTCCTTGCACTTGTCAATGTTACTACTGTTTAGACATAGCACACACTTATGCATGAACTATAACTTCAGTGTGGCTGCTTCTCTTGGCTGAACTATCCTCTTATCTCCATTTCCTTTATCCAAATCCTATTCCTTCTTTTAAGCCACATTATAATGCATTTAATAGCAGTTACCAGATAGCCAACTAATACTTTTTTTTTTTTTGAGACGGAGTCTTGCTCTGTCACCCAGGTTGGAGTGCAGTGGCACGATCTCAGCTCACTGCAAGTTCCGCCTCCCAGGTTCATGCCATTCTCCTGCCTCAGCCTCCTGAGTAGCTGGGACTACAGGTGCCCGCCACCATGCCTGGCTAATTTTTTGTATTTTTAGTAGAGACGGGGTTTCGCTGTGTTAGCCAGGATGGTCTCGATCTCCTGACCTCGTGATCTGCCTGCCTCGGCCTCCCAAATTGCTGGGATTACAGGTGTGAGTACATTTTTTACAGGTAATTTTCCTAGAGAACCTGAGAAGTAGAAGGAAGACTATTTTGCACCTGTTGTTTTATTAGTGCCACCCTCTTTCACTCTTAGAAGTGTCCAGCTTTGGAAAAGTCTTATGGCCATCCTAGCTAAAAGTAAAAATCCTATCAATTTATTTTAGGTTGTCTCATTTTGCAGATTTTTAGGGTGAGGACTAGAGTCCATTTTTGAAAGTGAGTGATAAGATAACTAAACTTGTCTACATCTCCTCTATGTGGTAATATTTTCCTTCCTGATGTCTGTGTGGAGAGAGACAAGGCTCCCTTGGCCCACGGAGTTCCTAAGCAAACATCAGCATTAGAGCCCAGAGTGGTAGCTGGGTGCCTAGCACTGCCACAACTGTATCAACCATAGCCATGAACATTAATGGGTTCCTTTGCTCCCCGAAGTGCTGAGGGAGATGCAGTGAAAGTGGTTCTTCTCTTGTAGCTTAGAGACTGAAGCAGGTGTCTCGGAAGGCATCTCCAACTTCCACAGTGAGCTCTGAGAGAAAGGCTTAGCCCTAGAAACCATTATCAGCATGTGTGTTTCCTGCAAGGTCTGCCCTTGGACAACCTGGGCAGTGGGCAGACTCTCATCATGTGGGCAGACCCGGACCTTTCTGTGAAAGTAGAATGGTTCCGATTTCAGCCATGACAGCCAAGAAAGATTCCTCTCACACCTGGGTTTTATGGCATGGAAAGTTAGGGTGCCACTGGAGAGGCAGTGAAGAGAGGGGAAAATAGCCCAGGATTTGAAGTGGGACCCATCTGGATTTCAGTTCTTCTGGCTAAACTGCTTCACATCTCCGAGCCTCAGTTTCTTTCTTTTGTACTAATGCCAACTTCCGAGTGTTATTATGAGGATTAATTAGGAAAAGGGTAAAGCACAGAACACAGGGACTGGCATAATTACAGCATACTGGCTATTTCTGAATAATGGACTTGGATGAGGGAAGTCATGAAGACTCTCCTCAATGTGTTTCCCTGCTCCCTGCATCACATTCAGTTCAGGGTCTTTGAGGTTGCTGCCTCCCTCTGCCTGGGACATTTTTCCTCTCTTTGCCTATCTATACCTTGTCTATCCCTCAAGCCCATTTATCTCTATTCCCTATTGATTTCTTGATCTCTCTCCCCATCTCTCCATCTCTATCTCCGTGATTCATCTAGATTGAGCCTTCTTAGCCTGGAATTTAATAATTGTATGCAATGTTAGAATCTGTGTCTCGATCCTCTTCATGCTGCTAGAATGTCTTCGAGCATAGGAATAATGTCTTGGATGGGACAGGGTTCAGGCCATGTGAAAAATAAATACTAATTGGTTGTCTTTAAAAAAAATAGAGCTATGAATGTAGAGGAAATACTTTTATTTCTGGAAGCACCCAAATTCTTATGAGGAGAATATGGACGGTTGCACCAGCCTCTTCCCTGATACATCCTGTATTAGTCTGTTCTCATGCTGCTAATAAAGACATATTGAGACTGCATAATTTATAAAGGAAAAAGAGGTTTAATAGACTCACAGTTCCACATGGCTGGGGAGGCCTCACAATCATGGTGGAAAGTGAACGAGGAGCAAAGGCACGTATAACATGGCAGCAGGCAAGAGAGTGTGTGCGGAGGAACTCCTCTTAATAAAACCATCAGATCTCAGGAGACTTATTCACTATCATGAGAACAGCGTGGGAAAAACCCACCCCCATGATTCAATTACCTCCCACCAGGTCCCTCCCATGACACCTGGGGATTAGAGGAGCTATAATTCAAGATGAGATTGGGGTGATGAAAGAGTCAGACCATATCACATTCCAACTGTTTAGTGTTGATTTAAAAAAATTCAAATGCAGAGTGACGACATAGTTCTTTTCTTCATCTCATGAAACTTTGGTTGTGAATCAATGACTGAGGAAATCTGACCCAGGAAGATTTTAATACCTAAAAATGGTTAAAGAAATCCTTGTTTATAGTGGTCCTCTACACCTTCAAATGCACAGGTAGATTTCAATGTCTCTCAGCTCAGCTTCAGGCATGCCTGGAAGTTGAGGATGTATGCCATGGAATACAGCATTGGAGGCTTCAAGCAGCTGAAACTAACTTGCTTGGACCAAGGGCTCACAACTGGGGACATGGCCCAAATTGCACTAGCATTTACTCTGTGCCAAGGCAACCAGCTTCCAGAGTGAGACAAGATGGGGGTCTGGGGCTATGAACATGTGAATAAAGTCCTGAGCTATAAAAATAATGAATAAATAAAAACCAGGAAAATATTTCAAGTTCTTATGTGGCAACATCTCTAGATCTAAAATGTAGCAGGAGGAAAATAATTGAAGACATTTGTCATGTGCTACAGGTGAACTGTGACCACATCTGACATCACCTGCAGCTTCCTTATAACATGCCCACTGGGCAGAGAGGATGAGAGGCAGGAGAGCACCAGTGTATTTAGGACCAACTTTTGAAATTTAACCATTAAGTTCAGTCCCTCCTACTCTCCATAAAACAGGCCCATGTCTTTTCCATCTTGGTCTTCCCAGCACTCAATAAAAGGTTTTGAAATAGATAATGACCAAAATGCGTGCTATAATTTTAGTTCCTAATTTAAATGGCAAAAAAATGCATATTTCACTTTCTAATTGGGAATCTGGCAAGCTGTATTCAAAGCATTTTAGAGTCTTGCTTGCTATTCACTATTTCTTCTCCTGTTCTCCAAATATAAGACAAAAGAATAACCATTTATGGAAAGTTAAATGCTAAGCTACATGTCTTCATGGATTGCATCTTCTTTGAGAAACATATATTCACCCTACATTCCATGAGATTTTTCTTCTTTATTGAAAGGTAAAATATTCTGACATTTCTGGGATGATTTTGATCATATTGATTACCCTTGTTTATTTATCAATTACCATTTGTTAGTGACCAGCTTTTTTTTGGAATTAGAAAAAGATACATTTGGGCTTATGAATTTTGTGTGCTTGTCCATTTATTTTCTTTGGATAAATTTCTAGAAGAGAATTCTGCAATAAAGAGCATACATATTTTAAGGGTTTTTTGATACATATTACCAACATGTGCTTCCACCCTTTGGTTATTGATCAGTTGCAAATAACCAAAACCAACATGGCCAGTTTAAACGGAAAGGAATTTATTACTAATTCTTTGGCGTTTACAATTGTTGGAGGGCTGGAAGACCTGTCTTTAGGCTAAGCTTCTATGGAAACAACTAGTCCCTGGAATTTCATTACCTGTGCCATGATTAAGCAAGCAGCCAGTTCTGCCATATCAGGAGGCTGCTGGTAGTAAACCCTAACTTCTTCCACTAGAATCGACACCACCAAACAGATACCTTGTCATGGTCACTGAGGATGGTCCAGAGAGGCCCCTGGAGTTGTAGTGAGGTAGCAGTTTCAAGTTCCACAGCATTATTCAATTGCTAAATTACCCTCTCGCAGCATTCATTCCTGGATATGAGAGGCTTTGGAAAAGTAAAGCACAAAGCTGCAGGCACAGGAAGCAGATAGATTTTGCTGGGGGCATTTTTCAGTGGAAAAGTGAGAATGTCAGCTCTACCTCCTGCCGTTGGATTCTGGAGCAATGTTTTCAACAAGAAAGAACGCCCTATATTGGTTGGTGGTTCAGAGCACACAATGCAATGGTAGGATAGCACCTTAACTATGCAAGGTTGTTGTTTATCAGTTAATGCCACAACTGAGGTTTCAATAGGACATTCTGGTATTTGTTAAGTGGCATCCCATTGTCTCACTTGCTTTACTATAAAATCAGGTCCTTAATCAGAAGCATTGTGTTGGACACTGTGTTTGTGACTATTGCATTCATTAAGTCATGGAGAGTTGTTGGCAAAAGCAAAGTGGGCAGCAAAGTAAACATTCAGATCCATATGTCTCCATGCCAGGGAAGTCATTGCTGCTCCTGCCATTTTGGAAGGGATCCAATTCTAACTGATCTGCTACCTAGTGGCTGGCTGGACCCCTCCTTTGAGCTATGAGGCCAGCTAGATTAGCCTTGGGAAAGGCAATCCATGTGTTATCTTCATTCATGCTACTATGGCTACTTAATTTATGAACCCATGGCAAAGCATTAGGGTAGTTGGTGAAAGGCAAGATGGACACCCACAGGATACTCATCTTATTCTCCAGATTATTGAGAACGTCCTTCTCAAGATGACCTTTTGAAGAGGATTCACTTCTCACACTCTGAGTCTGTTGTAATGTATGCGTTCCTATACCTGTTCTCCGAACTCCCTTGTCACTAATTCATCACTCTTGGTTTTTCCAAACTTTTGACCATATGGCCGAACCATTAACCATCTCCCATGAATCAGTATAGATCTGTACCCTTGGTTATTTCTCTTTCTAGACAAGGTACAAAGCAAAACCCAACCAAACCAAATGAGAAACGCTACTTGAAGTTCTGCCTAATGGAGGGCTCCCTTTTCCATCATTTTTTGGCGGGTGCTGTTGTGATCTGAAAAGCTGACTCAGGATTGTTACTTACATTATCACATAGAATGGACCGTAAACCAGGTTACTTTTTTGTTATTTTCTTTTTAGCCAACTGTCCATACTGAACTCCCCATGAGGCTTGAGCCTGACATGCCTGAGGGCTGGGCACATGCAACTTCATGTTGTGATGACTCAGACAACACTTGGTTCTGGATGGTCAACTCAGGGCACATGGTTACTTGTTGCCCCATAATCAGGTTTTTTGTCTACCAAGATCCAGAAGGAAGCCAAGATCTGTTTCTCAAAAGAATAGTAATTATGTTCTTGGGAATGTAACTTGGCTTCAAAGTCCTATGAGCCTTGACTGTTTATTTCCCTACCAGGGTTTGCCATGGGCTCTGTCCAATATTCTACTCTGCCCTAGATACTTCAAGCACAATGGGAATCTACTGTATCTGAAGGTCCAAATGTTTGCAGCTGCTGGGCCATCTCGAGAGCCTTCTCTCATCCTGGCCCTCCCTAAGAGGTGGTGCCCTTATGAGTTACATGGTGAATGGATCGAAGCAGCACAAATGAATATGGTATCTATTGCCTCTAAAGTTCAAAGAAGTCACATTCTTCGGGGCAATGGGTTCATGATGCAGCACATTTTCTTGCACTTGGGAGGTTTCCCTGATATGTCCCAGAAAACTAGAGCTGATGAACTTTGGATATGGGAGCAAGTCTTCGGATTTTTATCTCCTATTCTCTGGTACTCCTGTGTCTTACCAAGGGATCTAGGGTAACTACTGTCAACTACTATCAACATTTGGTCTTATGCCACGGTGAAATGATCAAGGTCTCTGTGGGATACATTATGAAAAAGTCAGAGAACAGACATAACCCTGAGATCAGATGGTGATGGTGTACTTCTTCCAGGTGAAAGCAAATTGCTTCTGGTTAGTTATGGTTATTGAGAAAGAAAAAGTTTGTCAGATTGACAGATGTATACTAGGTACCAGGATCTGTTGGTTTGCTTCAGTAATAAGATTACTTTAGGAACAGAAAGAGCATTTGACATTACCATCTGATCTAGTTTGCAATAAGCCAACATCATTTTTCAAGGCCTATCTTCCTTTTGCATAGAATAAATAGGTGAATTCAATAAGGATGAGATAAGAATAAACCCTCTTGAATCTTTTGGGTTTTAATGGTGGGTCCTATCTCCATCATTCCACCTGACATATGTGGTAGCATTACTTTTGGTTTGCTATTTTGCATGAAGACATGGCTTGAGAATACAGTTCCAAAGTTTCCCACCTGGCCCTTCTTTATGCTGTGGTTCAGTTTCCCAGAATATCTATTCCAGCTATACACTTGCGAATGGAGATCCTAACCACAGGATGGACTTAAAGATCTACTTTCACTTCATCTTCATTACACTTCAATTGATTGGTGGACCACAATGGCGTTCTGGATCTCCAGGAATTGATCTTAGCTCAGATCCAGTATCTCATAATCCTTGAAAGATGTATTTTTCTTTTCTTTTCTTTTCTTTTTTAAAGACAGAGTCTCACCTTGTCACCCAGGCTAGAGTGCAGTGGTGCAATCTCAGTTCACTGCAACCTCTGCATGCCAGGTTCAAGCGATTCTTCTGTCTCAGCCTTCCAAGTAGCTGGGATTACAGGCATGCACCACCACACCCGGCTAAGTTTTGTATTTTTACTAGAGACGGGGTTTCACCATGTCGGCCAGGCTGGTCTCAAACTCCTGACCTCAGGTGATCTGCCTGCTTCAGCCTCCCAAAGTGCTGGGATTACAGGCGTGAGCCACCATACCCCGCCTGAGTATATTTCTTTCCTCGATGCACAGCCAACCAAGTCAGGAGTTATAGGCTCTTCAAAAGGATACAAGAATAATGTATACAGCATATGTTTGTGTATTAATGATAGGCTCTTTCCTCATCCTGATTCCCTGCATACAAGGGTTCTTGCATACAGAGTATCCAGATTCCCTGCATACAAGGGTTCTTGATTTGTGAACTAATTTAGGTCTGGAAGTGGAATAAGCTGATGTGACTCCACATCTTGCTGCTGCAGTCGGACATCTGTTAACCAAATTTAGAGGGTTTTATTGGAGCTTGGGGTGAGTGATATACAGTTTAAGTAAGATCATAGTGGGCTCCCAATCCATTTCAGCCCGAGGGGCCCCTTCTTTATGAGCTCCTGCCAAAGAACCCTTCATGTCACAGTAATTTGATTGTCATCTTGGCTGTATTTGGTTATCATGGTGGCCATGCCCCTTACTTAATTGGTTAAGGGCTGTTGCTTGGCCTCTATAAATCTGAGATCTCAAGATGACTGGTGAAATCAGCTACCCCATTTCATTGGCAGCATCCCTCACTTTTCTTTCTTGCATACAGATACAGTCACTACAATATGGCATTTTCTAAGGCTTTGGAAAGGTCCCTCGGCAATACGTGTCTGAATGCCTTTGTGCGTGGGAACTCTGCTGGGCTTCTCTGGAAATGTAGTGAAAGGGGAGCTGGGTGATTCTCACAAAATAAATCCACTCCATGATTACCATATTTTTATGTCTTTCTATTTCTTTCCACAGTATACCAAAAATCGTTTTTTTTTTTTTTTTTTTTTTTTTTGCCTAGTATACCACTGAACCAACCAGCCCAGCTGCTTGAGACAGCACAATGGATCTTTGGCAAGTGCACTTATATTAGTAAATCTGGCCCAATATCAAATGATATCTCTCCCTCCATGGTCTGGCCCTCTCACAGTTCATTTCCACACATTTCCCCAAGTTTCTGATCATCTCAGTTAGAAAACCTTGCAACCCTTTAACTCTTTTCCATTTATTTGGCATGTAAGCTTCCATCTCCTTGGTGGGATGATGCTCCCCGTCTCATCTCCACTCTTCTCCATTATCTACGTACAGCTTTGGAAGGAATACAGAGAGTAGGCAGGGACATGAGGAGAATTGGCATCTTCTTACAAAATAACAACCCCAGGAGAGGTCATTACAGGGTCCTCAATCAAGGCAGGAACCACTTCCCTCCACAGTGAAGGAGGACCTACACCTCTTGGCAAGGGTTCTCGGGATTGAGGTAACTTGGAGTCATTCAAGTCCACCCAAAATTCCCTATGCTGATTCTTGGGATTCCTCCATTTGCAGTCAATTCTCTAACATTTATATAAGAGACATTGTGAGACTGTCAATTACTATAATTTAACAACCATCAGGCCCAGATTCTGCTCCAATTTTGGGTTATTCTAGGCCTGCTACAAGAAAAGAGATTATTTTAGGGTCCTCTGACCATGCCCTGAATGCAGCATGTCTTTCTTTAAGCTCTCTAGCTGATTAGAAGGCTCTAGTCCATCATCCCACAGCCCCTGCATTCCTATTTCTGATGGCACTGGGTTGTGTAAATAGGCACTCAGTTGTCCAGGGCTTCGCCTTCCCAGGTGACCACAGATGACAATTTATGTGAATGTTTTGTCATTGCATACTGTGAACTACAGTGTCTTGTCCTTTGATATTAACAGGATCTAATCCCAGATTCCCACTTTCAGAGTGTTACTCAGTACTTGGTTGGGACCAGTTACTCAACAGATTAGCATTTAGTTGCAGACAAAAGAGGCCATCTCAGTAAATTAATCAGAAGGGTATTATATTTATCACTGTGTTAAGAGTCTTTCAAAATCATTATAATGGTGGTGGATGATGTTCTAGCTAAGCTCCCAGGAATAATTTGTAAGGTCTAGGATCACCATTTTCCCACTGTGATTGAGAAAGTAATTTTTTTTGCCGTTGCAGGAAATGTCTATTTCAACAGCCAGGTCTTGGTGCCACACAGGTTAATGTCTTTACCTGGTGAGTGTATATGATTGGTGGATCCTAAATCACATTCATATCTTAGCTCTAAGGAATAGGGGTGACACAACTTTGAGCTTCGCAGCCTCTGCAGTAGAGGAAGGAACACTAGGAGGGAGTTGACACGGATACTGAATGAGACAAACAACAGTCTTTACCATGGGTTTGGAAGTTAGGGTTTCCTCAAACTTTCACCTTATTAGATATTAGCATCCTTTTAATTTTGGTCAGTTTAGTTAATGAAGCTATTTTCTTGTTATTTTGACTTGCACTTTATTAGTTGAATGCTTTATCCAATTCTGGTGTTTCTTATTTTTTCTTGAAAAAAATCTCTGTTCATTTTCTCTAGTTAGGTGTGTCTATTTCTACTATATTGATTTATAAAAGCTTTTTACATATTTTATCTTTTTGAAAGATGGTCGTGGCAAAGTTTAACTTTTTTTACATATTCAAACATTTTCCTTTTTTTCTGTCATGTCTACTGCTTTTGGAGTTTAATTTTAAAGGTTCTTTTCTACTTCATGATTATGGAAATATTCAACCATTTTTTGGGTGCAGTTTTTGGCTTTATTTTTACATTAAGTAATTAATTCATCTGTAATGTGTTTTGGAATATAATATGGATTCAGAGTCCAACTTTGTGTTTTCCAGATAGTAATCCAGTCATCCTCACACTATTTGGATCATCTATTCCTTATCACTGACTGAAGGTGTTACTTTATCATATACTGAATTCCTATATGCACCTGAGTCTAAATTGCCTATTCTCTTCCATTGATCTTTCTGTTTCTGGATCCGTATCACACTTTAGCATTCTTATTTTTAAAATGTGTTGTGGTTATACTAATACATTAACTCATGTCAATAAAATTTAGGAAATTTTTGTCAAGAATTATAAAATTCCATAGGTATTTTGATTTGGAAATTAACAAAGAATGTAGATCAACCCATACATATTTGATGCCTTCTTTCCTAGGAATATGGGAGGTGGTAATGCTTGATTATTAAGGGTATGAGCTGTATGAGAAACTCATCAGTTTGGGCCCCCGCTCTGCCAGGATTTATACTGTGAGGTCTCCTGCAAGTACTGCACTTTTTTTTTATATATACTTTAAGTTCTAGGGTTCATGTGCACAACGTGCAGGTTTGTTACATATGTATACATGTGCCATGTTGGTGTGCTGCACGCATCAACTCGTCATTTGCATTAGGTATATCTCCTAATGCTATCCCTCCCCCCTCACCCACCCCACGACAGGCCCTGGTGTGTGGTGTTCCCCTTCCTGTGTCCAAGTGTTCTCATTGTTCAATTCCCACCTATGAGTAAGAACATGCGGTGTTTGGTTTTCTGTCCTTGCGACAGTTTGCTGAGAACGATGGTTTCCAGCATCTTTTTAATTGTTAGTTTTTTCATCTGTAACATGGGAAGAAATATTGCAGCTACTAAAAAGATGTGGTGAGGATTAATGAACGGGCACTTGTAAAACTCTCAGAGGAGTACCTGTAGCAAAGTTTAGGCTGAAAATGTAGTACCAGCATGTCCTGCCAACATTCTTGGTGAAGACGATGATACTACTTTTTAAGGCTGTATTAGTCTGTTCTCATGCTGCTAATAAAGACATACTCCAGTTCCCAAAAAGTCCCTCATCTCCATCTGAAACCTCCTTAGCCTTGACCTCATTGTCCATATCACTATCAGGATGTTGGTCAGAGCCATTCAACAAGTCTCTAGGAAGTTCCAAACTTTCCCACATTTTCCTGCTTTCTTCTGAGCTCTCCAAACTGTTCCATCCTCTGCCCTTTACCCAGTTCCAAAGTCACTTTCACATTTTTGGGTGTCTTTACAGTAGCACCCCATTCTACAGGTACCAATTTACTGTATTAGTTAGTTCTCACACTGCTAATAAATTACCTGAGACTCGGTCATTTATAAAAGAAAGAGGCTTAATTAACTGACAGTTCCACATGGTTGGGGAGGCCTCACAATCATGGCTGGAGGTAAATGAGAAGCAAAGTCATGCCTTACATGGTGGCAGGCAAGAGAGGGATGTGCAGGGGAACTCCCCTGTATAAAACCATCAGAACTCATGAGACTTATTTGCTATCATGACAACAGCATGAGAAAAACCTGCCCCCATAATTCCATCACCTCCCACCAGGTCCCTCCCACAACAGGTAAGGATTATTACAATTCAAGGTGAGATTTGGGTGGGGACACAGAGCCAAACTATATCAAAGGCGCACAGTAGAATGTTGTATCTTCATTCATTCAGGTGATGAACATTCTTCATTACATTTACTTCTTGGTATTTTGTTATTGTTGTTGTGTGCTAAATAGCAGAGAAAGCACCACACTTTGAAAGATGTATAAGATTAAGTTCGATAAATTATATTATGTCTCTGTTTTTGGTTTAGAAAATCCTAGTTTTAATCTATCTTACATTATGAAGCCTGAAAGTAATAGAACATAATACTATTCAGAACTCCATATTCTGGTCAATGCTTAGTTGTCTCTTTAAAGCCTTACTTCTTCACTGGACTGCAAGTTCCCTGGGCTGGTGTGACCTCTTCCACTGCCATGTATCTCCTATGGGCCTGGGTCTAGTGTGTGTTCGATACATATTTGCATGAACAAATAAATGGCTTCACCTGGATATCTCTTCAAAAGCATCTAATTTGCCTCTTTTTTCCCCACCTTTACAGACTTCCAGCTACATCAAGCTTCTTGCTCTTTCCTGAATACTCCAAGATACTTATTCCTCTGTGCCTTTTCACATGCTATTTCTTCTTGGTGTCAGATCTTTGTACCTCTCTGTCAACTGGAAGACTGTCCTCAAACGACTTCCCACAAGAAACCTTTCCAGAGGGGTCACTAGCAGTGTGAGTCACTCCCTCACTTATGCTGATAACATTTTGCACTTGCCTTCTTGGTGATTCTGAACCTTATTTATGTGTGCCCATATCTGCCTTCCCATGTAGATTCTGCCCAGCACAGTTCCTGGCATACAGGTATAGAATAAATGCATGAAGCTCAATTCTGCCCTTTGATCGAGGAATAAGAATGGTGATACATTTGTCTGGTTCAGAGGGGAGCAAACATTTCCAATACTACTCTTTTATGGTCTCCACAGAACACTTTCTTACAGTTAAAACTCTGCAATAGGCAATCCTACAAGGTGGCAATGGGAAGGAAGAATGCCTCCTGTATTCCAGTGATCATATTATTTTGTTAAAAAGCTCAAGTTGCTAATGGTTGGAGCAAGATGGCAGAATAGAAGGCTCCACTGATCATCTCCCTGGCAATTACACCAACTTAGCAACTATCTACAAAATAAAGCTCCTTTATAAGAATCAAAAATCAGGTGAACACTCACAGTATCTGGTTTTAACTTTCCATTACTGAAAGAGGCACTGAAGAGGTAGAAAAGAGTCTTGATTCACCAGTGCTACCCTTTCCCCATCTCTTGACAGTAGCAGCATGTTGCAGAGTGTTTCTGTGTGCTGGGAAGAGGGAGAGCACAGCAATTGTGAGGCCTTAAACTCAGTGCTGCCTTATTATAACAGAAGACAAAACTCGGCCAAACTCAGCTGATGCCCGCCCATGGAGGAAGCATTGAAACCAGCCCTACACAGAGGGGAATCACCAATTCCAGTGGTCTGAACTTGAGTTCCCACAAGCCTTGCTACTGTGGGCTAAAGGGCTCTGTGGCTGTAAATAAACTCGAAAGACAGTCTAGGCCACAAGGACTGCAACATCTAGGAGTGTTCTCATGCTGAACTGGGTCCAGAGACAGTGGACTAGGGGGCACATGACCTACTGAGACACCAGCTGGGGCAGCTAAGGGATGCTGGCATCACCGTTCCCCTAACCCCAGGCTGCACAGCTCATAGCTCCAAAAGATACCACTTCCCTTTGCTTGAGGAGAGGAGAGGGAAGATTGAGGAGGACTTCATCTTGCATCTTGGGTACCAGCTCAGCCACAGCAAGATAGGGCACTGGTTAGAGTCATGAGGCCTCCTTCCAGGCCCTAGCTCCTGGATGACATTCTAGACACGTAGACACATCCTAGGCCAGAAAAGATCCTACTGCCTTGAAGGGAAGGACCTAGTCTTGGCAGCATTCATCACCTGTTAACTGAAGAGCCCTTGGGCCCTGAATAACCAGCAGTGACACTCAGGTACTACGTCAAGGGCCTTGGGTGAACCTCAGAGACTTGCTGGCTTCTGGTGAGACTCAGCACATTCCCAGCTGTGGTGGCTACGGGGCGAGACTCCTTCAACTTAAGAAAAGCAGAAGAAAAAGTAAAGGTGACCTTGTCTTGCACCTTAGGTACCAACTCAGTCACAGGGGTGTGGAGCACCAAGCAGGCTCTTGTGTTCTCTGATTCCAGGTCTTAACTCTCGGACAGCATTTCTGGACCTGCCCTGGGCCAGAGGGGAGCCCACTGCCCTGAAGGGTGAGTTCCAGGCCAGGCAGCATTCACCACAAGCTGATTGAAGGGCTTCTGGGTCGTAAGGGAACATCTGTGGTAGTCTGGCAGTATCCCTGTGGGCCTGTGATGACAGTGGCTATGGGGTGAGACTCCTTTGCTTTTGGAAGAAGGAGAAAAGAATGAGAAAGACTGCATCTTCTGGTTTCAGTGCCAGCTCCACTGCAGTACAATAGAACACCAGATAGATTTCTAAAGGTTTTGATTCTAGTCCCTGACTCCCTGGTGGCACCTCTGGACCCACCTGGGCCTACGAGATCTCACCAGCCTGAAGGGAAAGACACAAGCCTGGATGGTTTTACCACCTGTTGATTATAGAGCCCCAGGGCCTTGAGCTTGGGAATGGTTATAGCAGGCCCTGGACAAGACTCAGTGCTGTGTCGGCTTCAAGTGTGACCCAGCATAGTTCTAGTGGTGGTGGCCACAGGTGCTGGTCTCACTCCACCCCCAGCTTCAGGTGGCTCAGCACAGAGAGTGAGAGACTCCATTTGTTGGGAGAAAGTAAGGGAAGAAGAGTCAGCCTGGTAATACAGAGAATTCTTTCAGATCTTGTCCAAGACAATCAAGGTGGTACTTCTACGAGTCTGCAAGAACCACAGCATTACTGGGCTTAGGGTGCCCCTAAATCAGATATAGCTTAGATCACAACACCCATGTCTTTTTGAATATCTGGAAAGTCTTTCCAAGAAGGACAGATTCAAACAAGCCTAGACTGTGAAGACTACAATTAATGCCAAACTCATCAAATTCCCAGATGAATATCTACATGTATCAAGACCATCCAGGAAAACATGACCTCACCAAATGAACTAAACAAGACACCAGAGACCAATCTTGGACAAGATCTGAAGGAATTCTCTGGATTACCAGGAAGAAACTCTTGTTTTCTTCCCTTACTTTCTCTGAAACAAATGGAGTCTCTCTCTCACTCTCTGTGCTGAGTCACCTGAAGCTGCGGGTGGAGGGACACAAACACCCTGTGGCCACCCCATTAGAACTATGCTGGGTCACACTTGAAGCCAGCACAGCCCTGAGTCTCGCCCAGAGCCTGCTGTAACCACTCCCAGGCTATGGCCTATGTTCGCGCAAGGCCCTGGGGCTCTGAAATAAGTAACCTTTCAGACAGATAATTCAAAATAGCTGTTTTGAGAAAACTCAATTAAATTCAAGGTATCACAGGGAAGGAATTCAGATTTCTATCAGATAAATTTAACAAAGAGATTGAAATAATTAAAAAGAATCAAGCAGAAATTTTCAAGCTGAAAAATGCAATGTGCATACTGAAGAATGCATCAGAGTTTTTTAGTAGCAGACTTGATCAAGCAGAAGAAAAAATAAATGAGCTTGAAGATGGGTTATTTGAAAATACACAGTCAGAAAAGACAAAGAAAAAGAATGTTAAAAAAATAAAGCATGTCTACAGGACCTAGAAAGCTTGAAAAGGGCAAATCTAAGACTTTTGGCTTTAAAGGGGAGGTAGAGAAAAAGATAGGTGTTCTTCAAAGGAATAATAACAGAAAATCTTCCCAAACTTAGAGAAAGATATCAGTGTCCCAGTGCAAGACGGTTATAGAACACCAAGCAGATTTAACCCAAAGGCATTTAAAAATCAAACTCCCAAAGGTCAAGTATGCAGAAAGGATCCTAAAAGCAATAAGAAAAAATAAATAAATAACCTATAGAGGCACTCCAATACATCCGGCAGCAGACATTTCAGTGGAACTGTTTTAGGCCAGGAGAAAGTGGCATTACATATCTAAAGTGCTGAAGAGAAACATTTTTTATCCTAGAATTGTACATCTGGTGAAAATATCCTTCAAACATGAAGAAGAAATGAAGACTTTCCCAGACAAACAAAAGCTGAAGAATTTCATCAACACCAGACCTGTCCTACAAGAAATGCTAAAGGGAGTATTTCAGTCAGAAAGAAAAAGACATTAATGAGCAATAAGAAATCATCTGAAGGGGCAAAACTCACTGGTAATAGTAAGCACACAGAAAAACACTGAATATTATAACACTGTAACTATAGTGTGTAAAGTACTCTTAAGTAGAAAGACAAAAAAAGAACCAATCAAAAATTATAACTACAACAACTTTTCAAGACATAGTACAGTAAGATATAAATAGAAACAACAAAAAGTTAAAAAGCAGGGGTACGAACCTAAGGCATAGAATCTTCATTAATACTTTTCTTTTTGCTTGTATGTTTGTTTATGCAAACAGTGTTTGGTTGTTATCAGCTTAAAATAATGGGTTACAAGATAGTATTGGCAAACCTCATGGTAATTAACACCAAAAAACATATAACAGGTACACAAAAAATAAAAAGCAAGAAACTAAATCATATAACCTGAGAAAATCCCCTTCACTAAAAGAAAAAAAGGAAAGAAAGAAAGAAGGAAGAAATGACACGAAACAACCAGAAAACACATAACAAAATGGCAGGAGTAAGTCATTACTTATCAGTAATAACACTGAATGTGAAAGGACTAAAACTCTCCAATCAAAAGACAGAGTGGGCCGGACATGATGGCTCATGTCTATAATCCCAGCACTTTGGGAGGCCGAGGCGGCTGGATCACCTGAGGTCAGGAGTTCAAGACTAGCATGGCCAACATGATGAAACCCTGTCTCTACTGAAAAATACAAAAATTAGCCGGGCATGGTGGCAGGTGCCTGTAATCCCAGCTACTCGGGCGGCTGAGGCAGGAGAATTGCTTGAACCCAGGTGGTGGAGGTTGCAGTGAGCTGAGATCGTGCCATTGCACTCCAGCCTGGGCGACAAGGTGAAACTCCATCTCAATAACAACAACAAAAAGATGGAGTGGCTGAATGGATAAACAACAACAAGAAGAAGAACCAATTATCAGTTGCTTATAGGAAACACACTTCACCTGCAAAGATACATACAGCTTGAAAATAAAGGGATGGAAAAATATATTCTATGCCAATGGAAACCAATGAAAATCAAAAGTAGCTATATTTATATCAGACAAAATAGATTTTGAGATAAAAACTATAAGAAGAAAGCAAGAAGGTCACTATATAATGATAAAGCAGTCAATTCAGCAAGAGGACATAATAATTACAAATATATATGCACCCGGCACTGGAACACCCAGACATAAAAAGCAAATATTTGAGCTAAAGGGAGAGGTAGGCCCCAATACAATAATAGCTGGAGACTTCAACACCCTACTCGCAGCATTGGACAGATCTTCTAGATAGAAAATCAACAAAGAAACACTGGACTTGTTCTGCACTATAGACCAAATGGACCTCATAGATATTTACAGAACATTTCATCCAACAGCTATAGACTACACATTCATTTCCTCAGCACATGGATCATTCTCAAGGATAGAGCATATGTTTGGTCATAAAGTAAGTCTTAAAACATTCAAAAAAACCTGAAATAGTATCAGGCATCTTCTCTGACCACAGTGGAATAAAACTAGAGATCAATAACAACAAAAATTTTGGAAACTATACAAATACATGGAAACCAAACAATATGCTCCTGAATGACCAGTGGGTCAATGAAGA
Organism: Homo sapiens; assembly: GCF_000001405.40. Taxonomy (NCBI): domain Eukaryota; kingdom Metazoa; phylum Chordata; class Mammalia; order Primates; family Hominidae; genus Homo; species Homo sapiens. The sequence goes on along the minus strand of NC_000002.12, from coordinate 104,713,713 downwards.
AATTAAGAAGGAAATTGAAAAATGTTTTGAAACAAAAGATAATGGAAACACAACATACCAAAACCTATGGGCTACAGCAAAAGCAATACTAGGAGAGAAGTTTATAGCTATAAGTGCCTACATCAAAAAACAGAAAAACTTTAAATAAACAACCCAACGATGCATCTTAAAGAACTAGAAAAGCAAGAGCAAACCAAACCTGTAATTAGTAGAGGATAAGAAATAATAAAGATCAGAGCAGAAATACATGAAATTGAAATAAAGAAAACAATGCAAACGATCAATGAAACCAAAAGTTGGTTTTGTTGAAAAGTTCAACAAAACTGACAAACCTTTAGCCAGACTAAGAAAAAGCAAGAAGATCCAAACAAATAAAATCAGAGATGAAAAGGGAGACATCACAACTGATACCGCAGAAATTCAAAGGATCATCAGTGGCTATTATGAGCAACTATATGTCAATAAACTGGGAAGTCTAGAAGAAATGGACAAATTCCTAGAGACATGCAACCTACTAAGATTGAGCCATGAAGATATACAAAATCTGAACAGACCAATAACAAGTAACAAGAATGGGGAAAAACTGAAATCCTTTCCTCTAAGATCTGGAACATAACAAGGATGTCCACTGTTATTCAACATAGTCCTGGAAGTCCAAGCTGGAGCAATCAGACAAGAGAAAGAAATAAAGGGCATCCAAATTAGAAAGAAAGAAGTCAAACTATCCTTGTTTGTAGATGATATGATCTTATATTTGAAAAAACCTAAGGACACCATAAGAAATCTATTAGGACTGATAAACACATTCAATGAAGTTGCCGGATACAAAATCAACATACAAAAATCAATAGCATTTCTACATGCCAACAAGGAACAATCTGAAAAAGAAATAAAAGTAATCCCAGCCAGGTGTGGTGGCTCACGCCTGTAATCCCAGCATGTTGGGAGGCCGAGGCAGGTGGATCACGAGGTCAGGAGTTTGAGACCAGCCTGCCGAACATAGTGAAACCCCATCTCTACTAAAGATACAAAAAATTAGCCGGGCGTGGTGGTGGGCACCTGTAATCCCAGCTACTCGGGAGGCTGAGGCAGGAGAACCACTTGAACCCAGGAGGCAGAAGTTGCAGTGAGTCAAGATCGTGCCACTGCACTCCAGCCTGGGTGACAGTGCGAGACTCCATCTCAAAAAATAAAAACAACAACAAAAAACGTAATCCCATTAATAATGGCCACAAATAGAATTAGGAATTAACTTAACCAAAGAAGTGAACAATCTCTATAATAAAAACTGTAAAACACTAATGAAAGAAATTGAAGAAGACATCAAAAATGTAAAGATATTTTATGTTCATGGTTTGGAAGAATCCATGTCGTTAAAATGTCCATATACCCAAAGCAATCTACAGATTCAGTGCAATCCCTATCAAAATACCAATGACATTCTTGAAGAAATAGAAAAAAAAAATCCTAAAATTTATGTGGAACCACAAAAGACACAAAATAGCGAGAGCTGTCCTAAGCAAAAAGAACAAAACTGAAGGAATCACATTAGCTGACTTCAAATTATATTACACAGCTACAGTAACCAAAGCAGCATGGTGCTTGCATAAAACCAGACACAGAAACCAATGGAACAGAATAGAGAACCCAGAAACAAATCCACACACCTAAAGTGAACTCATTTTTGACAAACGTGCCAAGAACATATAATGGGAAACACTGTCTTCAATAAATGGTGCTGGGAAAACTGAATATCCATATGCAGTAGAATGAAACTAGACTCCTATCTCTCACCATCTACAAAAATCTAATCAAAATGAATTAAAGACATAAATCTAAGACCTCAAACTATGAAACTTCTGCAGGTAAGCATTGAGGAAACTCTCCAGGACATTGGTCTGGGCAAAAATTTCTTGAGTAATACCTCGCAAGCACAGGCAACCAAAGCAAAAATGGACACATGGGGTCACATCAAATTAAAAAGCTTCTGCACAGCAAAGGAAACAATTAGCAAAGTTAAGAGAGAACCCACAGAATTGGAGAAAATACTTGCAAACTAACCGTCTCACGAGGGATTCATAACCAGAATATACAAGGAGCTCAAACAATCCTATAAGAAAATAATCTGATAAATTTATTTAAAACTTGGCAAAAGATTTAAATAGACATTGCTCAAAAGAAGGTATGCAAATGGCAAACAGGTATATGAAAACGTGCTCAACATCATTGATCATCAGAGAAATGCAAATCGAAACTCCAATGAGATCTCATCTCTTTCCAGTTAAAATGGCTTATATCCAAAATGCAGGCAATAACAAATGCTGGAGAGGAGGTGGAGAAAAGGGAACCCCCTGCCACTACACCGTTCGTGGGAATGTAAATTAGTACAACCACTATGGAGAACAGTTGGGAGGTTCCTCAAAAAACTAAAAATAGAGCTACCATATGATCCAGCAATCCCACTGCTGGATATATACCCAAAAGAAAGGAAATCAGTATTGGAAGAGATATTTCCCATGTTTGTTGCAGCACTGTTCACAATAGCTAAGATTTGGAAGCAACCTAAGTGTCCATCGAAAGGTGAATGAATAAAGAAATGTAGCAGTTACACACAATGGAGTACAATTCAGCCATTAAAAAGAATGAGATCCTGTCATTTGCAACAACATGGATGGAACTGGAGATCACTATGCTAAGTGAAATAAGCCAGGCACAGAAAGCAAACATCACATATTCTCAACTATTTGTGGGACCTAAAAATCAAAACAAACTCATGGACATAGAGTAGAAGGATAGTTACCAGAGCCTGGGAAAAGAGTAGGGGATTGTGGGGGAGTTGGGGGTGCTTAATGGGTACAAAAAATAAAAAGACTAAATAGGGCCTAGTATTTGATGGCACAATAGTGTGCCTATAGTCAATAATAATTTCATTGTACATTTTTAAATAACTGAAAGAATATAACTGGATTGTTTGTAACACAAAGGATAAATGCTTGAGGGGATGGATACCCCACTTTACATAATGTGATTATTACTCCTTGCATGCCTGTATCAAAACATCTAATGTACCCCATAAATATATACACCTACTATGTACCCACAAAATTAAAATTTAAAAATTTTAAAAATTCAAAAAAAGTATAAGTTGCAAACTGAATGCTTTTAGGCATGATTTAAATGTGAAGAAAGCAATTTTTTTTTTTTTTGACACAGAGTCTCTCTCTGTGGCTGGAGTGCAGTGGCACAATCTCAGCTCACTGCAACTTCTGCCTACTGGGTTCAAGCAATTCTCCTGCCTCAGCCTCCCGAGTAGCTGGGATTACAGGAGCCTGCCACCACGCATGGCTAATTTTTGTATTTTTAGTAGACATGTGTTTCACCGCATTGGTCAGGCTGGTCTTGAACTCCTGACCTCGTGATCCACCCACCTCGGCCTCCCAAAGTGCTGGGATTACAGGCGTGAGCCACCGCACCTGGCCGAAGAAAGCAATTTCTATATTGGAAGAATATGGACTAACTATACAAAGGATGAAATTCCTTAAGAGAAGAGGGTGGGTGGAGGAACAAAAAACCATGCACAGCACTGAAGAGCTTATTTGGTCATCTGCTTTGTCACTTTCAGATAATGGAATCAGAGGATAAGCATTGTGATGCATCATATAGAATCTCCTTTCAAATAAAGTTATGAAAATGGGGATGGCATTCCATTTCCTGAAATGCATCAGTGCAGGTTAGATAACTCATTAAATATAACTTCAGTTTTCAGGACAAGGTTTTAGCGAACAAGACAATCTAACATTATTTTATTAATTTTAAAAGCTTTTCCCCCAATAGAGGTGAATACATTATTTAAGCAAGTCAATAGAAAAAAAAAACCCAGCTGTCAATAATAGGTTATTTTAGAGACATAGCAGAAAGAGTGCAACAGTGTTCCTCCAACTGGAAGCTGAGGACATTGGGGTAAATTAGAACAGAGGAAATGTTTGGGGTTAGGTATTTGGAAGGGACAGTGATTGATGGCAGTTTTAGAACAGAAGATCGCTTAGAGGGACCTAGGAGGCTCTTAGGTTGGCAGAATAGTCAAGGTGACCGTGTTGGGCTGGAGGGCTCCAAGAGAGGCAGATGAGGCACATGGACAAGTGAGGGTCCTCAGCTTCTAGTGGCAAGACGGGGCTCATAACGCCACAGCACACACAGTGGGGTTGACACATCTGTAGTCTCTCACAATGAAGACAGGGAAATAAGCACATATGTTTTTATTAATATTATTTTATTATTATCATTGTCATTTGGCTGTGAGACTCCATGGTGTATTGCATAGCTGTGGAGTCTACTGCCAGGTTTCAAATTCTGGCCCCACCTCTTCCTGGGACAAATTACTAAACCTTTCAGTCTGTTTTCTTATGGGTGCAATGGAACTGTAAAATCCGGGCTGTAACAAGGATGAAATGAACTAACATTTGTAAAGCACTGAGCCCATATAACCTCTATTATTATTTTTACTCTTATTATGTAATGGGGAGATAAATAGATGATGCATCATACTCACCATTAATTTTGTGCTCTGTTCCAGTGTAGGGTTGTGATTACATAAGAACTTTTTACACATTCAGAAGCGCTGACACTGGGCCCTTACTTTTAACTTTTTGTGAAATTCGGTATGATAGGGTCTAAGTTTTGCTAGTGTTTAAATGTTGAAATATAAATTTCATAAGGAAGGAAGTAACATATGTTTTTATTCATTTAATTTTATTTGAATATCGAAAAGATATCTTAGATTTTTTTTTATATGTTCCTTCAACTCTCATTCAACAAGTGTCTATTGAGTGCCTCCTGTGTGCCAGGCACTGTTCTAGATGCTTGAGAGACAGAAATTCCTGCCCTCCTAAAAGTTCTGAAAACCTAAAGAAAAACTTGGTAGCTTATTTTTTTATAAACAATTTGCCAGATATTGGGGCTCAAAAAATTCTGGGGGGGCTGGATGCAGTGACTCATGTCTGTAATCCCAGCACTTTGGGAGGCCAAGGTGGGCAGATCACTTGAGGTCAGGAGTTCAAGACCAGCCTGGCCAACATGGCAAAACCCCCTTTCTACTAAAAATATTAGAATACTAAAAATACTAAAAAATTAGCTGGGCATGGTGGTGCATGTCTGTAATCCCAGCTACTTGGGATGCTAAGGCAGGAGAATTGCTTGAACCTGGGAGGTGGAGGTTGCAGTGAGGCGAGATCGTGCCACTGCACTCTAGCCTGGGGAACAGAGGGAGACTCCGTCTCAAAAAAAAAAAAAAAAAATTCTGGGGGAGAACGTATTTTACAAGATATGATGCAAAGTTCCCTTCTCGCAAATGATATGTAGATGTGGGATGAACAAAACCAAATCTTTATGTTGCATTTTGTGTCATAAATGTTACCCAGATGTATAGGTCGTTATCAGATGCTGAGATTCAGGGTCTACCATTGTGGAAATAAACACACAGAAAATGAGGGCTGTGAAAATAAGACAAAAAATAATCCTGGAAGATTGCCCAGGCAATAATTAAGCAAAATAATTGAAAAATATAAAAGACTTAAAATTTGTTACAAATACGAATAAACCATTTTAATGAAGTCCAGGGTCCCCGATTTCTCAGTATAAAAAACAGGGATTACAATTCATTGAAAATCAGAAGAGGAAAAAAAACCCTAATGTGTATAGTGCTTATAATCCATGCGTTGTCCATATTCAATCTTATTTAATCTTCACTCTCAATTCTGAGGAGGATTTTATCTTCTTCACTTAATGGAAGAAAACAGAGAATTGGAGGAGGTGGTAACTTCCTCCAATTGTATTCCAACTGGGTAACCCCAGTTGGAATATGCTGGAGAGAGGGCATGAACTTACCCTATTTGGTTGCAGATCCTATACATGTCTTTAACAAATCTTTAACAAATAACATGCAATCCCATGGGCTCCAAAAATTATATTTGGCTCTGAAAATGATTCATTCTCAATTTATCGTAGTTTTATATTCTCAATGCAACCATCTATCCTCATGAAAACTTTCCTATTCTGCTTCAGGTAGGGACTGAACTAGCTACCAGGCCTCACATTCTTCATGCGCTCATGCATTCATTCCCCAGTCTAACTCAGCACCTTTATGTCAGGCACTCTGTTAGACATTGGTGATATAAAAATAAATAAGACAGAATCCCTACTCTCAAAGGGCTTACAGTATAATTGGACAGGAGACAGTTACTTTAGCAAATAATTTTATGAGATGCTAAGATATGCCAATGTGATTATTATGAAACTCTTTTAATTTAGTTTTTTTCAATTAAATGAAGAAAATACTTATTAAGTGCCGACAGACAGTGTGCAAAGGAACTGGAGTTGCAGAAATAACCAAGCTCTGAAAAAGCAGCATACTACATAGGAAACAGTGCAACGAGGAGAGACATATTGATGCTTGCAGACTTGGCATTTTCACAAACACAAAACTGGCTTTGCCTGACAGGATGTTTTAGGAAAACTTACCTAAGGATTCGTCCATGTAGTTTTCAGCAAGAACAAAATTTTCACTTGCGCTCACCAAGGGCTTAAGTGTCTTCCCCCAGGGTGTGCTGAGGTTGAGAGATCAACGGAGCTATTTTCAATTAGGACAGAAAGCACAATTTGTTTGGCTCAACCAAAATTGCCAGAGTGTTATCACAAGGTGAACTCAAAGTAACTATTATCTGGACACCAATTTAGCATATTGCTGTGCCTTTTTTTTTTTTAACTGTATGCTGCTCTAACAAAAAGGCTTGTCTAAAGGCATTAAAGGATATGAAACAATATTTGGTTCTGAATTGATATATCTCCCATCAGGAGACCAAGTAATATCCAGAATTATTAAATTAGATAAAAACATGCATGAGGTTAAGTACAGCTGCTATTAGATTATTGCTCTAAGATTATGTTTTTTTTTTTTCTGGATAATTCGTCCTTTGTATCTAAAATTTTGCTTTTTATTTTAATTTAGTTTTAACTTGTGTTAACCTGTATATTAGCATTTAAGATCATCCACTGAATTTGAAGTCACATGTCTCCATATGTTAACTAAAATAAAAGTGCTAAGATATATCTATGGAAAATGGATTTGAAAATGTCTAAGTGTTCTAGGTAAAGCTATAAACTCTGAGTACTTTTTGTAGGGTTGAAAGAGTTAATCAAAAGAAGCTTTTGAGTCAGAGAAAACTCAGTTCCATCTTAATTTCTACTAAAATGAGACCTTAAATTCTATTGAAATAGAATTTGACACAATTCAGGTCAGATTTCCTATCAACACCACCTTGCACTCTGGGACACATCTGTCTAATTAAGGGACTTCCTTCATTAGTCACCCTGTGTCCGGCAAGCTAAATCCAAATCTGTGGAGGAAAAGCAATGAGATGTTTTAAACAATGATAAGAACATCACAAATAATCAATTTCTATGGCATTACGAGCTACCTGGTCAAGGAAAAGCCTATAAGTGCAAGAATGTATTGTAGAACTCCAGCCCGCCTACTGGGCATTGATTCTTTGCAGTGTGCATAGATTACTGGGTTTAAAGAGAGATTCCTAATGATGCTCACCTTTAATTTTTCCCCTCACATAAAAAGAAAGCGAGTTGCCCATCAAGGCCTCAGTATAAGCAAATCAGTGTCTTTGTGGTTGTAAAGATGTATTGTGAGACTTTTCACAAAAATAGGAAACCAGCAAACTGCTTGGGAGTAATTAGACGTAATCTGATGCATGCAACCTCATAAAGGAGGAAGAGCTAATTACAATTACAATGCACCGTGCTTAGAAACATATTTATTGTGCTTATTTTTAAGATGTTTACTTCACCTGAAAGAAAAGGCCTACAAAAGCATTTCCGTGTAATCAAAACACAGTTCTTCTTTTACCAACCACATTTATTTCAATTTCTAAAGTTCATGGCAGACAGCATTTTAATCCACATTAACCTTTGGAATCCTTACATTTTCCAAAACTAGCGTCGCTTAAGAAAAACACACATATTCACCCCCAGCCCTACCCACCACCTCTCTATGCTACCCCCACACTGGAGACAGAATGAAATACAATGATTTGACACAACAATTTAACCATAACTTTCTCAAGAAAGGGCATCAACCGACTTATATATTCATTAAAGGATTAAACTTGCATTTAATCCTCAAAACTGAAACAAAACACAAAGATCCATAGAACTTTCCCAGCACACTTTCATGCACACTGCCCTCACATGGAATATTCATTACTCTCATTAAAGTAGTAACAACTGGAACCAAAATCTATGCTGTGCCTTTAAAGTAGAAAAATGGAGATGGATTAATAATATTCTCATTATTCAGGCTTCACTTTCATTTACTAAGAAGCAAAATAAGGCAAAAAACGTCCACCCTAAACCCCAAGTTAATTTCCTTTTAATTCTATCCAGAGCGTGACTTCTGTGTTGTATAGAAGATACCTGAAATTAAAGTTTAAGTTGAAGGAAAAGGAAATTAAAAGAGTTAAGCAGATGATTGTAACTTTCTAAGAATTCTGGGGCGATGCATTTGTTTCTTTTAGGGCATGGCTCGTTGAGGCAGGAAACGGTGGCCGTAGTTAGGATTCTGCGCATCTCTAGCCTGTGCCGGGAAGAGGGGGCGCACGCGCAGGTGGGCGCTTCGGAGACAGTCTGTCAGCTCCACCTGGAACGATGACAGCAGTTCCTGGCTGTCCCTGGCACTCTGACCACACAGCTTGCAGAGTTCATTGTACAGTCAGAAGGAGAGGCCGTACCTGTGACCTCCCACGGCCTCTTCTGTGATGCAGCCTCCGTCGTCTCAGTGGCCTGAATGCAAACCTGCTCCCTGGAGAGGGCAAATCATTGAACATATGTTTAGTCTAAAAATATAGCTTGCAAAAAATGCACTTTTGGAATGTGCTAAGATATTTCCTTACAGTGGAACCTTCTCTTTGCCCCAAAGATTTGTCAAATGGAATTGAATGCACACACATCAATCTGCACATTGTTGCCAGACTAGGATCATTTCAGTGTGTCCTTGTGTATTTTGCAGAAAATGCCAGCCATGTTGAAACAAGATGCCTTACAAAAGTTGTGAGCACATTACTACTCCAGGTTTCTTCCCATAGAAGATTTAAATTTAGAACTCCCTGAATTCACATTTTATTTTAAGGCATGGGAAAGATATGAAATGTGCCTTATCAATAGTTGAAATGGGATTGGAGAATATCTCTCAAGTTTATCAATTACTAAACAAAAAGATGTATATAACTTCTCCAAGATTAAATTCTTAAAGATTTAAGATGACAGACATATTTTTATAGCAAAGATCTACAATAAAGCATACGTGGTGTTTAAAACAATGTCCAGATATGTAATAAAGACACTTTTAAAAACACCATGAGCCGAAAATTAAAACAGCAACCAATTTTTTTTAATGTGGCTCTTTGGTTTTCTTCAACATTTATATTCTCAAAATGTGAAAACTGTAGGAACCACTCGAGAGTATGACTGAGTAGTAAGAAAAACGGGGTTTTCCATAAAGCTTTGGTACCACCTAAATCAGCTTTAGGTCAAAACCGACGACTCTGAAACAAATCAGAATTCAAACAGCCAGGCCGCACTGCTGAAGGTACACGCTTACTGTGAAGGGCACACTCCCCACCTGACATATTCCACGTCTACAGAGAACCTATCAGACAGAGACTCAGACATGACCGCTGACACCAGAATCGAGTTTTCTCACTGAATGCCACATAAATGGGAGGGACTGTAATGACACACACACACACATGCTCTCTGCCTCCCTCTCTGCATGTTCTCGCAGTGAAAATAACACACGTATAATACGACAACCTTGAGAGAGCACAAACTGCTGGGAAACATTACCTTCTGTGCTGCAGAGAATTCATGAGTTTTCACCAGCTGCCTGGATCTGTCCGGACATGTTCCAGTGCTCATCCTGTTAAGACTGGCAATTAAACAGAGTATTACAGCTAGGAGACCCCAAATTTGATTCCATCCTCCTCTCCTCTTTGCAGAACCCAATTTGATTTTTTTCCCCACTAAAAAAATGCATGCGTAAGTGTAGCTGTGTACGTGTGCATGAGTGTAAGCATTTCTGATGCACCTAAGCAAAAATGACAACTCTACAATAAAACAATAGGAATTCCTACCATGAAAGAAAATGAGTTTTACAAAAGTACAAGTTCTTCATAGCTGTTTTAAACAACTGTGTTTAGCAATACACCTGCTTTGATATTATCTTTTAACTGTCTCCTCTTGCTAGTTAGGCTGGCAAAAGACAGCCTCGATGGTTAATTGCCGAATGTACAGAGAAATGAAACGTGGACTTTTAAAAGAGTAGTAAGCTGGAAAGAAGATTAATAACAAATTAGTAAATAGGAAAGTCTTGCAAATCTATGACATGTTACAAAGGGAAAACACGAGCAGAATCTGTAAAATGTTACCAAAATACGAAAAGAACCTAGAAAAGGAGCACATTGTATGTTTATTTGAAACAATTATTTGCTAAGATGAAACACATTTTAGCAAGGGACTGGTGGGATAGGCAGATTGTCAGGGGAGCTGAAAATGCAGCAAGAATGACCAAAGTTAAGAGACCTAATGACTCGTGGCATCTTCCCTTAAAAATAAATCCAAACAGGGGAAAGGAATAATAAATTTTAAAATCGCTAACTGATTGCCAACCCAGATTTTGCTTTATTAGGGAGGGCAAGTAAATTTTATGTGATAGTTTGTTGTATTTAAAGACAGTGTAAAACTCTCATTGCAAACAGTTGTTTACAGTGCGTTTTTCAGCACCGAGCTGTTTTAAAGCTCAATTGTGCATTTTGCAGATAAAGTGGGAAAACTAACTGAAGGCTGTATTGTAAGCAGTGGTTGCCGTGGAAACCCCAGTTTCAAGAGCTGGTTCTCCATTACCACTTAATTTAGGCTTCCTAATTGCATTCCACTAAATCGGTAGCGACAATATCTGCAGAGCAAAACTGCATGCCCAGTCTAGCGCAAACCTCTTTGAAACAGGCTTTTTGAAAGCCAGGAGCTATAAAAACTCAGCATGACGTGGAGCATATGAGAAACCTGTAGTTCAAATGTACTACTGCCTGCTTTCTCATCCTTGGTAACTTCAGTGCGCTCCACACCAATCTATTAGTTCAGTCTACCTTAAAGATCATAAAGCTCTGCCATGTGGAAACTCATCTGTCCAGCAACACATTGGTGCAAAATAGATTTAATTGTACTCCCAACCCTGTATCATGTCCACCTTATTTTACTGCACAGCAGCAGGTAGCCAGTGCACAGTCTCACTTCCCTTGAACTGCCCTTGCTCCACAATACGAGGAGAACAATACTTTCTCAGTTTAAATTATTTGCCACTGTTGGGCTGAGCGGAGAGCTAGACCGCCCATATGTGACCTGAAGAAGAGGCTTGTCAGAACCACTAGACATAAAAGCATTCCAATTATCGACCACACTGCTTTAATAGAGGAGGCAACTAATATGATAGTGTAAGTGACTGCACCAGTGAGGAGCTCTTCGTCACTGTCAGATTAACACTTGAGTTAAACTCTTGTAAATCAGTCACATTATGCTGCTGGTGGAGAAATAAACACAGACCTATTAGGCTTAGGATTCCAGAGAGCTCTTTCTGCAAAAGGAGTTACACTGGATGCCTTATTAATAGGAAATTTGCCATGTTTATTATTTTGCAATTACTAATATGGGTAACGTTGGCAAATTTAAGTTGCCTGTGATCAGATTCCGAAAGAGAAGCAAGTGCCTTCGGTGGCCAGAGAGCAGGCCAGCCTGGCTCCGTGGCAGGGCACCGCAGGGCACGGTGGGCATTCTGTGTGAGCGGCCAGTGGGAGAGGAAGTTGGCTGACTCTCGATTGACAAAAAATCCCACAATTCTCGTTTTCTCTTTAAACAACGAATGCTTTCAAGTAAAATGCCGTGCTATCTTGGAGCACAGGACTTCATGCCAATCCCCGGCGAAGCTCATCATTTCCTCACTCAGGACCTGAGGATTTGGCATCTATATTGTAGGCGAAGAGACTCTTTTGCTCCAGAGAGGCAAGTAAACAACTGCAGCGTTTTATCCTCTCCCTGGCGTGGGTGCATGTTGCTAAAGCAGCCCAGGCACTGCTGCCAAGCACTCCACTATTGTCTTCTGTCTCCCAAGGTTTCGAACGCCCCTGCCCTCCCAACGGCGGGTCTTCTGCAGGGATGAATGAGGCATTTTCCAGGACAAGACTTTATGAATGAGACAGACTGTGTATTACAAGGCAAGAGGCTCCTGTGCATTTCCTGAAGAAGAAAGCCAATGTGAAGGAAGTCTGCATCCCAGTTTCAGCAGCAATGTGGAGGAGAAATCACCATCACTGACAAGATTTTGCCAGAAAGCCTCTCCCTTAGTCACGATACAAACAGGAGATGACCGATTCAAAGGCCAGGCATATAAAAGCCCTGGACAAGGTAGATTCTAAAGGATAAATAGTTGCTCTTCCGAGGTAGTGGGGAGGGGCGCCCGCTGTTGGACCATTTTAATCAACAGAAAATCAGGTGCACTGCTGTGGGTGTGGCAGCTGCAAAACATGGCAGGATTGCAGGTCATCTTTGGATGAAATATAACGACTCATGGTTCTGTGACTGAGAACATGTGATCTTGGAGACGAAGTCTGAGCAAAATTACGAGTGAAAGTTCTGGGATGTTAGCTATCCTGAGTCACGGAGACCTAATCGAAGTACTCCTTTCCCATCCTCTAGAGTTTCCTTAAGAAGCCCTCGGCATCAACTTCAAGGTGTGAATACATTTCTCTATTTCTGATGCACCTGCAACCTGGGTGCTACAACCGTTCTCTTCTGTGTGTTTCTTCCTCACTATGGATGGAGAAAAGTAAACAAGTGTGTTTTGTGCATCACCTTCATGTTGCCACTCTTCAGTTAGGCAAGTAAAAGCTAGCCCTTCCTCCCCAAACTTGCTTGGTGCCTCTGTTCCCAGAGCAAGGTTTCAACCCTGTTGAAACTCTGTTTCAGTCCAAGTCCAGGGCCCTCAGAGATTTTTTTTTCTCCCTGAGGGGATAAGCAGGGCTTTAAAAAGATTCTACTCCCTTTCCAAGCCCACGAAGTGCTCAGAAGCAGCCCCCAAAGGAGCCAGCAGGGAAAAGTAGACTCAACTTTGTCCAAGCATCAAGTTCCTGCTAATTTCCTCTCCTGCTACCCTGATGAAATCACCTCTGATTTTATCTGTGTTCTCCCACTTTGCCACTGCTTATCTCTCATCCACCCATGGAACTAATAAAATAAAGGACTAATGTTTCCTCCTCATCCTTAACAATTAATTCTAATTCTAAAACTTCTTTGATCTCCTCTCTATTATTCTAAAACGAAACCCCAAATCTTTGGGCTTAAAATCAAGCCTTGTTTCAGTACATAGCCTAGGTACCACATGGAAAGAAAATTGCAGCAGCCACAGAAAATGATTACTGCTGAATTACAAATCACAGAGAGATGCATAAATAGTTATGAGGGAAAATTGCAGGATAATGCTGCTGATACAATCAATAGCATCCTTGATAGTGATAGGCCCAGGGGTTCTATATATTATCTATCCACCAAAATGCCAATATAATAAAACCTACAGAGGAATTTATATCATGATCCATTCTCTGTTAATTCCCAAGTGAATAATAAATCAAATGGGATACCTGAAAGATCGTCTCCTCTAATTGACTTGTTTAAGAAACTGGTTATACTGGCCATTACGCTATTCCAACTAATGTGTGTTAGGAAGCATTTCTCTCTCTTTTAAAATTAATAAAACAATTTCACATATGACCCATGGTGCAAAGAAAAAATATATACTCTTAAGTGATTAGAACTCATTATAATTATATTTACTAAAATGTTTTATGTTTACATCATTTCTCCCAGAACTGCAGTGGTCAGTAAGGGGCCCAGAGTATGAGGGGTTTCCTATTAAATGCTTTTTGAAAAAGCAAATATACATTGATCAGGCTTTCTTTATCTTTAGCTATCACTGCTCATTTTCTCTTCTTTCCTTTCATTGAACTTCTTTTAAATTAATTAATCTATGAATTTCCAAATGTTAGATAGCAATCTATATCCATTTCTGTAGAAAAATTAACGATGCATTTTAAATGGAATCCTTTTGTGATCCCAGAATGACACCACAAATGAGATTTCCATAGGTCTTACGGTTAAGGCAGGTGTCTTTGAAAGTGGCAAGAATTCTCCCAGCTCACTAGGGGATTGATTATTAAATCTTACCAACACAAACATGGCTTTCTTATATATCTCTTTACAAGAACTAGATTTTAGAGTGCCACATCACGGCCTACATATTGGAACAATATTTGGTATAATAAAATTCCAGTAAAATAAACATTTCTCTTCTCTCTCTCTTTTTTAAAACAAATCCTTCTACTCCATTTATTTGTTTTGCAGGGGAATTTGGCCTGATTTGAATAATAAAGCAGCTATTTCCTATATGTCTTAGGCACCAAAAAATGTTATCTGAAGTGGTCTTGTGGCCCTAGGCTAGGGGCTAACACGTGAAGCCCCCAGAGCTTCATCTGGTGGGTGATAAGGTTTTCAATAACGTGGTCCTTGTCTTTACACAAAACCTAAGTATCAATTCCGTTTGAAACAGAGGATATTCAAGAAATTGTATTTCAAAAAGTTTAGATTTGCTACTTTAATTCTTAGGAGAAAAATCACATGCAGTCTGGGCAGGACTGGCTACCCAATTTGAGGAGCTCTGTGCAAAATGAAAATACAAAATGTATTCCCCATGTACAAAAGTGGTAAAAGTGAATCTCAGCAGAGCATTAAACCAAGCATGGGCCCTCCTGGGCACAGGGTCCTGTGTGACTGGAGGCACAACACACGCCCACAGCCAGCCTTGGTTTGGAGTCCAGCTGAGGCTCCCCCTTTCTTAGCTGTGTGATCCTAGCAACTTAACCTCATGTAGCTTGGGTTTTCTGTGGCTTTCAAGCACACTTTACCACACACTGGTATGGCTCTTGTAAGCATAAAATGCAAAAGTGTTTTGTAAATTCTGAAGCATGATGTAAAATCACGCGTTGGGATATCATTATTTCATTATTACTTTTAAATTGTTGGGTCATGATTAGGATCGGGAACAGACAAGATCATGACATCATCAATCCAATGTTGGCTTCACTTTTCTTTCTCTTGACTTAGAGTGAAGTGACTTGATACTCCTCTCAGCCTCATTGGGCATCAGGTCACACGAATAGACCATCTTGTTCTTCTCTGTCACTAAAACCACCACTGTATTCTATCCCTTGTTGTGGGTCCCTGCTTTCTCTAGTCATGGAACCCAAGAGTGAGTCGGTCACTGAGAAGGTGTCATACTGAATTGATGGGATGCCTGGACATATAAAATGGTGACGTTCCCACGAACCATTTCTCTGAGTCCTCATAGCATAAATATAATGCACTCCAGTTGAGCATTGTGTCAGAAGGACATGATTCTCACCTCAGACTCAGGCAGGGACAATGCTCGAAAACCACAACCACTGCTCCCATCTAAGCTGAGTAGCTCCAGGAGTGAGGGCACCTCCTGAAGGTCTCTGAAGCAGCTGCCCTCTCTACGGGTGCCCTGACATTTCCATTGCTTCTAAGCAAAGGGACAAACCTCAGCCTTCCTTTGTGTTAAGATACTTCCGATCAGATTGGCTTGTGAAGTGGGATCCAGGAGGCTTAGAGTTGAGTCTGATTACAAATTGCAGTAGCTTAACTGAGTCGGAGAAGCAACTTCTCAGATGTTTCCACAGAACCTTGGTGTGCTTCAAGATGTCAGGTGTTGTCTCAAAACCTGTGTGGGCAAAAAACACCATAAAGAGATTCCAAAGGCAAACCTTGGCAGACTTGTATGATAAAGGCTAATGCCGTTCGTCTTAAAGAGCTCCTAAAATTTATGAAGAAAAGATGAAGAATCTGATGGAAAAATGTGTAAAGGACATCAGCAGGCAGTTCCCAGGAGAAAAGAAAAGGCCCTCAAATACAGGAAAAGATGCTAGAGTGAAAGAAATGCAAATTAAGAGTACGTTTAGACACCAGATTGGCAAAAACTCATGTATGTCAGCATCATTGGTGGGTGAGCCTGTGAGGTAATAGGCCCTATTCTATATTGCTAGGAAAGGTGTAAAAGGGTACGACCCCTTATGGAGGGAAATTAGGCAACATCCAGAAAACTTACATAGGATTTGACCCTTTGAAACAGAGCTCTCACTTCTAGGAATCTATCCTGTAGACACACTGCCAAAAATACTATAAGGCATATGCACAAAACTATTAATTGCAGCATATTTGTATTAGCAGAGGACTGGAATCAACCCAGGTGTCTCCATTAATAGGGGACTGTGGGAATAAACAATAGAGGATCCACACAAAGAAAGTCTATACAAAAAAAAAAAAGTGAGAAATGTGGAACACAAACCTTTTGTGTAAGAAAGAGAGGCGATATAAATATATTTACTGATTTGCTTATATTTTCAAAAAGCAACCCTGAAGACATAAATGAAAAATAAATATAAATCATTATCTGTAGAAGAAGGCACAGGGGACAGAACGAAAGGAGATGCCTCTGAATCATGTCTATGTTTTGTAGATTCAAGAAACATACAGTTTAAATTTCAAAATATACTGAAATTGATGTAGAGTTGAATGAGCCAACTCTACATCAATTTGGTGACATAATCACACAGAAGAAATAATGATTTCAAGTGACTTTAGAAGATGTTATTTAACCTGTGCATCCACGATGAAATATTTTATAGGAACAAATAATGCTGCCACACAGTGTTCAACTCCATTCTGCAATCTTACTTTTAGTAGTAATGTTAGTAATCATACTTTGTGATAATTCTACATAGTTTGTATGATACAGCAAATAATTTGAAGCCAATATTTTTAACATAAGAGAAAAAAAGTACAAGTGTAAAGCCAAACGATAAGAAAAATTCCTGCAATATAATTGAAAATAGCAAGATTAACTCATGATTTGTTTATTATGTTTTTTTAGTAGCCCCACCTAAAAGCAAAGGCAACATTGCAGCACTAACTACTCCTAGTGCCTGAAGGGTGGTCTGTAAATACTATTTCCCAATGAAAGAAATCAGTTTTCGGACAGAAAATACGTAAATGAAGCTGGACATTTTGGTATGTCAGAAAAAAACGGAAGCTATCGAGGACTAGTGGGCGCATGTCAAAATGACACACTAGACAATATGCAAGGGGACCACTGGCCAAAGACAGAGCAAGTTGAGCATCAAAAAATGATGATTAATTATTGAAATACACTAAATGTGTAAAAACATGAACTCTCCGTGATACTGAGAGGGGGAGTTTAGAAACAACAACAAAACAAAACAAAGTGCACACACAAAACAAAACAATTCACTGGTGACCATTGTAGGTAATTAGGACTTCAAATCCTTTGAATGTTGGCAATGGAAGGAAAGGAACAAAGCATTTATCATGCCTTTTGAGGACTAGTGTGATAGCCTTAGCTGATGAAAGAAAATTATTTACAAAAAAGGTGGAAAAATAAACCAAATTAGAAGCTCACCCTTTATGACATGTAATGGATGATCTGACTCTGCAAAGTACACCAGTGGAGGACACTGTGAGATGAAAGTGTGATGGGAACTTTATGGTGGAGGGATTAGGCTGTCACCACGTCACCTGCCCTCACATGATTACGACTGTGCTCCCAAAGATGGCCACAATGGTACTTCCCATCCTCTTTTGCACTGTGACCTTGTGACTCCCCAGCAAGAGGTAGAGTCTATTTCAAATCCTTTCGATCTACAATGGTCCCATGACTTGCTCTGGCCAATAGAATGAGATGGATGTGATGCTCTGTAACTCTCAAGGCTGGGCCTTAAGAGACCCATAGCTTCTGCCTTTATCACTAGAACACCCTCTTCAAAGCCAGTCACAAAAGCAACCCAGAGACCATCAAGCTATAAGGAAGCCCAAGCTAGCCATTTGGAAAGAGAGGATGACCACTGAGGAGCCAGGCCCATGAGCAAGACCTTGTTGGACTTGCCAGCCCAGCCACCAGCTGGGTGCAGGAGAATGAAAGAATTCAGCTAATGCCACATGGCTCGATCAGAAAAAACTGCTCAGCAAAGCTATACCCAAATTGTGACCTATGGAATTGTGCACAAATAATTGTTTTAGGCCATCAAGTTTTGGGATAGTTTGTTATGCAGAGCTACTGCATAATTTAAAAGTCACTGTTTTGGAACAATCAAGTAGTATCTGATTCAGGGGGGCACAAATGATCAACAAGGAAACCAGTAAATGCAAGTTTGGTGGCGATTTTAATATTGGAAAAAGTGGCTGTCACCATCTGAACCTTACCAAGACAGGGACAGCCTGACAGTAGGGGTCTTTTGATAGGATGTAATAAGGAGTGCCCAGCTTCACTTATGAAATATTCTTGTAGCGCTTTGGGAGGCCAAGGTGGGTGGGTCACCTGAGGTCAGGAGTTCGAGACTAGGCTGGCCAACGTGGTAAAATCCTGTCTCTTCAAAAAATACAAAAATTAGCTGGACGTGGTAGTGCACGCTTGTAATCCCAGCTACTCAGGAGGCTGAGGCAGGAGAATCGCTTGAACCCAGGAGGCAGATGTTGCAGTGAGCCAAGATCGCACCATTGCATTCCAGCCTGGGTGACAAGCACAACTCCATCTCAAAAAAAAAAAAAAAAAAAAGAAATATTCTTGTAGAAAAAGCAAAACACAAAAGATTTAGAGTTGAATTGGAACAATTTAACGGATTCTGTAGTGCTAACCTTCAATTTACAGAAAATACAGAGAGAGAAATATCAGTTAAATGACATCGAGAAGAAGCGAGCAGAAGCACCCAGGGAGAGAGACTTCTATGGGACAACTGACCTGGCTGACCTTCCAAGAACCAGTGACACAAAAACAGGGTGGAACCAGCTGTGGATTAAAAGAGTCTTAAGAGGCTATCAGCCACAAAATATATGAATCTTGTTGGGATCCTGATTCAGACAGGCCAAATGGCAATAGACAAACTGATACACTCAGGGAAGTTTGAATATGGAAGGAGGGTAACATTTCACCAAGAAATTAGTTTTTAATTTTTAAGATGTGATAATGGCATGTTAGTTATGTAACAAAATATCTGTCTTTTTTTAAAAGATACATATGCTAAGTACATAGGTGTGAAATGACATGAAGGTTGGAATTTATTTTAAATTTCTTTACCAATTAAAAAGAAAAGAAGAAAGGGAGAAGGAAGGCAGAAAGAGAAATATGAATAAATGATACAAAAAATCTCACTAACAGTTAAGTTTAGAGAGGCAATACAGGGACTCACTATATTAAAATTTCTATACTTTTGCTTATAGTTGAAAGTTTTTATCATAAAATTTGCAAAATAAAAATGTACTGTCCAGGCCTGGTGCCTCACGCCTATAATCCCGCGACACTTTGGGAGGCAGAGGTGGGAGGCAGAGGTAGCTTGAGCCCAGGAGTTTGAAACCAGCTTGGGCAACATGGTGAAACCCCATCACTACAAAAATTACAAAAAAATTGGCCAGGAGTGGTGGGTGGTGGTGTGTGACTGCCGTCCCAGCTACTCGGGAGGCTGAGGTGGGAGGATCACTCGAGCCCAGGAGTTTGAGGCTGCAATGAGACATAACCATGCCACTGCCCTTCAGCCTGGGCAACAAAGCAAGACATTGTCTCAAAAAAAATTACAAAATATGAAAATTTATGTAAACTTCTTTTTTTAAGTCATGTCAATACCTCTTCTAATATAAAAGTATGACTTTACATTACCAATGAAACAAACTAGTGTCTTCCCCCAAATATTGGAGTAAAACTGATGTTCCAGAAAGACCTGCCACCACTTACATTAAGCTAAGCAGCCAGGGATTCTTATATCCGTCCCCCAACATTCTCCTATTACTTGCTTCTGGCTCATTCTTGTTGTAATGGTTTTCAATGTTATGTGTTATCTATTTAATTATTTTAGTAAGTTGGAAGTACTTTTTGGGCATCGATGGGCTATGAAGAAGGAAATTTAACGTAAATATGATAGTTCTTGACCCTCTTACTCTGCTTGCTTTTAATAAATGGATCAAGACACAAATGTCCTTGGTATGGGCTTTGGGGTCCACTGCTCCGGGTTCAAATCCTGGCTCCACTATCATCAGTTGTGTGACTTTTAACAGTGACTTCCTTCTCTGTATCCATGTCCTCCTTTACAAGATGAAGATAATACTAACAGCTCCTATTTGTACACCATGTTCATGGCAGCATTATTCACAATAGCCAAAAGGCGGGAATAACACAAGAGTCCATTTATGAATGAATGGGTAAATAACAGGTGGTCTATCCACACGATGAAATATTGCTTAGCTGAAAAAGGAAGGAAATTCTGACACATGCTGCAACACGAATGAACCTTAAGAACATAATGCTAAGTGGAATAAACCCGACATAAAAGTACATGATTCCACTTACATGAGGTGCCTAGAGTAGTCAAATACATACAGATAGAAAGTAGAAGGGTGGTTGCCAATGGCTGGAGGGAGGAGAGAATGAGGAGTTTAACAGGTACAGAGTTTCAGTTTTGCAAGATAAAAAATTTCTAGAGATGGGTTGCACAGCAATGTGAATGTACTTAATTCCACTGAACTGCATTAAAATAGTTAAAATGGTAAATTTTATGTTAAGTATATTTTACCCCCATTAAAAAAGAATTAAAGCTGGAAAAGTATCTAGTAGCTCCTGTGTAGATGCTAGATGAATCATTTGAAGTAACCCTGTAGAGATGTGCAGAGGAGTGCCTTGCACATAACCAGCGTTCCATAAAGGACAGCTAGTAGCCTCAGGATGTTCCTTACTGTCACTTTCCTTCCACCCCAAAGACAAGGATTAACCCCATCAACTAATGCCTTGTAAGGTTGGGGCTTTTTTGGGGACAGCGGGTCTGGAAGAGGGCTCAGATTCACTAGAGAATCTAATGAAAACCATGACCCCTGTCCTAGAAACAATTTTGGTGCTTGCTGTCTGTCTCTCTCTCTCTCTCTCTCTCTCTCTCTCTCTCTCTCTCTCTCTCTCTCTCTGGTTCTCTGTCTCATTTTCTGTGTCTCTCATTCCTGCCCTCCACAACCATTTCACATCCTCTTATAGATCCCCCACTCCCCAGCGGGAGCCAGAACCCATGGACCCCAGATTAGGTTCCTACCTTGCTCTTCCCACATTAGTGACTGTTGATGAAGGTAGGGGCTGCCTTGGGGTAATTGCACTATAATGGAGGCTTGTTGGAGAGAGGCCATTACACAAGGAAATGACATGAATGGTGAAATCTTTTTTTAAAAAAAAATTATAGTAAAATATACATCTCCAGAAATGGAGATGAATAGTGGTGATGGTCGCACAACAACATGAATGTGTTTAATTCATTCCTCTTCTCAAACCGAAAATCCATTAACATTGACTCCTCATTCTCCTCTCCCCTCCAGCTCCTGGCAACTACCTTTCTGTCTCTATGAGTTTGATTATTCTAGGTATCTCATATGTGTTAGTCATTTCTGGCTACTGTAACAAAAATACCATGCACTAGGCTCTGATGATGGTTTTCTTCCCGGTTTGCAAATGGCTGTCTTCTTGCTGTGTCCTCATATGGCAGAGGAAGCAAGTTCCTGTGTCTCTTCTTATACTGGCACTAATCCCATCATGAGGACTCCACTGTCAGGACCTAATCACCTCTCAAAGCCCCCACCTCCTAATAGCTTCACATTGGATGTTTGGATTTCAACATTTGAATTCTGGGGAGACACAGACATTCAGTCCACAACATCTAAGTGAAATCGTGCAATACATAGGCTTTTGCATCTGGCTTATTTCACTTAGTATAATGTCTTCAAGGTTCATCCACACTATAACGTGTGTAAGAATTTCATTCTTTTTGAAGACTGAGTAATATTCAGAATGGTGGACTCAGCACGATGGTAGGTCTGAGGAGTGGGGCTGGAGATGGGTGTAGGTTGGGATCTCTCTGGGGGAAGTGTACTTTCTTAAAGGTTTTCAAGTAGTACTGTGGAATTTGTTGCCTACTTGGCTGCTCTCAGAAGCCAGTCCAGGCTATGTCTTCAGAAAACAATGTTTATAGAAGGCACGGGCCGTGGAAATGGAAAGAATTTACAAGGAGTCCTTGAAACTGCATAGATTTTGCATCACTGTATTAGGAGTTCCTTTAGAACTGCTCGGTGGCTGCAGAAAGTGAAGGCAGCTTTGCAATGTCATACTCTCTTCCTCTTCCACGGCTTTTCGCCATATGCCCATGTTTTTCTTGACATTCAATATGCTTGCATGTATTTCAGGATGATTTTTGGTCATGAGAGCAAATATTTACTGGGTTATTAGCCAAATGAAAGGAAAACAAAACATGACCTTCCAGGGCCGAGCCCATTGTGTAGGATATGAGTTTAAGAAACATAAACCCTTCCACAAGGATTGGTTGGGTACGGGCCTGAATGTCTAAATCCTGCAGGGATTTCCCATCTTTCCCTACCTTGCTAATATTCAAGAAAAACAACGATGCGTGTGGAACCCAATGAGATTAGACTAAAACCCAGAATAAATAAGGATTTTGATATCATCCTGTCCTGACTCATGTCTTGCATGTTTTAAATTCTCTTGGCCCCATAAACACATTACAACTAATTATGGCTGAAGCTCAAAAGGCTTGGGAGTTGAGTACATAGTGGATTCCAAGCCTGAAAGCCTAGCTCGATTTCTCTGCATTGGCAAGGGCACACTCCTACTCAAGGGCCAAAAACGCTGGGGAGGTGGCTTAAGTAGTTTGCAGCCAAATACAGGGGAGGAGGAAAGAGAAATAGAACTCAATCATCAATCATCACGTTGTTAAAACCGCTTGGGGTTTTGGTTTTCCTTTATTTTGCCCATTTATTGTAACAGCTGGAAGGGTGAGCTCAGCTGACTTAATGATATTTTGTAGCACTAATGTATTTGGTGACAATGCAACACTTGGAAGTTTAACAAAAGCAGAGGATTAAAACCGTAGCCAGAGATTTGAGAATTCTCTGACATCATAGAGAAGAAATAAAAGTTTTCCTTCTTTGCTCTTCTATTATGACATGGTTGGGATTAGTCATCATTTTTGAAAACTAAAACACAACAGCAAAAAACAATAGGGAGAGAAGGCAGAGCATGTGGCTCAGGGAGGGCCTGGAATTTTTAAGCCACCTCTGGCCTACATATTAGGCCTAGGGGCGCAGTGCCTAAGGTCGGCAATACTTTTAGTAGAGCACAAAAATGTTTTCATTTCTTATAAATTCAGAAAAAAAAATAAAGTTTAAGGTTAGAAAAAAATTTAATATAAAATATTAATATATTTGTTTTATACCAACACAGTTGGAAAATATTATTTTTAATCTTATTTTTATGGAGGAAGGGACTTATGCAGGCAAAAGTGTCTGGGGTCCATGAAAGCCATCTGAAGTTCTGTTTGAAGTTATTGGCATATGGTTATAAGTCGTCCCTCTCCAGCACCGCTACTGACATCTGGGTCTTGGAAGCAGCCCTGGGGAATTGGGCAATCTCCCTCGGCCATATATCTCTTCGAATTCACTGATTCCATCTAGGAGATGTACATGGAGCAAGAAGGATTTGGATTGTGGCCATTTCCCTTTGATACTCAGTTATCATGAGCTTATTTGAGTTTCCTCCCCTTTTGAGGCTAGTATCCTACTTTCCAGCCAGCATTTTAGGCTAGAGTTGAAGGAAGCAGCTCCCAGTTCTGGAGAGAAGAGTAAGAGATCCTTAGTCCCCAGGGAACTGGGAATTAACCCCAGTTAATTCCCTCAGGGGTCTGGAGCAGCTGACTGCAGAACCGTGACTATCTCTGGCCAGTATCTGGTTATAAAGGAGGGCAGTGAGGTCAAAAGTGCACGAAACTAGAAACCCAATGACCTGGGTTCTAAATCTACCACGTATCAACCGTGCAACGTTAGTCCCTCTGACTTCTACGAAATGGGAATAGTCATACCTGTCTAGGTCACCTGCTGTAGTTGTTATGGAAGCCAAATAAAATAATACATGTGAATGTATTTTGTACATTTGGAAAGTTTTCTACAATGTAAAGATCTGAGCAGGGCACAGTGGCTCACGCCTGTAATCCCAGCACTTTGGGAGGCCAAGGCGGGCAGATCACCTGAGGTCAGGAGTTCGAGACCAGCCTGGCCAAAATGGTGAAACCCCATTTCTACTAAAAAAAAAAAAAAATAGCCTGGCATAGTGGCACATGCCCATAGTCCCAGGTACCTGGGAGGCTGAGGCAGAAGAATTGCTTGAACCCAGGAGACGGAGGTTGCAGTGAGCCAAGATCTTGCCATTGCACTCCAGCCTGGGCGACAAGAGCAAAACTCCGTCTCAATAAATAAATAAATCTGTTATCTATTTCACATACTATGCCTCAGTTTCTTTACAGTAAAATGGGGAGAAAATGATGCTGGCCTGCAGTTCACCTCAGAGGAGCTTCACATGGCTAGGACTGGCTGGAGAGAGAAAGCTCACTGCAGACATTCAGTGTGGCCGTGCAGACCACAGGACTCCCATATCATGATACAGAACGTGGACTCTAGTCGGGTCTCCCCAGAAATGTTGTATGTTGGATCTGAAAGACCTACTCAATAGCTGAATGCTTGCATTTAGCCCATCAGAAGCAGATTTGACACTCCCCGCAGCAGAGACACAAAGGCATCTCAGCAGCAGCTGACCTCTGTTGCCACTATTCTGGTGTATCTCCGCTTCCACCCTGCCAAAGCCCTGCCCATTAGCCTTTACCCCATGAGCCCTTCCTCATTAAATACTCCCTCCCTCACTCGCCAGTCAGGTACGATTTGGGGAAGAGCCTGAACTTAGTCACAGTAATTACGTTCTCTTCTGGGCCAGCCTTTGACGTGCTGCAGAATAACCCAGAAGGAAAGGTACCTGCTGTTTGTGAGGGCTCAGCTACCCCAGGAGAAGACGAATGGCTTCACAACCATCTCCACCTTCAGTGAAGTCAGCACTGCACACCGAAGGGGTAACAGGCCAAGGGGATACTACCCATATTCCCAAAGGGTGAGAAAACAAGTGTACTGAGTACTGAGTATGGAGGCAGGTAGGGTGTGCCGGGGATAGAGTCCTCATTCAGCACATCCAGTTATGAGGCCACAGCACGGTCCCATCAATTCACAAGCTGCAAATCATTTCCAGATTATTTGGCCCCTGAGGTGTTAATTATGTCAAATTCACACCTTTTTCTAGGAGACATAGGCTAAACCTGAATAATGATTACATTAGGCTACGAGACCTGACATCTCCTCCTTACCTGCCATCCTTGGTCCCTTTTTTCTACTAACAACTTTGCTGAGTTCCACCATGAGCCAGGCCCTGGGCCTGGGGGTAGGGCTTCTCACAGAGTTCACATTCTCATCAGGGAGAGAGACAAAATGCAAATAACACAGATAAATAGACAAAACAACTAAACATTGCAAAAAGTGGCGCAGAGGAAGCCGTCCATCCCACTAGACCCTCTGGTTCTCCTGCTCTCCCCTTGCCGGGACTGGCATCTCTCCACTGACTTCCACATGCCTCCTCCACCTTCACACTCAGCCAGGGCAATTGCTTAGATATGATGCACTAAATGGAAGGGGGCAGCCTCGCCCTTCCTCATCCTGCCATCACCAAACCTCTGCCTTTTTCCTTCCTGCGTTGCTAGGCGAAGGCCATCTGGCTCACCGCTAGCTCTTGTTGCTTTGAAAGGACTTCCCACCTGTAGCTCTCCTCCCATCCCTCTCTTGCTGCCTCAGTCTTTCCCTCCTATGCGTTTATCCCCAAAACCATAGACATACACAGCACTGCCCACCCTAAAAAATGAGAAATTTTGTTTGATCTTACATCTCCTGCCAGGTTCTGTGCCACCTCTCTGCTCCTTTTCAAAGTTGAACCTCATGAAGTTACCACCTTCACTAGCTACATAATTTGCTGGGCCCCATGCAAAACGATAATGTAGGGCCCACTCAGGTAGGAAGTTAATGTTCCCTTCCCAGGTGGCTGTGCAACGCCGGTGGAAGACACTCCTCCAGGGATTGCAGCCTCTGCACCAGATGCGCTCTGGACCTGGATCATGGGTAGGCAGGAAGACACCACAGACCTGCCCCCAAATGCACTGAGGGATGGAGATGGCCATGGGCCCCTGCCCGAGATGTCACGAGGCCCACGGCAAAGCCCGACCTTCACACATCCTGGCCCAGGTCCCCACTGGGGATCAGGGGGCAGAACGGTGGTCTCTCTCAGTCAACATGTGGTGGAGGGTGGCAGTGGTGGCAGTGGGGAGACCCCAACCCCTGGAGGCCGAAGGAGGAGGTGGAACTATGCAGACATGAGGACCCAGGGCCCCAGTGCATGCTTTTCTGCCCATTGTCCCATCAGACTTCACTTACAAAACAAACTGAAAGACAAAAGTCTTAAGAATGTCCAGGCTGGCATGGGGCACTGACTTCCTAGCACAGGGTATCAGAGCAGGCAGCCCTGCGGGTGGCACTGACCATACTGGACCCGTTTTTTCCATGCGGGCTCCTCCTGGGCCCAGGGGGGCCAGGCTTCTGCCCCTCGCTGCACTCCCTGTGTTCTTGTCAAGGCTGCCACAGGTTGGGCTGCTTTGTCGCCCCTTACTTAGCCTTCATTCAGCACGTTCAGCAACTCTGGAAGCTCGGGAAGCTCCCTCCTTCTGAAACTCCTGGCCTTGGACACAGCACCCTCTCCTGCTGGCCTCACTCAGGCTGGCTGCTCCTGAATGAGCAGGGGGCTCCCTGGGGTCCCTGGGGTCTATCCTGGGCTCCTCTCTTCTCACTGGCCTGCACTCCCTAGACGATCCTTCAGCTTATGGGACTGACACCATTTCATGACCATGGCCCCCACATTCACCTCTCTGGGCCTGCAATGTCTTGTGGGGTCGCCTCCACATCCAGCATTTCATTAGCCGATTCTAGCAAGGTTGGGCTTGCATCTGTGGTTCTCAAGCTTGTAAAACAGTGACATCCATTCTTTGTATCAGGAACAAAATCAGACCTTTTCAGGGCATTTGCAACTTGCAGTTACAGAAACCAAGAATAAATTCTGGAAGTTATGTTTCTTGGTTACCCATATGATCATGATCATGACTCACGGGTTCTCTTTTTGTAAACTGGTTCCCATAGGAATTCTAAAAAATTATATTAGTTGAGGCTATAGTTAGGAGTGTCATGATCATATGGCTTAGATTAATAGGTACCTGAGTACTCAGGATCCCAGAGTTTCACTGAGAGGCCCAGAAGCTGTTACCAAGGCATCAGGAGGGAGGCTGCCTGGGTGGCAGCCAGCAGTTCCTCTTGTATTTGTTCTCAACGTTTTAATTTTATATACAATTTCATTAGAAGGAAGGACACTGCATTCTAAGGCACATAAGTGACTTGTTAAAGTTACACACCGGGCGCTGGAGGAGTGGGGACAAGAGCTTTGTTTCCCATCGCAGGTCGCTTCCTTGGGGCTTCCAAATGGTCCCTATGTATAAAGAACTCTGTAACGCTGAAATTCATTTTGAGCTTTAAAAACTTGGTCTCCATTTCTCTTGTCAGCATATCTAATTTTGAGGAACATGTATATTTAGAGCTGTTTTGGTTTTAAAGTTTGGTAATAACCTTTGAGCAAACACCGAAAGACTTGGAGAGACTGGATCAGTGTCTCAGCTCTCTTTCACGGGCATGGCATCTGGGGCTGCTCAATTTGCACTCAGGATGAGTCATTCCAGAATTCTGCCAGCCGTGGGAGCAAGGGGTGAAATGAGTGACTGTGCTACCTGAAGATAGGCAGGTACAGTTTAGACTGAATCGTGACTCTGGTGCATTTCAGCTATGCAAAATAATGCACAAAGAAGCATTATTTCACTTCTTTGTGACATGGAGAATGTAATTCCCTTTGTATGCCTATGCTAAGAATTAATGTATTTTTATTTTATATAAAAATAAAATTTTTGAGACAGGGGCTCACTCTGTCACCCAGGCTGCAGTGCCGTGGTGCCGTCACAGTTCACTGCAGCCTCAACCTCCCAGGCTCAAGCAATTCTCCCGCCTCAACTTCCCTAGCAGCTAGGATTACAGAAACACCACCATGCCAGGTTAATTTTTTTTTCCCAACTTTTTGTAGAGATTGGGTCTCACCATGTTTCCCAAGCTGGTCCCGAACTCCTGGGCACAAACAATCCTCTGCTATGACTTCCCAAAGTGCCTGGATTACAGCCATGAGCCACCGTGCCCAGCTGGAATTAATTTATTAAAAAATATGTGATGCGGAACATTAAACATAGTAGATATATAATCAATAGGAAATATATAACTGTCTGTGATCAAAGGATGAATATATATCATTGTATCTATATATCTATACACACATATATATGTTTATATACTTTTTCATATTATTTTAGTTTTTTTTGTGCTTAGGGGATGCTTTCACTAACTAGCATATAGACTTGGAGAAAAAATAGTTTTTAATCATGATATGAACACCACTCATTTTCACATTTATTAATGCAATAAAAATTTTCTTGGGTAAGCATCATGTATAAAGAGACTGTATTCAGGAGACAAGGATAAGAAACAGTCTTCACACTGAAGGAATTTAAAATCTAGAAATAGAACATAATACTTCTATGTGGCCACGATTTTTTTATTTATCTTGAAAATTTCAAATGTCAGGCACAAATTTCTCTGCAAACTAAAAGACAGTTTCTGATGAGTGTTCAGACATTTTGTCTTGAATTTATATTATCAACTTGATATCTCTGCTGTGTTAGGGGATGCTCACGAGACAGCTGAAAGGGATAATATTAAAATAGATTAGGTGATTGTATTCAGTGTCTATAAAAAGCCATAATCTAAAGGCCTCGATAGTTTATTTCCATAACTACTAAAATGTAAATGGACATTCAAATGTAGCATTCGTATTTTTAGCGAAACATGGCTTTTATCACATATAAACAAACAAGTAATCCAAGATTGTCAAAGAAGTTGTTAGAAGTATAAAATGACTAATTAAAATAAGAAATACCGGTCTTATTACCCTGAAATGGTCTGGAACTGAATTGAATGCTGTTTGATTTAGGAATTATAGCAATTCATATCTTAAGGGCTCTGGAGTCTTCATCAAACCATGGAAAATATGGTACATTAACTCTGGAGACCATACATAGAGATGCTAAGCTCAGGAACATTCTAACCAACAGAAATTCCTAGAGGGGGAGCCTGCTCCTTTCTGCATTCCAGTTTGATCTGCTTAGTTTGGGATAACCTTTGTTCAACAAGTAACATTGTCATCAAGTCTTTTTCTGAATCGGTACCAAATTCTCCCATTTTAAAAAGTCACCTATTTAATAGGCCTATTTCCTTGGTCGGTCCTCTTTACAGGATTTTTGTGAGCTTGAAGATGGGGAAGGTGATAAGAAACCTGTAGAACTGGGTGAGAGGGCGACATAACAGGCCTGGCCCAAACCTGGGGTATTAGGTACGTCAAGGTACAAATTTTATTAGAACACAAAGATGAGTTAGGAAAAATAGTTTGTCAGAAATCCATCAATGGAAACAATGTAGTGTGCTGCTTCTTTAGTTCAGAGGTTTCTATTGGGGTCCTGATGTGCTTTCTCTCTGCTAGTCCCTAGCCTTGAATGTGACTTTTTCAGGCTTACCTTGGGTCTTATTTTAATTTTTTCTTGCACATTCTTTAACGAAAATACTACTCTACAGCTAATGGTAGCTCTTCTTTTCTTAAAAAAAAAATGAAATAAAACAAACAAAAAAATTTTTATGTGTTTTTTTGTGAGCAGAGGCTCACACCTGTAATCCCAGCACTTTGGGAGGCCAGGGTGGGCAGATCACTTCAGTCCAGGAGTTCAAGACCAGCCTGGGAAACATGGTGAGACTCCATCTCTACAAAGAAATACAAAAATTAGCCGGGCGTGGTGGTGTGCGCCTGTAGTCCCAGCTACTCAGGATGCTGAGATGGGAGGATTGCTTGAGGCCAGGAGTTGGAGGTTGCAGTGAGCCAAGAACGTGCCACTGCACTCCAGCTGGGGTGACAGAGTGAGACTCTGTCTCAAAAAAAGAAAGAAAAAAACCCAAAGCATTTTAATGAGGTATGATTGAGCATTTTAGTATTATGTGGTCCATCTTACATGGATATAGAGGTGTGCAATTCTTTTGGTGGACGTGAATTAACACTGGTTAAAGTTTTGCCATAGATTTTCCATTATGTTGAACAAGACAAGTGAAAAATAAAAATAAAGTTTAGCACACATCCACACAATCGACATTCTCAGAACACTGGCCTTCCTCCACAGTTGCTGCTTGGGAAGAAAATTTCTGTTTGCCCCTCTCCTTTTTGTTTTCATTTTCATTTTACCTCCCTTCTCTCCTTCCCTTTCTTCTTTTATCCAGATACTATGAATGAATCTTTTCATTAGTAAAATTCTTATGTACCTTAAGAGAATTATCATTCTGCCTCTTCTTTCTGAAACAAAACAGAATTTTGATTTGTTATTAAATTGGCCTTTTAAAAAATACATCATTACTTATTGGATGTTTTCTCACAGGATAAAAATCTGGGCTTGTATTGTCAATGCTCCTCTCCAAATCGCAATAATTTGATCTATCTATAGATCTATACCAATAGGTGAGCAATAATAGATATCAATTTTGGAAAATGAAAGAAAATCAATTAAACTATTAGAAAGATATTCAAAAAATGTGTCTTGAAGTCTGAGGATGATTCCTATAGAAAATGCTTCTTTGTTTTTGCTTATCAAATCTATTTAATTTATCCAGTATTTATAGAGAGCCTACTATGTGGTATGTAACAAAAAAAAATGTATCCAAGTGTAATACTTTGCCACACCATTCCAGGAAATGGTATTTGGCTTGCTACTGACATTCACCTATTGTCATTTAAAAACATTAAACACTGGACTTGTAGAAATGATTCTCTGGAGAGCACTAGTAGGTTTTTTATAGGACATTGTCTGGAAGGGAAAGTTCCCGGAGCGTGTGAATGAAGGCACTGAGCCACTGCCATGGGTGAAAGGCGACAGCTCAGCCTCTTAGTCTCTGTTCCTTATACCTAACAATAGCACACAATTTGCTATCCAGACATACAGTCCATTTATTACTGAATCAAGTCCAGAGGTACAGAATCGACCTACTTCAAATATAGAAGTAACTAATCTTGCTAGCTTAACAACACTCTATGGTTTCATCCGTGGCAAGGCAAAGATTCTTGAAAATTTTGTCTTTGATTTTCAAATTTAGCAGATAGCACATTAAAAAAATAACATCACTTCCTCAATTATTTTTCTTCATTGATTCACAGGTGACATTTTATATTTTTAATTCTTGTGTTCTTGAAAAGTAACTGCATTATGCCCAAATGTCCCATACTCCCAGACTTCAGTTAGAAATAAAATATGAGCAGATACGTGTGATAAACATGTAGCTGTGAAAAAGTTCAAGCTGGAGAGTCCAGCTGCCTGTGTTTGCATTCTGGCTCCATCATTCACCAGCTGGGCAGCGCTTGGTGACTTACTGACCCTCTCTGTGCTTCTGCAGGATGTGGTCGATAATGAAGCTCACTCATAGAACTGTTGTGAAGATTAGTGCAGTGAAAACATTTAAAGCAATTCTTGGGACACAGTGAGTGCTCAGTAAAGGCTTATAGTTATATCAAAAGATAGAGATACATTTAAATCTTAATGAATGTAGTCCAATTCAATTTCACAAGGACAGTTTTTCTTGAATATAGGAGGGCATTTGCCTATGGAGAAAATAATGTGACATGAATTAATCATTATCAATGGCAAATGATCGTTAAATACAGACATTCAGCAGACAACAGCAGATGGAAGGCAATGGTTCTGTCTATCTTGTTGGTTATTTTTCTCATTCATGTGGTTACTTCATGACATTCTGAGGTTCTGTACCTTGAAAGAATCCTTTCTCTTTGTTTTCAGCAGCTTTAATCTTCCATCAACCTTGCATCTCCTTTGAGGTCTAGAGTGGTCTCCTCATGCTTTTCAGTTCCTTTAGGGCCATTCCCTTTGTCTTAAAAACCTTCTAAAGATACACGCAGCATTTGGACCACACTCTGCTTGTAGATCGGGACTGCTGCAAAGATGTCATTGTTGAAAGGAACTCAGGGGCCGTGGAGCTTTGGGTGCTCTGCTAAGGAAACAGACCCAGAGAGGATCTGGCTTCCTCACGATTACTATCTATGACTAAGCATGAATTAGTAACTACTAAATCCATATCAAATTAGCCATGTGAAAAACTGGGACTAAATAGGCACCTGATCTGAGTTCTCTGAATTCCAATTTGGAGGTTTTTGACACTGTTCCACATTAACTTCCACAGCCTTTGGACTAAGAGTCACTTGGGGCTTGGATTTTTAGTTTTGGCCTTGTCATAAAATTACTTACTGGCAAACACCACATACCTTATGGCAACCACAGAAAAATGAAGGAATCGTAAGGATGATGTACTGTCACAAATTCAAAATGAAGCCTTGTTTGCCCCCCTAGAACTTCTTAGTTAAATCCCAGCCCTAACATTAACTATGTCTCTATTTGCCTTTATAAGGTTAGTACCTTGGTAAGAGAATAAATGCTACTTTGTTCTTTATTTCATTAATTCCATAAATAATAGGATTTTTAGCCTAACAATGTTTACAGTCTATATATAAGCCACTTTATAAATATTTAAAATTTCCACTTATGTAGTTAACACAATCTTAAAAATTATGTTTGAACAGACTTCACCAACTGTCAGAGTGTTAATTGAAGACCACTTAGGAGAACACCAAAGTACCTGTAGAGTCAATGTTTACAGTTCTTACTGTTTTTTTTTCTCCAAAGTTTAAAGAAACATGATCAACCCTCATCTATTTTGTGTTCCTCAATGCAATGACATGAATGTCATATTGACAAGGATTCAATTTCTTTCCATTGCAGGGGAAGAGGAAACTATTCCCAAGATAAATTTAAAAAGACAGCTGGGCCACACAAACTTACCAAAGCCAATACCCAGTGATTAAGTGGTTCTGCCCAAGTAAATCAAATGTGTGCTGTAGTACACAAGTCTCCAAGTGAAAGACCTGTCTAGTATTTTTCATACACACTTTCTGAAAAACAAAAACAAAAGCAAAAGCAAGTATGGTGGTAGCTTTCATGCCCAAAGCAAAAACCTTCAAAACCAAACACTTAAACTACACTGGTATTGTGAGAATAAATGCTGGTGTTCGGGAATAAATACTGTACCAGAAATGCTGATTAAAATATTAACAAAGTCTTATCTTTTTCGAGATCTCTTTCCTCTGTAAACTCAGCAGTTTTAATGGGGTTTGAGTAATGATGGACTTAGTAAAAACTTCATCAAGGTTGGAAAGGAAGAAAGCAATTTTATGGTAACTGTCGGCTAATTAGTGAACTAAAGCCTAAATTGGAACACACACACATACACTTAAAAGACTTTGGGCTTCGGAGAAAGAAAATCCATTGTAATAAGAAGTCAAGCAGTCTCTTCAGTTGACACCAAGAATTCTTCTCAGTTTTTCATGTGGGAATGCAATCCTGTCACATCATATTATCCAAGTAGTTAGTAAAAACAAATTCCTCTGGAATTGCTTATTATTTCAGTGATCCAAATAAACGCCAGTCACCTCAACCTGTGCTTGGTGACTCCCAGGGATGACTGGGCCAGGCTGTGTGGTCCCAGCCGAGCTGGTCAGTTCAGTAACTGGCTTTCATGAAAATGGCCTGGGCCCTTCCTTCTCCAACATGATGGAAATAATTTCTGGAAAGGCCAACATTTAGATAAACCCTGATGGTTTGCACCTTTTTATAACTTTCCAGATCTGACCCATAAGTTCCAGCCAAGTTCAAACCTCCCCTTACGTTCTAGACGTTCTGAGAACCAAACTGGTGATTGGGGAGAGTTTGAATCTACAACGTTGGCCTCAGAACTTAGAGAGTGCAAGTCGTCTTGCTGGTCCTTGCTGTGGAAATCGTTCACTTTCTTCCTTACTATGTACTGTACAGGAAAGCTGCCCAAAATGTGTTTTTTGTTTATTGGTAAAGGGTCTTGTTGGAATCAAGTTACTTAGGAATGTGTCTATTGCAATTAAAAGAGGCATAATGTTTATATTAACATTTTAAAGTTTGGTTACTCAGGGAGCATTGGTTTACATGAGTGTAAATAGGTGATAATGAATATGTTGAATTATTCCATATTAAAACTGTAGCTTCCTAGGAAGATGTTAGTGTGGTTAAATAGACTCTCTAGTACCAGCTGCAGGACAACAGACAATACTATTGTTAGCATTTAGTCCCTGTATATCTTAAATAGGTAAACAAAAAAGCTGGATATCATTTTCCTGCTTAGAATTTTAGTGAATGCATTGACTACAGGTTGCTTAAGATATGATTATGAAGAACCAGATTAGGAAATGATTGTAGGAAAATAAAACTAAGTATTTGGATTTAAATAATTTGCCAAAAATTCAGATTAAAATTATATTGGTTAGGAGAGGAAGCTTCTGGATCCAAGGATACATTCCATTCTATTTCCTGGGGTCCGCTTAGCGGACTGTGGTTACCTGCGTGTGTTGATGCAGGACCCAGTACGCACAGTGATTCCTTCTCCTTCTTCTCAGTGACTTAATTATCTCCTAAAACACTACAGGTGCCTCTCCTCTTCTCTCATTCATTTTCATTCCACTTAGCACGTCATCCCGTGGTGGAGAAGAAGCCTTGAGTGCACGTTTCATTTTTTTTATGGTGTAAAGATACATATTTAGAATTAGCCAGCTGGACTTGGTTTAGATGATCTCGATTTTGTTGGCAACATCCGAAGCATCTTAATCAGGAGCCAGTGGAACATATGCCTTCTTCTCTCCATCAGGGCTGATCAGGATGTGGACTTGGCCACATCAATGTCAGAGAGCTTCTTCACAACCTGTTTGATTTGGTGCTTGTTGGCTTTAACATCCCCAATGAGCACAAGTGTTTTCTTTCATCTAGCTTCCTCATGGCAGACTCAGTGGCTGGGGGAACTTGATGGAAGCATGGTTAAGCTACTTCCTCCTGGGGCTGCCTTCGGAGTTTTGGTATCTTGGGCTGCTGGAAGGTGAGTGACATGTGGATGTTTTGTGTGTGTGTGTGCGTGTGTGGCTGTGGATGCCTTTCAGCAGTGCCTTCTTGGCCTTCAGAGCTTCTGCTTTGGCTTCATCTCGAGGGGAGGAAGGAGCTTCCTTCTTGGCCTTCAGCACCACTTTGTTAAATGCACGTCTCTTAAGCCCTGCTGTCCGCAGGTGAAGTTGTATTCCTGCTGTCATCCCCTTCCCCAGACTCTGATCTGTCTTCCAGAATCTCGCTGCCTCGCGGCGGGCAGAGCCTAGAGATCAGAAACACATTTTTCATCTCTTCTTTTAAATTCTTAACAGGACTGGCCTTTGTCTTTCTCCAAAGATACTTTAGTTTCTGTTCATTTTCCTAGGGAGGTTACAGCTTCCACATTCAAGAGCTCCAGTGGTCAAACTGAAAGAAGGAAATCACACCTCTCATTGTTCTTTGGGGGGAGATTTTCAAATCAATTCAGTAAATACTTGTTGCATGCTTACTATATTGCAGATACTAGATGCTAGAGACTGATGGAAGGAAGTAGATGTGGATATACAAAGATGAGAGTTCCAGCCATGGAGAAGGCTAGGCTTGGATGGAGGAAAGCTATATGCACACAAATCACTGTATAGGATACAATGTGGTAATAGAAAAGAGATTTGAAGTGCTGCAGAGCTACAGAATAGGCAGCTAAATTATTCTCCATGAAAGGATGGAGGAAAACTTCAGGGGGGTGGTAGCACTTCTGATGGGCCTCGAAATGTGGTTGGGATTCAGTTATTAGAGATCAGAGTTTGGGTGTCAGGGGAAGATCACTAAGGCCATAAAGACCAGGAATCAGAAACAGGTAGGATGATAAATGCTAAGCATGGAGTGGTGACCCAGGCACTGACTACGTGTGTGCATACATGCATATGTGAGAGGGGGTGTGTGTACCAGCGGGGAGAGAAGAAGGGCTGTGAGAGAGGTGATGGGTGTCGTGGCAGTTCATTGTGGTGGACCAAGATGGTGGTTATGATTTCAATCAGAGCCGTCAAAGGATTTTCCAAATATTTTATTTTCTGAGAAAATTCAGAAACAACTTAGAGGCATTGAGAAGAAAAATATCCCTTGTAACCTTCCTCTGTGTTCTGAATGCTTGTTTTCCCGCACCTGCCCCCAATTCATATGTTGAGATCTTAACCCTCAAGGTGATGGTATTTGGAGGTGGGGCCTTTGGAAGGTGATTAGGTCCTGAGGGTGGAGCCCTGATGAATAGGATTAGTGCTATTAAATGAGCCCCTTCTACGCTGTGAGGACACAATGAGAAGGCACCATTTATGAACCAGTAAGGAGGCCCTCACCAGACAGTAGATTTGCTGGTGGCTTGGTCTTAGACTTCCCTTCCCAGCCTCCAGAATAGTAAGACACAAATTTATTTTCTTTCTCTTTTTTTTTTTTTTTTTTGAGATGGAGTCTCACTCTGTTTGGGGTACAGTGGCATGATATCTGCTCACTGCAACCTCCATCTCCCATGTTCAAGCAATTCTCCTGCCTCAGCCTTCCAAGTAGCCAGGATTACAAGTGTGCACCACCATGCCCAGCTATTTTTTGTATTTTTAGTAGAGATGGGGTTTCACCATGTTGGCCAGGCTGGTCTCGAACTCCTGACCTCAGGTGATCTGCCCGCCTCGGCCTCCCAAAGTGCTGGGATTACAGGTGTGAGCCACTGCACCCGGCCAACAAATTTCTGTTGTTTATAAGCCACCTGGTCTATGATGCTGTGTTAAAGCAGCCCAGACTAAGACACCCTTCGACCTTGATAGAAATTGCCACCGATCTTCAGAGGTGTTTCCTGCTAATTTCTGCTTTATGAATTTAAGAAAAACTAATAAGATATTATATACATGTTCTGAATATTTTCTTTATTATAAATTTGTATGTTATAAATTTATATACAAATTTGCATATGTATAGCTTTGTATAAATTTCCTTGAGTATGTTCTTACAATTTAATCAGCATAATTTTAATGGCTCTATAATACCCCAGAATTCACATATATTTTCCCCTGTTTTAGGGTGGCCTGTTGATGTAGTATTGCCATTCAGCATTAAACTTTTAAAAGGGATTGTATTATGCATTGCCTAACACTTGTTTTCATAATACATCACAATTATACCCCAATTTACTCCTTTTCCTTACTGGAAATCCATGCCATCTGATGAAAACTCATGGCAGCAGGGCCCCCGATCCCTCTTGGACCACAGCCAGCTTCCTCCAGTGTGTCAGATCCACCTATGGGCGCTCCTTCCCCTGCTCCTGCATTTCCAGTGTCCACTCCTAGATGTCTCCTTTCACTTCTGCTACACTGCCAGTCGACTTAACAGATCTAACTGTGTCTGTGGGGTCTCAGGTACCATGTTCTCCTCGCCCACCATCATCTCTGCCCTCCATCTGCCTTTGGAGGCCTTTGGCACGGGCCCTTCCTGGATGGGCGCTGCTCCTCTGCCCATCACAGGCTTCATGGCCAAAACCACGCTGCTGCCCAGGTGATGCTCTATGAAGAAACTTATCCATCTTCAGCCAGACATCCCAACTTCCACCCACCATGCAAGTGCTCGCAAACCTGGAGGCTTCTCCCTGTTCATGTGTCCTTTGTCATCATTATTAAAAACCATAATATTCCATTCTTTATTTACTTCTTATTGTTCACATCATGGCAGTTATTTCAGATCTTTTACTCTCCGTAATTTTAATTTCCACCCCTGCTCGACTCACTCCTAGAAGTTTACCTTACCTTCTATTAGGAAGATTGAAGACACCTAGAAAATCCCTGTCTGTATTTTTACTTATCTTTTAAGAAATCCCCACTTCAGTTCTCCCCTTCTGCTTCACAAAATGCCATATTAAGCATAAAAGTGCCAAAACTTATAAAAGGCAAAGCAAGTGGTACATTTTCAGAATCTAAATAATTAATGAATAGAGTTAAAAAAAAACAAAACTGTATTCTGCTTTTAACAAATCAAAAATACCCTGTTCATTTCAGTAAGAATATGAATTTAATTTCAGTACTTATGCTAATCACTCTCACTTTGCACACTATTAAGAACCTTTTAAAAACTGGTTATAAAAGTAATATGTTTATTGAAAAAAATTGGAAAAATACACAAATAACGCAAGGGAGAAAATAACCCATAGAACAACACAATGGATAGTGTTATGTAGGACATAGATCATCTAGGATCAAACACTAGCTACCCAATGTATTACCTGAGTGATCTTTGACAACTTAATCTCTCTTTGCTCTCGTTTTCTCACTGTCAAAATAGAGATCAAAATAGTTCATTCTGTGAATTATTTTGATGAGTGAATAAAATAATTATGTAAAGGTTTTATTGCATTCCTTGGCACTTAGTAAACTTCAATGTAGTTTTTCTTTCTTCCAAATTTTATATACACATATTACATGTCATATGCATATGTAATATTTATAAAACTGGGGTCACGTTGCATTTAACATACTGTAGCCTACTTTTTTAACTTAACATTATCTTGTCAGCATTTCCCTGAGCCATTTTGCATTCTTTGAACACATGGTTTTTAATGCCTGAATAGCATTCTGTTCTATGGATTTACTATAATTTACTTAACTAAATTCCTATTGTTGCTTAATTAGGCAGTGGCAATTTTTTGCTATTATAAATAGCATTGCAATGAACATCCTTGTACATAATTCTTTGTTTGCTTCTCTGATAATTTCCTTGGGATAAATTCCAAGAACTGTAATTATTAGGTCAAAGGATAAGAACATTTGTAAGAATCTTGATCTATGTGGTCAATCTGCTCTCCAGAAAGTTTGCCCTCATTTATATTCTCTGCTTCAATATGGGAGAGAGTTTGTGTTTCACCAGACCTTGGCCACTGGTGGATAATGTACAAGAGCTTGTTTTGGAAACTGCTGGTTTCTTAGATGAAGGAGACCTTACGCGCTTTTCATTGGCAGGTTTTGGTTGCATGAGTGATTTGTGGGCGATGTTAGGAGAGTAAACCTGAAGAGCAGATTTCCCTTGGGCAGCTACCCCAGAGTACGGAAATGAACTTGAAACTTCAAGATACAAACATGAAAGGTGAAATGCAGCTCTCAACCATCTTTTTATAGACAAATATTATACTTCCTTGAAAATATTTATAAAAATAATGCCATTTATTTAAGCTAATCTGGAGTCCTCCGCCACCCAGTAATCGTTTAGCAGCCTCACCTTTCCTGTAATGTGGGTGATGACAGTGTGTCACCTGGAAGTGAAAGGGGTCCACGGCTTTTTCCACACCAAGACCTTCTTCTAATCTCTTTCATGTTTGGGCACCAACTCTGGGTACCGACTACTGGGTTCTTATAAGGGCTTACTCTTGACATTTAAAGAGGTATCAAAGGGAGGCCTTTTTTGTTTAAAATGCACTGCTTCCCAACAGTCAGTGGCAGAGAAAAAGGTTGGTTATAGGATCAGATGAGAAAACAGAGTTCAGGAATGCTGACCCCCATCTGAAGTGCTGGACTTACCCTGATGCTCTAACTCATATTTTTGAATCCCTTTTACCACTTACTCTTTAGCTAGTAAGGTCAATGTAATAAGTTATATCCATCATTGCAATGATGCGCTTCCTATGTATGTATGTTAATTGTGTATGTGCATGTTTAAGCTGTGGGGATTTTTTGTTTGAAAGAATGTGTGCTGTTTAGAGAAGAGGGGGCTTGTCCTTGGGTGAGATGGAGATTGTAGTTTGTGTTGCATCCAGGCGGGTGGACTGAGGAGGGTAAAAAGACAGTCCTTCATTCTGCCTGTGAGTGTGATGGCAATTAACATGTTTGTCTGTAAAAACAAGAAGTAGTCTCTGCGCTATGGAGAACTGATTAGAGCCCTGCATGCTCAGAGTAAAAAGCAGATGGGGTGAGGGGGGTAGGGAGGTGGTCGGTATTAGTGAGTTCTGCGAGCACTTGTGCAGGGCCAGACAGCTGAGAATAGACTGGAATAGAAAGCAAATCATTCCGGATGGTGAGAGTCCACAAGACAATCCATAGCTGAACTACCGAGAAAGAGAAAAAGGCAGAGCTGATGTAAACAGAGCTTAGTAACAGTTTGCTCTAGTAAAATGGTGGTTTCATATCAGATTTAACTGGTTCTCCTCATAGCTTGATTAACTGGTTTATCACTTTGTTTTTGGTTAGAAGTTTGAGTTTGTTCAGTCTACATATTTCTTTTTTTTTTTCTTAAAAAAAGGCTCCAGTTTGATATTGTCTTCTATATCGACAGGGATTAATTTTAACTTAGATCCTTTGCTGATGAGCATGCTGACTTGTAAAGCATAATAACTGGTGTTTTCATATCACACTGTCATCATTTAGGTGTAAGGGGTGACTAGATTAAGACTGCAGTTTTTAAAGTTTTTGGTAGCTTTGTTCAGCAAATCCTCTGGAAGTTGTGATGCTTTGCCAGACACAGTCTTTGATTTTGGTTTAGACTGTGCTTTGATTCACTGGCTGCTTGGGATAATCGTCTCTGTTAGCACAGAGTATATCACTGACTCAGATGAGAGCCCGGTGTGGAGATGGCTCTGTCACTACAATCATCTAGTAAGTCATTCCAAGTTGGGGCTTAGGACTCTGATTTCCTCTCCCAGGCTTGAATGTGTGCTTTTGGCACATGAATCCTTCTTGATTCTTATCTTAGTCTGTAAATAGCATAGAAATTACACATGGAAAAATGGAACAAATCATACTTTCTTTCAAAGGGCAAATTAAACATTCCATAGAATAAGGAAAGAGTTGTTAGTGAGGGAAAAAAAATGCAACCTTGCTAGCTCCAGTGTGAAAAAAGAACAGCATAAATTGGACTCAAACGCAACCTTAAAGAACGTTTTGAGCATTTGCACTTTTTTTCTTTAACCGCCCTCTTAGCCCTCCTGCCAAATACCGAATCCTAAGTTTTCCAAAGGTTTGAAAATATTCCCATTAATTTTTTTTCCCCTTATAGCCCTGTATTTACCAGGGCTTGAAATGGAAATACTGAAACCTAGTAATGAAGGGCACTATAGAATTCCTGGTCCATCGGAGGCCAAGTGCTCCTGGCAAAATGCTCAGGAAGTCCCCTTCCTACCAGGCTACAGTGCGGTTTTCAGTTACAGACTTTTGAAAATTCAGGTAAATTAAGAATAAGCAGTTTACCTAAAAAAAAAATGAAGTGAGCTGTTTCTTTGATTCAATAAATAAATACATTTGCAGATGAAAATATGAAACCATCTTCCTGAAAAGGGAGAGGATGAATGTCCTGTGAGAATGACACAGAATGGTAAGATTCTGTCCATCTTCTGGAGGAGACACTGGGTATGTCAACTCTGAGTTGGACAGAGTTCAACGACACACGTGGATTGTCACTCATTCGTGGAATTCTGGAATGCAACATCTCTTATTCCATCCATACTGCTTTCAAGAGTCAGCTGTTATGTGAGCACCTCTAGGACAGTGAGGGGGGATCCTGATTCATTCAATTACAATTGTTCAAGGGATGACCGGACAAATTTGAACAAGGGCAA
Organism: Homo sapiens; assembly: GCF_000001405.40. NCBI lineage: Eukaryota > Metazoa > Chordata > Mammalia > Primates > Hominidae > Homo > Homo sapiens. Next base: position 104,671,806 of record NC_000002.12, on the reverse strand, counting down.
GAAGTGAGTAAAAAGTGAGTGAGAACAAGGCAGCCTCTCTCATTTATTAGAGAGCTACTGGCTGTGGCTCTGAAGAGGCTGTAGGCAGGGAGGACTGTCTTGATCACATTTGCACAGTTGGTGAATGGCCTGTTAGGACTAGAATCCGGATGCTGCTTTCCAATTCTGCATCCATTCGCCAACCATGCTGGCCCAAGGCACAACCAGCTCCATCACGTTACATCCTGGCCCCGAATATTAAACTCATGCTCTCTCCTGGTTCAATTTTTCATTTATAACTGTGGCACCACTCAAGTTTCCACTCTGCCCTTCTCTGTCTCCTGGCTCAGGTGCATATTTATTCAGCTTCCCCACTCTGCACCTCTAGCCAGAGCATCTTCACTCATCTGTCCTCTCTCTCTCTGGGAAGGCCATCACTATTCCTTTATCGGAGAGATACCTTCAGCTAGGCTCTCAATCCCATCCTCTTCCAGCCCTCAAAGGTGATGGATCTTTCCATCCCTTGTGACGCTGGGACTGAGCCATTCTCTGGGCAGGCTGTACCCTGTGCTGTGCCAAGGCTGCTCCAGCCTCCATCCTCTGCCTGGACAGCTCTGCTGGGGCTTCCCTCTTCTTTTGTGTGTCTATTGTCATTCATTGACATTTGCTGTTAATATGTTAATGTACATATAGTCAATTTTAGGAGTGGTAAAAGCTCCTTTTAGAAAATACAAGAAAATAGGCCCGGCACGGTGGCTTATGCCTGTAATCCCAGCTCTTTGGGAGGCCGAGGTGGGAGGATCACCTGAAGTCAGGAGACCAGCCTGGCCAACATGGTGAGACCCCGTCTCTACTAAAAATACAAAACATTAGCCGGGCGTGGTGGCGCGTGCCTGTAATCCCAGCTGAGGCAAGAGAATCTCTTGATTCAGGGAGGCAGAGGTTGCAGTGAACTGAGATGGTGCCACTGTACTACTGTACCCCAGCCTGGGACACAGAGTGAGACTCCATCTCAAAAAAAAAAAAAAAAAAAAAAAAAAAGAAAGGAAAGAAAATACGAGAAAACAAATCATGCAATAAAGCAGAAATCACTATAGTTCCCAATGTATCTTAGGCTACTTTCCCTCCCCCCACCCAGGTTTTTAAAAAGCAAAATTGTAATCCTATAGTTTTTTTTTTTTTTTTTTTTGTTAGATGGACTCTTGCTCTGTCGCCCAGGCTGGAGTGCAGTGGTGCGATCTCGGCTCACTGCAATCTCCACCTCCTGAGTTCAAATAATTCTCTGCCTCAGCCTCCTGAGTAGCTGGGATTACAGGCATGTGCCACCATGCCCAGCTAATTTTTTTGCATTTTTAGTAGCGATGGGGTTTCACCATCTTGGCCAGGCTGATCTTGAACTCCTCACCCCGTGATCCACCTGCCTTGGCCTCCCAAAGTGGTGGGATTACAGGCGTGAGCCACCACACCCGGCCATAATCCTACAGAATTTTTAAAAATCCCCAACTGCACATGATATTTCTTTGATTGATTTTAAAAGTACTTTCTTGGTAGAATATTTAAAATATATAGAAAGGTCCAAAGGAAAACATTTCCTAGAGCTTCACCCTACATTTCAATGTACTTCCTTAGGACATTTTTTTCCAAGCTCATCTAAAGGGCATACTTTCGGCATGATTTTTGGGAATACCTGGTACAAGAATAGTCACAGCTTCTACATGGAAGAGCATGTAAAGGGGGAGTTTAGCAGTAGATAACAGCTGCTGCTGGGTGCCTTAGTAGTCTTTATTGATTAAAAGAAAACAATCCTAAATGGTTTAGATCATTCCTCTAAAGATGCAGTAAAACATTAGCCACGTTTTTGGCAATAAAAATGCCATAATGCCAAAAATATCATATTATTTTATTTACATACTTCTTGGAAGAAAAAATGCTTTTTTAATTTAATAGTTCTCTTAGTGTCTCAATTGTGTAATAAGCTTAGCTGGAACAGGATGCTGTCATTTATTAGACTGAAGCAGCTTAGTTTCCTGGTTAAAAGTAGGATGCCCCGGCTGGGCGCGGTGGCTCATGCCTGTAATCCCAGCACTTTGGGAGGCCGAGGCGGGCGGATCATGAGGTCAGGAGATCGAGACCATCCTGGCTAACTCGGTGAAACCTATTCTCTACTAAAAATACAAAAAAATTAGCCAGACGTGGTGGCGGGCGCCTGTAGTCCCAGCTACTCAGGAGGCTGAGGCAGGAGAATGGCGTGAACCCGGAAAGCGGAGCTTGCAGTAAGCCGAGATCGCACCACTGCACTCCAGCCTGGGCGACAGAGCGAGACTCCGTTCCCCCCTTCCCCCACCAAAAAAACGTAGGATGATCCTGGCTTGATGGGCTCTGCAACTTACTATCTGTTACTTATTAGCTGGTGATAGTATAAATTCTTATCTTCCCCGTCTTCATAATTATCTTAGCAAGAAGCTGGGTGAATCAAGGCTAGCAGCCACTACTAGTCAAATGCCTGACCGCTTTTTCCGCTTTCAGAATCCTCTCAGGCTTCCCCAACTTGCACCCACCCTCCCAGGGGTAAAATTAGTTTCTCCATTTCTTGTGCTCTCATAGAATACGTACTCAAGTCTCTCACAGTATTGATTGAAATGTGTACTGTATTTTTTAAACGTCCATCATCTCTCACTTCCCTCTTGCCAATACTGTAAGCCTGTGAGCTTATTAGGTATTGGGACTTTTAAAAAAAATCTTTGTGTCATCAGAGCCCAGCCTGGACCTTGTGGGTGCTTAATACAAATGCCTCTCAGATGTATAAATACTGTACTCTGGAACTGATTTTCAAACTAAAATGCATCGCCTCCTATTTATTTCTACTGCATTTGGGCCTCAACATCCCAGTAGTGTTTATTTTTACTTGGTTGTAAGATACAACCAAAAAAAAATCAAAACAAAACATAACAAAACTGTGCATCAGCAGAATGCAGTGATATAGCTTCCTTGTCTGAATATTCCATGTGCATTTAGTCATTTATGCAAAAATTACTCGTGAGTGAAGGAGGTGCAGTGGAATTTACAAAAGTAATAATGGCCAAATAACAAGGAAGATGTTACTTATTATTATAAGGTATTCATGTTTTACAAATGAGCAAACTGAGGCTCAGAAAGACCACATGATGAAGGGCAACACAGATTTACTGGCAGAAATAAGACTACAACATGTTATTCAGGGGAAATGATAGCTGTCCTTGAAATACAGTGGTTAAGTATGGGATAATAGACAAGGCAGCCCCGATGGAGGAGGTATCTCTAACTGAGTCTTGTAGGGAACGGACTAGAGAATAGAAAGATTCCAGGGTAGAGAGCCATAGTCACTTGAGGACATCATGGTGCAAGCATCGAAGCAGAGTAAGACCCTCCAGAGTGACCAGATGTGCAGCAGAGTAGCACACAGTCATTTTTTGTGTGTAACTTGTAATTCCTTTTCCTCCAAAAGGCAGCAACTGGCTCTTGTGTTGGAGCAGCCTACCATTTTACTCACTTTCCCTGCAAAACCTATCGACTTCCTCAAATACCTCCAAATTCAGAGGGACCAGAATACAGTTGAAGGAATAACAGATGTGATAAACAAACAGTCTGAAAAGAAATTGAGTTGTCTATGGATACTATGGTCTGAGTTTTAATAATTCATAATCCCATTAAAATACTAATTCATAATCCAGTTAACATGTGCAGAAACATGAAACATTACTTAAACTATTTTTAAAAGATCTGGGAAAATATTATACATTATTTTAAGTTATTTACTTTGAAGGTATTTAGCATACTAGATATGACAGAACTTTTGACTTTTTCAATGAGACAGAATATGAGAAGACAAAGGTTTTATTAAGAGTGCAGCAATACTCATTATCAGAACAATTTCAAAGTTTGTATAATAAAAGGAATTTGGAGAAATTGAATATTGTAAATGAAAAAACTTTTAAGGCTTGTGTTCAAGAATTGTGCATGTCGTGTGTTTTTGGCATGCTTTAAATTCATGAACCACAGTCTGCTATAAAAATTCTGCAAACTTTTTAAGGCTTTTGCATCCCTAATCAGTTTCTAAGTGTTATCAATTAATAAAATATATTTCATAACAAACATTTGGTAAATATTTAGCATCATTATTGATTTGCACTTACCTCAGGTTTTTTATTCTTTTTTCCTCCACTTCTAAAAAAGCATGCTACAGATTTCAGTAGAAGTTGGCAGCCACACAGATGTTGAAGTGTGAATTTGGGATGTTTGCAGGTTGTAAATATGTGGAATTTTGATCGTGAATGGGAATTTAACATTACAACCTTACATGGTTGGAAAGATTCTGCAATAGCAACAATTTCACATTTGCATAAACAGCTTTATTATAGTTGGAGTAATATATAGAAAGAACACAAATTGCTCTGACCAGAGTTAAACCTATAAAGCAATCACATTTGAATGAGGATTTTACTTAAAATCATAGACTCATCAACTTTAAAGTGTTTTTATCTTTCACAAGAGACAAATTTAGCCTGTTATGAATAAAATCCCTTAATATCTGCATTTTCTGCCTGGCATATGTATATTGCCTCAGTGGAACTTTAAAATAAAACCATACATAAGAAAAAATTAAAAAGAGGCAAAGAACTAAAGCACTAGACAAAAAAATCTATTTTTTTACATCAAATAGTAAAATAATTGTCAAAAGTGTTTGCTTTAATTGAATTTTAAGCCTAGAATCTTTTTCAGCGCTTGATTTCACGGTAAGAGTACAGAGAGTACGGAAACAGCTAGAACCTTTTGAAATTTACCATTCTCTTACCTTTTTGTTGATGTTAGTACCATCTCTGTCACTTTGCTTGGTGGAGGTATAGTTTTGATTGTGTAATTTTACAGGTATTTTATTAAAATATTCAGGAAGTTAGGTAGCTACATTCCAAATGCAACAAATTACAACGTGTTCTTGATAAATCAGAATGCTTTATGACACATATTTTCAAGCCTCAGGTTGAAACAATTTGTATGTCCCCATCGAAGGTGTGATATTCATTTGAAGAATTATGCAAGTTAGTTCAGCATTTCAGATAAATGTTGGATTAATTATCTGGCTCCTAGGAAACTTCACTCAGGCATGTCTTAGTTGCATACTGTTTGAAAATAAAAAGCAATTGAACTGAGAAATACAAATATAGCATTTCATGATATTGCTATTTTTATTGTAACTCTAAGTCAGTTTTAGATAGCAAAGCTCCGACCTTCAATTGAGGAAGCCTTTATAGTTTTTAACTGGTTATTAACTCCATCTCTTAAAAATATTAATTTGTAAGTTTGAAGGGAATGAAACAAAATTGTCTAATCACTTGAAAGTTGGTAAGATGATTTAGAAGAAAAGCACTCATATACAGAATGTTATTTCTCTAGTCTCATTCACATGGATGTTAACTTGTCAAAGCTATTCTCATTTCTATATATTTTACCCACTCTTAAAACACTGAATGGAGTTTTGCTGCCTTAAATTCAGAAGTGGAGTATTAATTCAGGAGAGAGAGCAGCAAAAATGTGAAAGTCTTTGTATTTCTCTCCTGGCAAATCAATGGCTTGTACAGATATGAGGGAAATAAATGCATGTTCCCAGTTAGAGTTCTTTAAAAGGAGGGGATGAGGAAAGATGAAGGGAATACTACTAATGCTTCTCCAAACATTAGCTGGAGATTGCAGTATATCTCAGCTGATTTTAGTCTTTACTTTAAATTTGAAAACTGAAAGAAAGCTAGAATTTAATAATAATAGGTAGCATTTATGGAAAGGTTTCTGTGGGTTCTCACCTCTCTACACCTATAATCTCATGAGATTTTTATGCACAACCCTATGAGGGAGGAGCAGATATTACCCCATTTTACAGGTTGATTAACCTGGGAAGAGATAAGTTATGGAAGCTGTCAATGGTTATACTGCAAGCATTTTGATCCCAGGCAGTCTGCCTCTAGAGTACACACTCCATTGAAATCTGTGTGACTGCATCTTGTTTTCAGCCCCAAGCAAAGGGCATGACAAGTAATTCTGAACATCATTCATGTCTTGTAGATGATCTGAAAATAAAGATAAGGAAAAAGAATTTAAAATCACATGGGATTCCGGTATCCAGTGACAATGATGGTGTAGTTTTTGGAGTGTGTATTTCAGGGTTTTCAATACTTACGGACATACCTGCACATTTGCGTGCACTTGCCGACCTCTCAGCTTTTCTCAGGAGAACAATACTCATTGACTGATCAATCAATAAATCCCTGTTGCTTCTCACCACGGAGTGTACTACACAGAGTAGCCCAGATAAGAAGCAGCTCAATAGCAAATCAAAGTGTGCGAATGTCTGCCTGTGTATGTGTGTGTGTGTGTTTGTATGTGTATGTGTGTATTTGTATGTGTATGTGTGTATTTTGCCCAAATAGTTGCTTGGTATCCTAGAGTGTACTATGTAGAATTGCCCAGATAAGAAGCAGCTCAATAGCAAACCAAAGTTAGCGAATGTCTGTCTTTGTGTGTGTGTGTGTGTGTGTATGTGCGTGTGTGTATGTATTTTGCCCAAATTGTTGCTGATCTTCTTTGTCCACACTATTGTGATATGCGAGACATTTCTTTCTCCACAAGCTGTTATAGGGCAGTCTCATGACTCCATTTTATTAATGGTTGCTTTAGAGGTTGACTGCTTAGATCCTGGAGGTATTCTCAAGGGCTTTCCAAGTAATTTTTGGATGTCGGGTAACACGTATTTAACCCAGATGATCTTAAATATACTTTCCAAAATTTGTTCTGGCCTCTGCCGGCCCCCTGCCTCTTTCTCTTCCTGTGGCATTTCTTAGGACTTCTCAGCATTGATTTCCAGTTAGCTGTCTTCCAGCTGCATTGTGGGATTGCATTTTCTGGCCTTCCTGAGATTGGGTGTGGTCATGTGACTGATTCTAGCCAATGAGGTGCAGCATTCAATTGCCAGTGCAAGACCCTCTAGAGCACTGTGGCTCCCACAGACTTAAGTCAGATGTGTAATTTTCAAGTTTCTAGTAACACATTAAAAATGTAAAAGAAACAGGTGAAATTAATTTTAACAATGTATCTTCTTTAACATAAGATATTTAAAATACAATTTCAACATGAAATCAATATAAAATTATTGAGGTTATTTTATATCCTTTTATAATTACTATTGTTATTTGGACAAAGTCTTGGCAATGAGATATGTATTTAGCACTTACAGCAATCTCAATTCACCCAAGCCCCATTCCAAGTACTCAATAGCAACATGCGCCAAGTGGCTACTTGGTTGGGGAGGCCAGCTTGGAGCGCTCTTTGACTCTGCTGCAGTGCAGCCTTGTTTGAGATGGTGGCTGTTGTATTCTTGGGTCACACAGTGAGGGGATGCGGAGCAGAGCTCCCTGCTGCCAAGAGGGACCTGGAATATGATGAGCACTAAACCTTGGTTGTTATAAGCCTCTAACATTTTTGTGTTTTTGTTATGTTACAGCATACTCTACCCTATCCTGCCTGACATTTCATTCCTCTCCATCACAGCGTCTTTTCTATCAGCTTTATAATATTGCATGGTATACACATATCATAGTGTATTTAACCAACTGCTCCAGTGTCGCACACTTAGAATTGTTCCCATTTACTCAATTTAATGATGCTGTAATATTTATCCCCATAGTTAAATCTTAGGGTACAATAATAATAATAATGATGATTTTTTTTTAACCACAAATTCCAAGAAATGAAGTGGTTGAGATAAAGGCACAGCACTTTTTATAGTGTATGATAGTTACTTCTGGTTGTTTCTTCAGAAAGTATCAATGTATTCATTCATCTACTACCTGATGTATAGCACAGAGTATTTATGTTAGTTTATTATTTAGATTAAATACTTTTTCATGTGAGTTAGACATTGTATTTATTATTTTTTCTAATTGCTTGTTCATTCCAACTGTCTTTTCCTACTGACTTGTTTGTCTTATTGATTTGTAATAATTCTGTCTGTGTGTAGGTTATTAAACTTTTGCTGTCATATTATATGCTCTTCATTTGTCATTTTTTCATCTTTGAGATTCAATTAAAGAGAATATATGACTGTATACGACTTTAAGTGTGCTTTTAGATATAACTTGTTTTTAAACCTGAAAATTTTGATTCTTCAGAAGTAAATGTGGATGCAAAAGCATAGGTTATTGCATGTCAAGTATTCAATTTTATTAAAAAATACAGTACAAATAAAGAATGTTCCACTTAGGTCCAAACTAAAGTAAAGCATTACTGAATACTTTTAGTTAATCATTACATGTTCTTTCATTCTTTTAAAAAGCTACCTGTGAAATCTTCCTGCATTACAGAACAAGATACGCATTATAAATCCTAAACAAGACATCCTGTTTTTTTTTTTTACATGAAATACCTTCTCTTAGTTGTGTATTTGCTTTCCACATAGAAAACATGTAACGCTCAATCAATATTTCTAGAAGAATTTTAGACTAACTCAAACTAAGTATATGTTATGGTTTGTTACCCCAACATTATTTCTGATAATAATTTAAATTAAAAAATGAGAGTTAATTCTCCCTTCCCACTTGGCCATTTTGGTCCAGTGACTCAAGAATTTTTTCTAAAGGATTCCCTTGGTTGTAATTGGCTTGGTGGTCCCTAATTCTTGTTATCATTCTATGCTTGCAACATCTGCCTGTTGTTTCTTGAAAAGTGTATTGTGAACTACAAGCTTATGCTATTTCTTAGCACTTGTATGTCATTCTTAACACACACAAGATGATTTGCATTCATTTGTAATCATTGTTCTTTGCAAAATACAGGTAAGAGGGTTATTATAATAACCACCATTTTGCCCATGGGGAAACTGAGACTCAGAAAGGTTAAGTGACTTACCCAAAGGCATACAGTGAATTGATGGCAGAGCCGGAATTGCAGGCGAGCATCCTTAGAGGTTGTCTATTGTTCAGCACACTCAGCGCAAGGCCTCTCGGCAGTGTGTTTTTTCTTCCAAGCATCACATTTTCTTATTCCTTCGCTAAACAATTCTTTAAGAACATGTGACATGCTTATAATACAAGGTTAGAATAATAATATCTTTTCTTCTATTTTTTCCTTCTCTTACTTAAATGTATTATTCCAACAACTTGGAAATAGCCGGGAAACAGAGAAATCACTCAAGCTTTTTACATGGAAAACAATTGAATGGCAATTGAAGAATCCAAAAGTGTATCTTGTCTTTTCCCTTAAGGGATGGGAAATGCACTCAAGTGAAAAGGAAAACTATGTACTTCTGTACACTCACTTATATTTACATAATAAGAGGTGAAGAAGAAATAGTAGTAGTATCACAAATAAGTGCTGTGATTTCAAAGTCTTTGTAATTGTTGAGAGTGACTAAACAGTATACAGTGCAAAGTCTGTAGGGATATTAATTCCAGGTGATCCTTCAAATTTATTTTGGCACTACAATTTTTTTAACAACCCCAGGTACTACAAAACTGTTAAATAGTATAGCACTATACTAATTCAACTGTTGAAATAACAGGTTATTAGTGGAAAAGGATTTTCCAGCTTTAAGTAATCAAAGAACAGAATGAATTATCCTTTGCAACGTTTTCTTAAAGTGTAGACTAGTATTGTTTTCAAGATAAGATTTTGGGGGGAGTTTGGGAACTTTGCATGTGTGTATGTTTCCATATTGATTTTGTGGATGTCAAAATCAATACTGTATTCAGAAAGAATAACATGCTATAACTTAGAAATTCCTATCTCCTCCTTCTCTCATGCCCCCATTTTCCATTTTAAAGAAATTTTGTGTTTGTCCTATTTAGAATACTGTTTGTGGATAGTTTCCCTACATTTTAAAAGATATAGTTTTAGCTTCTCTTTTATGTAAATTATTTAAAAATGTAATTTTAATAGGGATCTTTGGAAAGAACATGAAGGATATGAACAGAATTGTTGTTCAACTTAATTTAGGACCCTAATTTAGAACATACACCATGTTCTTTTTGCCTCCGAATGGTTTTTTAGTAACCCTCTGCTCCAAGAAGTTATCAATTCTTACCCACCCTCAGGAAGCAAGTCACATGTATTCAAACATAATCAGATTAACAGAGAAACTTAATCCGACTTACCTTAGAAGTAAGATTTCTTTCTCCAGCTTTCAGGAATAACACTTAAATACATATTTATCTAATTTTGTGGTTTTGTATAAAAAGTATTCAGTCACATTCTTCCTGGAGAGGCTACTTGTATCTCCTTTCTCCTTATTCCATGGTGTTCTTCCTACCTCAGGAAAAATTGGAGATAAGAAGAACTCACCATCTTTTAGGCAACCCTAGACTTCAGATTTCAGAGAATAATCAAAAAGGAAAATCAATCAAACAAACGAAAGATCCTTCAGATTACCCTAAGTCAAGTGGCTCATGCCTTTTATATGAAAGCATAAACTTTCTCTCTCGCATCATGTCCTCTCTGCCTTTCTAGCCACCTCTTTGGATTATTTATAGTTCCCCCTTCCCTACCTACCCACCACCCCTTTTTTTGTGTGTGGCTACCTCCTCTGTACCCAACAAAGGAGGAAGCCTGAGAGATGTTATCACTGTGGGTTGGCGGGGGACGGGGGTTCCCCTGCCTCTGGGAGGGTGGAGGGAATCAGGTTGAACAAGCAACATCACAGAGCATCCCCTCTGCTCACTTCTTGTCGCTGAGGCTGGGGACCAATCAACCACCTTAACTCTTGCACCTTGTACCTTGGAGCTGTGGAAATCGAACTATCCAGCCCCAGTGGGGTAGACCAGGAAGGCAGGCTTTATAAACACTGTCTTTCTTCTCTCTCTCTCTCTCTCTCTCTCTTTTTTTTTTTTTTTTTTTGAGATGGAGTCTCCGTCTATCGCCTAGGCTAGAGTGCAGTGGCGCAATCTCGGCTCACTGCAACCTCTGCCTCCTCGGTTCAAGTGATTCTCCTGCCTCAGCCTCCTGAGTAGCTGGTACTATAGGCGTGCGCCACCATGCCTGGCTAATTTTTGTATTTTTAGTAGAGACAGGGTTTCACCATGCTGACCAGGATGGTCTCGAACTCCTGACCTCATGTTGCACCCGCCTCGGCCTCCCAAAGTGCCGGGATTACAGGCGTGAGCCACCGCGCCCGGCTCTTCTCACTTTTAATAGCATAGCTTGGGCCTTGTGCGAGTCCCTGTGTGATGTGATTTGGAAATCTTAAAGAGGATATGGGGCTTGGGGTGCCCTCAAAGGCTCAGCACCCAGCAGAATGTGTTCTTGCTTAGGGTAGTAGTAAATCACCCACACTCTCATCACCTGTCCTGTGTTCAACTCTTTGTCCTCTACATGGTCATATTCTGACTTCCAAAATAATTAAGAAAAAGAGAACTTCCTTCAACCTCAGCATGTGCAAACACAATTTCAGAGGTAAATAGTTACCATGTCTAGCAATCAACTCTTTGGGCTCATTTGATTGAAATTCATGAGTTTGGGGAGAACATGACTGGCTAAGGAGTTTGGCAGCTCCAAGCCTGCAATAAACAGAAACTCCTGAATCACCCTATGAAAACCAGATATCTGGCTACGTTTATCAATATTATTTTGTCTAACTCTTTTTAACATACATTTTTTCCAGTTAAAAGCTCACTGAAATCCTCATATAAGAATCCCTCTCTCTCCAGCCCTCCCTCTCCCTCTATTTCTCTGTCTGTTCCCTGGAGAAATTAAAAAAAAAAAAGAGCATATTGACGCTAAATAAAAACCAGAAAGAGCAACCTTATGTCATTTATTTCTCTGAAATTGAAAAAAAAATCATTTTTCCTCTTAGAAAACTGTTCTGGTTTAAAATAAAAACACTTCAAAAGGTACTTTGCATTATATGTATGTCTTCCATGAGAAACAACACCCACATCTAGTGATTTTCTCATCTTGTCCCCGTCTGACAAGATCTGTACTAAAATATATTAAAAAAGAAAAAAAAAGATAAAGAAGAAAGAAACAAAGTGGGGGAAAAGCTGACTGGGAGCAGCAGAAATCTCTCCCTCAGGCCGGGGGCCTTTCCTTTCTCTCCGGGGCAGGGGTGGAGGCCTCGACCTGGGCTTCCTGGGGCTCCAGCTCTGAGACCCCGCGACCTTCTGACTCTGGGGCGCCCCTGGGTTCCCCGACTTCAGCTCCCACCCCATTCATTCAGCTCGACCTGGGAGCCGGGCTCAGCTTCCCTCCTGGAATTCACCCAGGGACCCTGCTATTGTCCCTGTCGTCTGACCTCTGCTACGCTAAGTTCCAACAGGGTGATCTGGAAAACGCGCCACTGGCTCCCTGGCGGGCTTCCGGACTCGCCTTTTCGCGCCCTCGGCGGCGGCTCTTTTCTCCAGGGGGGACCACCTAGCGCTCGGCTTTGCACGGCCAATTTATGGCGCTGTCAGGGGCTCGGGCGCCGCGCCCATTGTGCGGGACGCCGCGCCTGACCCCGCCGCCAGCGCCGCGTAGCCCGATTGTTCCCTCATTAGGGCGGCCGGGAGCGGCGGAAAGGCTCGCGGCCCTTTCCCACAATCGCTGACAATGTGCGGCCGCAGGCTTGTCACAGTCGCAGGCGAGGAGAAATGGAGAGGATGTGCCACCGAGTGGGGCGCAAGGGACATCGCATTCCCACGCGAGGAAGTGGGAGAAAGCCACCACTCAAACAGCCAAACCCAAACTCCAGACCCTGCACCGCCTGGGGTAGTTTCTTCTGGGGTTTTGGTGGCGGCTGTCAAGACCCATAGGAAATACGCTGGGGGAAGACTCCACAGCGCCTTGCAAAGAACTAAAACAACGCTTGAGCCCAGGAGTTCAAGGCTCCAGTGAGCTGTGATCGAGCCACTGCACCCAGGCCTGGGCCCCAGAGTGAGACCCTGTCTCAAAACAACAACAACAAAAAACAAAACAAACCAACACACACACACACACACACACACACACAAACACACACACACACTCCTAAATCAAGAGTTACAAAGAGCCAGACAGCCGGCGAACTTGGGCACAGGAGCGCTCTGTGCATAGGGGCAAGAAGCGCCCTGATGCAAGCGGGGCTGAACTGTGCACTCCCAGGAGCCAGGGCTGCGGCCACGTGGAGAAGGCAGGAAGGAAGCGGGCGGGGCTGTCAAGCAGGCCTAGGGCGATCAGCCCTGGCACAGGCTGCCTTCATAAGCAGGAGCCATCCGCAGTGTAGCAATCTCTTCTCCAGCCTGGCTCCTAGAAGGAGCCAGCTGATCTTTTTCCCTTTCGTGTTCTTTGCCCCACTGTGCCTGTTGCTGCTGTTCTTTCCCAGTGAAAATGCCTCCCAGAGAGGTGAGGCAGCCTCAACACCACACTTCCACGCTCTCACTTTTCCTCCTGGCCAACAAAGTGAGGACACTGCCCAGACAGTCCTCTCTCCCCCTCCTCCACCGGCCTGTTGCGTTGAAAGGGCCTTCTCTAAAACTGCAAATAAAGAGCACAGCTTCAGAGAAACCGGGCAAAGGCTCAAGGGGAAGGCACAAAAAGGACTATCTCTGTCCTGACGCTTAGATGTATACAAAAAGCTACGCTCAGATTCTTAGGTCTGTGAAATGCTATTTGAGTTGAAACACAATACCCGCCTACAGGGCATGCATAGAAAGTGATTTTAGGCGGCAATAACTTAGGGTAATTCTCTCTATTTTATAAACATCATTAACTCCTCTTATGAGATGATGCAAAAAGATTCAACGTTTCTTTGCACTTTCTCAAAAAAGTGAATTCTGGGGCTAAGGCCGTAAGCGACCACATTTATTAGCAGGTGATTCAAAATTGCGCACCCAAAGGGAAACTTCAAGAAGTTTCAGGGATACTATACACAGACTTTTAACTTGAAAACTCTTCTCAAAACAGTGTTTTTGAATTGAAAATGTGTTTAATCCTTTAATAGAATATAAAGCTAGAATTGAAAAGAAAGTTTACATTCCAATATATGATTTGTATAAAATATGTTGAAAGATATCAATTGTCTATATTTAAACTACATTTGAAAAATTCTAAGTACTCCAGAATTTTAAATTATTCTTAAAACAGAACTAAAGATATTTTCATGATGGAAAAATAATGTGAATTAAGCTTCTTAAAAAAAAGACCAAGTCTCATCTTTGGGGTGCATGTTGTCCTATTATTTTGTCCAAAGCTTTCTTGATAGGCTAAAAAGGACTTTAGGTTCTTGTGTTTAATATTTTAACAAGAACTAGGATACAGTTTGTATTCGTTTGTAAAATCCATTGCAAAGGTGATTTTGGTTGTGGCAGTTTTCCTTTCTTGTTTTTAGCAGATGGCTTTCTATTGACTGTTAACCTTAAAATCAAATGTGTAAAGCTTTTTATTTAAAAGAAAATAGTAATCTTAATTTGAGGTACATTGTGTGTAGTCTTACAGTTTGTGATGGCTGGTTTATGGTGGTGGGGAGTGTTTCTTTGTAACTTTTAGTTTTCTCTGACTCTTTAAATTTCACTGTTCACGTAGTTCTGAGCTATCTGCACTTGATCTGGGCCCAGACATATTTTGATTGTAAATAAAAAGTCTTCTTTTATGAGGATGTTCACTTCACAGCTTGAACAGTGTAATTTTTATACAGGTCTCAGCAATCAATAAAAAAGACACAGGAGGAATGATTTATCTTGTTGGTTACAGAGACTGTCACCGAGAGAAATTGTAAAAGATCAATTTACACAACCTGGTGTGAGAATGTTATTGATATAACACGGTTGATCGGTTTCTGGTTGTCTGTGCGCAGGCACTGCGGAGGGAGCACCACCACCACTCGCCAAGGTCTTAATAGACTCCGCGCTCCATAAAGTGGACACCGAGCCAGTGACGGCGGAGATGGCCCGGCGGGCGCCCACCGGCATTGGCTGCGCTCCGATTACTTCGTTAAGCAGTGTCATGCTTCTTCTTCTTTTTTTTCTTTTTCTTTTCTTTTCTTTTTTTTTTTTAATTTTTCCCTCCTACTGTGAGAACTGTTCACTTGGAGACTCCCTGTCTTAATTACAAAGAGCCCTTTTAACCATAGGTCACAGGACTTGGCTCTCTTGACAGGAAATAAGGAAACAAGCTACCTTCCTGGAAAAAAAAATTCAAACTTCTACTTCTCAAATTAGTTAAATGAAGCTTGTCGACGGTTGGGAGTTGAGCCTTATGACAGTTGGCTAATTGCAGTTGGTACATTAACTATGTTTTAACCAGAGCAGTTTGGGATCTAAGTAGATTAAAAAAATAAAGCAAGCCTAGGCATTTCCAACGAAAAACACTTAAAATAACCACAAAGTTAATATTGGTTTTACTTGCTATATGTATTACAATACAAAATGGATTCCTGTATCTTTAACATTGTAATTAAGTAAATTTACAAATATTAACATTTTTAAAATGACACTAAAGCTACTTTAAATCCTAGGAAGGCCTCTCTCTCTCTCTCTCTCTCTGCCCTTTCTTTTTTGATTCTGCCTTCAAAATGTCCTCTGTCTGTATTTTTTATATTAAATATTCGCTGCAAAGTCTATCTAGTAAATATCTGGTTCCAAGTCTGTGTACACCATTCTCAAATATAAAACTTTTCAAATGAAGATAAACCTTTAGTTGAATTGGTTTATTTTCTGATTTGATTCTTTAATGTTATTATAGAAGATGGAATATCATTTACAGTAACATTAAAAAAAACTCTGGTGGTTTTCTTATTGAAAGGCTTATAATAACAAGCAGAAATAAAGCAACCAAGATTTAGAAAAATATCGTAGTGTTTTTGCATATTTAATTTATTATTTACACTAACATATAATGTCAGAATGATAATTATAATGTGGCCTGAGTTACAAGAATATAAAAGAATAAAAAGTCTAAGAAGAAAAACTTCCAGTGTAGACTTTCAGTTATAATTTTAGTCACATTTTTTCATGTTGGTTGTCTTTCTAACAGATTCCACATTTCTGTGTGTGTGCGTGTGCATGTGTGTGTGTGTGCACACACGCCAAGCCTTTTATATTTAAACCCTGTTGTTGCCATTTTCATTTCCTTGGGAAACACACACACTTACACAAAAACACACACATCTTTTACTTGGAAAATGGATGAATCCCGTGCTTTCTGAACACCTACTTAAAAGGTAAGAATCAACTAGTTTTATGCATGCTGTTAGATCGAATTTTAATTACTAAATGTCCAATTAGTATTTATTTGCTTTTGTTTACAGAAGAGTGAATAAATGTGATTTTGCTTTCATATTTCTGTATATTAAAATTACCTAATAGCTCTCATTGTCTTTTCATTAGCTAAAATTAGTCCTCAAATCTCTCACCACATTCATTATAAACTGAACACAAACAAAAGACTGCTCACAAAATATGCTTTCCTTTCATTTTCCTCCTACCCAGGCTCTTTCATGGCATGTAGATATTCCTATCTCAATATCAATGATGCCTGTAATCTGGCATCAGAAAACTTTGCGCTTATTTCCTCTTCAGGGCTTTAACTGAATCAGCACTTATATTATGTAGCTGGGAAGGATGCTACAACTCTATAGTGGGAGCAATGTTCCCACCAGATCAGAGAAATAACTCCTCAATTTTTTTCACATCTGGAAAAGACAAACTTGCTCTTATCTTCAACTCGTGTCTTTTTTCCCCCTAAATGCAGTTTCCATTCTGGCCAATCTCCTTATGGCCGCGGGCCCTGTGATGGTCTAGTACTGACTGTTCTCTGCCCCTGTCCTCCTCCCAGCTCCACCCTCCTAACCAGATCAGCCCCTCCCCAGCATCCTACAGATCCAAGTTAAAATGCAATTTCCTGCTTTTGATAAGTAGACACTATCCAGCCAGAACAAAACAGAACACTCTGATACAATTGTCTCATGGCCAAAGGCGAGGGCAACTCCCACCCTTCAAGTTTCTCCTCATTTAATCCAGGCAGGAAATGCAATTCTGATTTTTATTCCTGTATTTTTTTAGATTTTTTTTTTTTTTTTTTTTACTATACTCTCTGGAAACATATTGACAGGGTCTGCGCATGCAAATCATCAAGGGATGCGAGGCCAAGATCCTAATTACAGGAACATTTCCAACAATCCCACCCACCCTATCAATGCAAACATTTATAGATACTTCTGATCTTGAATTCGCAAATAATCAGAAGTACCCTACTTCCAAGCTTCAAAAATGTGTTTTCACACTGGATGATAGTCTACCAGAGTGCACCTTATTTTGGGAGGGTGCCAAACTTCCTAGAAATATGGCCAAATGACTTTCCGTGGGAGCTAGCTGGCTGCATTCTCTCTCCTTAAGACAGTCGGTCCCTATACAATAACCATTAACCTTATTTGTTTGTCTCCCCTTTTCTTGAAGTAGCTAAAGTACATATAGTTATGAATAAAGCCCTCTAGGTTGTTTCATAGTGCATACAGTAGGCAGATGGAAGGGAGCTATGTAATTAATCAACCAACATGTTTCTTCAGCATGTAAAGCACTCTAATCACCCCCAAAGGGGTAACAGAAGAATGGAAGATATGGACTTTCACTGGAAAGAGCTCATAAATTGGTAGGCAAGAAATTGTGCTCAAGAGTAAAGAGTAAATATGAAATTGGATGAACTGACTATATGTTTTTCAGGAGAGTTGTTGATGTCGAAGATAGAAATAATTTTGTCTGAAGGAAATCAGAATGGAGAGGATTAGAGATGAAGAAAGAGCATAGGAGATGGTGTGAATGAAGGAATGATTCTGCCATGGTCATGGGATGGACCCATATTATGCACTGTGTAGTGATGGGAACAGGGTGGAAGAATAGGCAGCCAGCTTGTGAAGACTCTTAATGGGTATATCAGATGTTTAATAAATGTCTAGTGATTAAGTAAACGAGCTGAGATTTGAGGCAGTAGAATGTAAACCAACGAGTATTTCTGGGCAGCAGCATGGTTTAATAAAGGAGACCTTTTCAAGATACTGCTTAGACAGCTGTGGGCTTGCTGTCTATTGGGGTGTATATATGTGGCCAGAAGGAGCAGGGGCAGGAGAGTGCAAAAAAGTCAATGGTTGCAGTTATCAGGTGACAGATAATGAGAACCTGAAATAGAATAACAGCAGAAATGAGAAAAAGGAATGTTTCAGAAATTTCAGAGACAAAAAGAGCCTGACTCTCAGTGGGCAGTCAAAACAAGGTTAATCATAGACTAACGTGAGTACTGGAGATGAGATGGCCCCAGATGGGGAGACTAGCATCATGGTTGTGCCACTGGCAGGGAGGGATTTTCTGATTTGTTTGGGGAAGAAGTACACAATTTGGGGCAAGTATGAGGAAGAAATTGTAAACATTTCAAGTAAAACATCCGATAGAAAGTTAGACATTGACTAGATTTTGGTTAAAAGAGTAGAACTGGAGATAACTGTGTGAAGTCATGAAGATCTTATGTTGGCTGGGCATGGTGGCTCAAGCCTGTAATCCCAGCACTTTGGGAGGCCAAGGCGGGTGGATCACCTGAGACTGGGAGTTCAAAACCAACCTGACCAACATGGAGAAACCCCGCCTCTACTAAAAATACCAAATTAGCTGGGCATGGTCGCACATGCCTGTAATCCCAGCTACTTGGGAGGCTGAGGCAGGAGAGTCACTTGAACCTGGGAGGCAGAGGTTGCAGTGAGCTGAGATCACGACATTGCACTCCAGCCTGGGCAACAAGAGTGAAACTCTGTCTCAAAAGAAAAAAAAAAAAATAGAAGATCTTATATTAATCAGTAAATCCTGTAAACCATGCATGTAGCCTGTATCTACATGCATTTAATCTGGGTTTGAAGAGGAACAGGCTATATTTAGTCACATAACTTTTTATTTTTAATTATGAAAGTAGTATATGCAGATTAAAGTAGCATAGAAATAGCATACAAATATAATGTATGTAATCTAAAATAAGCAAAATGAAATCTTTTTAGACTGAAGTAGGTTCTATTATTATATTTTTGGGAGTAAAAGACTCATCCCATTTTAGCATTTTTAAAATAAACCATAAAGATGTGTGGACAGAGAAATGTGAAAAATGCAACGTCTCATCCTGCTAAACAAAATGCCCTATAATGAAAGTTCTCCACCCTCACTCGTGTTTCACAACTAGGAGTTTATGAACACTGAAAAAAATCTTTTGAGGAAAAAAGGAGTTGAGTGAGTGATTGATGTAATAAAAGCAGGACTCAGGGTCAAATGACCAGGCAACAAATTTCAGGCATGTAACTAGGCACCATGGTGCTTCTCAAAGCCTGGCTTGCTTAGGAGAGCTATGTTGTTTCAAACAGTACCTTTACTTCAGTCTTTGCCAAAATTAACAGTAGGAAATGGAGAAAAAAAAAAGAAGTTATTTATGTGACAAACATTCTAATGACAATGAAAATTTAACTATTGACAGCATCACCAGCTCAATTGTGAAGAGTATTTCATATAAAGAATATTTTAATTTTCATTTGAACCGACACCACTTAATATTGAAATAATTGATATTGAGTAAAACTGAAAAATAGCAACAAACTAGTTATAATAATAACACCTTGAAACTCTTTTAAAAGCAAATGCATAGAGTCATAAGTGACAGTTCTCTCCTTTCCAGAAGGCCTGATCTGATCTTGGGTGAAAGAACTCTAAATTATTTGTGAATTAATGATAGGAAAACTAAAGTTATAATAGGCGGGACCTACCAGAAAGAGACACAAGAACAAAATAAAAAGGAAAGAAAAATATATTTGTGACAAAATGCTCATGGCTCATTTAAAATTCTACGACACAGTAAATGAGGACATCCCACCTGCTGAGATTAATTGAAAACACTTTCAAATTATTAAACCTCGAGCTTATTTTAAGTGTGAGATCATACGAATATCCTAAAAATCTTTGTAATCGAAAAACAAAGTTATATGAAGCCAAAGAATACTGATATCCTCAAAGAAAAACAAACAAATTTGATCCATGAATGTAATAGAAGAAACTATTCATGCTTAATAAGAATTCATAGGAAATTAAGAATAGAAGAAAATGTCCCAGACATAAGGGGGAGCTTATTAGAAACCGGTCCCTGTGAACTTCTAGACACATCCGTTTCAGAGTCAAGAACAAGACTAGAAGCCCTCTCTCACTGCTAGGTCTAGGCAAAGCAATAGGATGAACATAACAGAAAAGAGAATATAAAACAGAAGATAAGGCAGCAATAGTATTAAATAAGGCTTATCATTTTGGGTGCACTTTTATTGACATGAATGGAAAGATCTGCTCATATTGGATTTATGGATTTTTTATCAGGAGATTCCAGTGAGTAGTGGTACTGGTCCTTATTTTTAAAATTGTGGTTATGTACACATAACACAAAATTTATATTTTTAGCTATTTTTAAGTTCACAGTTCAGTGGCATTCACATTGTACATTCAAATTGTTGGGCAACCATCGCCATCATCTATCTCTAGAACTATTTCATCTTTCCAAACCAAACTCTACCTGTTAAATACTAACTCCCCATTCCTTCCTCCTTCCCTCCCTCCCTTCGCAACCCCTGTTCTATTTTCTGTCTCTACGAATCTGACTACTCTAGGAACTTCATATAAGTGGAATCATATGGTATTTCTCTTTTTGTGACTGTCTTATTTCACTTAGAATAATGTCTCAAAGATTTATCCATGTTGTAGCCTGTGTCAGAATCTTCCTTTTTACGGATAACATTTGATTGTATGTATAGCCCACGTTTTGTTTATCCATTCAGCTGTCGACATGTGGGTTGCTTCCACCTTTTGGTTATTGCAAATAATGTTGCTATGAACATGGGTGTGTAAATATCTTTTTGAGGTCCTGCTTTCAATTTCTGGAGTATGTACCAGAAGTGGGATGGTTGGATCATATGGTAGTTCTATGGTGAATTTTTTGAGGCTGCCATACTGTTTTCCACATTAGCTGTACCATTTTACATTCACATCAGCAATGAAAAGGGTTCTGATTTTTCTACAGTCTCACATCTTTCTTTCTTTTTCTTTCTTTCTTTCTCTTTCTCTCTCTCTTTCTTTCTTCTTTCTCTTTCTTTCCCTCTCTTTCTTCTCTTTCTTTCCTTCTTTCTCTTTCTTTCTCTCTCTTTCTTCTCTTTCTTTCCTTCTTTCTCTTTCTTTCCTTCTTTCTCTTTCTTTCCTTCTTTCTCTTTCTTTCTCTTTCTCTCTCTTTCTTCTTTCTCTTTCTTTCCTTCATTCTCTTTCTTTTTTCTTTCTTTCTTTCTCTCTTTCTTCTTTCTCTTTCTTTCCTTCTTTCTCTTTCTTTCCTTCCTTCCTTCCTTCTCTCTTTCTTTCTTATTTCTCTCTCTCTCTGTCTCTCTCTGTCTCTCTCCCCCTCTATCCTCATTCCCTCCTCCCCTGCCCTTCCCTCGCCTCCCCTCCTGTCCCTCCTCTTCCTTCCCCTCCCCTTCCCTTCTCTTCCTTATTTCCTTTTTTCCTTTCTTTCTTTCTTTTTTTTTTTTTTAAGTAACAGCCATCCTCATCTGTATAGGTCCTAGTCCTTCAGAATCCTCTTTTCTGTGTGAATCAGGGAACACATCATTTGTTTTCAACCAATTGCTTCCTAAAGATAAAAATCTAAATAAATGTTGAGGAAGCACAAATCCCAAATGGTGAAGACTAGCCCTGATTCTTTCCTTTTGCAAGAGAGTAAGATGTAGTCATGCAAGCATGATGTCATATGTGCCCGTGCATGGAGAAAAGAGCCCATAGGCAGGACTTTCCATTGCCTTGAAGTTACTAACACACTAGATTAGCATGGTCTTGTTTCATTTCAGAGCTTCTCTGAGCAGCTTTTTGAAATCTAGGGAAATGAGGATATTTATTATTAAGGACAATTGCATTACCTGGTGCTTGGTGAACTCTCCTTTCTTCAGACACTGAGATATGCACTCACTTTTTTTTTTTTCAGCGATTTCTCTTCCTCCCTCTCAAACCCTCCACTTTCACACTCAGTTGAGAAACAGAGAAGTTACTTCTCTTATTTATACACATGATATTTTATACATACTTTTTTTTTGCATCAATTCTATACCAACCTCCCAATACTCTTGAGTCAGGTGGCTTCCAAATCAAGCTGAAGGGCTAGGTCATTATCAACTGCCACTTGTGTTTCACCACTTCAAGATAAGAACTCTTTCCCCATCTTTTGGGAACTCCACATCTATGTCTTTATCCAAAAGCCCTGAGAATCCAGCCCCTGTGATTGGCCATAGTGCCCAGTACATGTGGAAGGAAAGAAGGCTACTCAGAAGGGAGCACACAGGCCTGTGATGTGACTGAGAGGAGGCAGAGGGAGTGGATGGGGTGTCATGGGGGTGGAACTCATGGAAACAAAGAAATCTGGAGTGTGGGGTTCCTAGTAGGAGAACGTTGAAAAGTAGGATCAAGAATTATGGGAAATTTACTTTCCCATAATTAGGAAATGGTTTACTTGGGAGGGGCTTTATAAGCATCACTAGTCATGTCTGATGTTTGAGTCAGGGTAACGTTTTCTAACAATGAATACTTTTAATCATCTATTGGGCACAAAGGGTGAATTGGCTTCCTAGGAAACACGATAAAGATCATATATAACCCTTTACCTTCACAAGCCTACAGTGCAATAAAGTAATGCCCAAATGCAAGTGAGGCTATGCTAGATACACACACACACACACACACACACACACACACACACGGATAGTAGAGACATCATTTCAATGTATGCTCTTAAGACACAGTATTTATAACGTGCTCATAAAAATCCTCTTACCTGAGCTATATTATTTGAACACATTATCTTAGGTAAATATAACAATAGAGATGAATTTTTCCCAGAGTTTCATCATAAAAATATCGTAGAGAGCTGTGTTTTTAAGTATGTCTTAATGATTTTGATAATAATGTTACAAAATGTAAATCCTTTGTATTGCTTGTACATTTTTTTTAACTTAGAAAGGCGTGCTGGGGAACATTCACTATGCAATGCTTTTATTATAAAATAGATTTGGCCAATAAAATTATTTAATAAGTGTATTTGAAAACAAATTCAAAAAAGCAAACACTTTAAATAGTATCTTGCTCTTTTCTCTATGAAACTTCAGAAGAATTGCACTAAATACAGCAGATAAAAGACACAGCTCTTATCTAAAATGAAATGTCTTACATTAATAGGATATGCTGATTCACTGTTCCTTTATTTTAACAGCGTGAACATTTAAACTTCTTTCAAAACAAAATGAAGAAAGAGAGAGAGAGACTTTGGATGGGGGAAGGTAGTCAAGAAAAGGGGCTACCAAAAAAATCCTTTTGCTTCCAATAGGTCTTAATGTTTAAAACCTCTGAAGTTTTCCAGTACGTTATGAAAAACTACAGATTTATCTTTTGCCATTTTCCCAAAGGAGGCTGACCCAAATCCAGCAGCAGCAGTTGAAAAATTTCTCTAAGCTTTATCAAATGGCCCCTACAGAGTCCAGCTTAAAATTAAAAGCTCCCCCACCAGAGGGAATATATGTGACTTTAATAACTGAAATGTGTTTTTACTTTCTATTACAGAGGTCAAAAGGTTTCCAAACAAACCAAATTTATCAATTATTTAGAGCTGATTTCTTCTGAAGTGGTATTTCTGAGATATTATTTGGTGGATAAATTCAATGTTCTAGGGCCAATAGCAGCATTTTATTCATAACAAATTTCCACTAAACTGAATTTTCTGGGGCAACTTAATTTCCACTATCGTGTTTGCACTGTAGAAATATCAACTGAACTGTTATAATGCCTAACTAGTGGGCTTTTCAAGAGAAAAATTCCGTATGAGCATGCTTGTTCAGCACCCCCCACCCCGGCTTTCTGTTTATTGCCTAAGAAATGAACTGGCTTCTCTATCTACTGGGATTTAATTTTTTTAAAACAATTTTTTTTAGCTCCTGGAACATTTTTCAAAACCACCGAGACACCTTTAAAGTTAAAAACAATATCTAAAACTACATTGTCATCCTAGCGGCTGAGGAAAATGAGATTGTTGTCAAGATTTTGATTAAAGAGATATTTTTAAATGAAAGAGGCATAGGTTTGTACACCCACGTATATGTGCCAACAAACACACATGTGCGTGTGTGCACTGGGAGGAGGTCAGGGCCTCTTCTCAAGAATTCTTCTAGAATCTTGATGGACCCCTTGGTTGAGGGCTGTATGTTAGAGAATTCAATAACAGTTTATAGAGCAACTGCTCTTGATTCTTCACACAGTGCATAGCCCATGTAAATATTATGTTTATTATATACTAACTAAACATATATTGGGTTTCTGCCTAAAGTCTGCCATTTGGTGTATGCAGAAAACATTATAGAACAGTTCATAAATTCATTTGAAGCTGTGTTAAATGAAAGCAGCCATCCAGAAGCTGAAATTTTTTCATCTTTAAAATAGCAGCCTTCCCAGCTCTAACGCGGTAGGTTTATTTACGCTGGTGCGCTGGTGAATGCAATGCACCAAAGTAGTCAAGGAGCTGGGCTGCATATTCTGTTTAAATGAAAGCAAATTTTGTTAAGGTGAAAGACTGAGTTATATTTCCCTTACCAATATGGGCTTTTATCGTATTGTTGTTGTTATTATTATTATTATTATTATAAATTCAGAAGAAAAAAAAGCCTTTCCTTCTCTGACTCTCTGATACCTATTAGCCTGTTCAAGATGGAAATAACAGCAATTAGGTTTTCCAGACGTCCGCTGATAAAGACAAATGAAAAATGAAGGAGGAAGAAAGGAACGGGGCAAGCACAGGCAAGCCATTTACCTTGCAGGGAGTTGGATGGCTGTGGGTTGTCAGAGCTGGACAACTTTTACTCTGAATGACTGGCTGACATCCAACCAGAACCTGCAAAGCCCCCAAGAGACACTTTTCACCCTTGCATGGGTGTGGACTGTGGGGTGAGTTGGTGGGCTCAGGTCGAATTCCCAAGGGGACAGACTTCTCCTTCAGGACTGTGACCCATGTGAGGACTGACTGAAGGGTTTTGAACTCTGACCTGTACACTTCATTCCTAGAATTGGTCCAGGGTAGGATTGGCTGAATACAACTACAAACATAACACTGGGATTTTTACTAGTTCACTGCATCAACAATTTCAACCCTGCAGAAACAGTTGACTTTAGTGTTCTATGCCACTGCTCCCATTTTTATTGCCTCATCAAAGTGTATGTATTAAAGTGTCTTTGATTGTAAGTGAAGCTTAGAAATTAATACTCCGCAAAAACAAAATTCGGTTGTCTTGGTAACACTCTTTGTGGGGATATTTGAGGGTGGGGATGTTTTTATCAAATCAATACACAGACATTTTTTGCTCCATGAAGGCAGAGATTTTTGTCTGTTTTGTTTACTGACATTATCTTTAGCACCCAGAACAGTAGCAGGCACATGGTATATGCTCAACAAAGATCTGTGGGCTGAAGGGAAGGATCAGTTGTTTGAACAGTGATTTTAAACCTAAAACGTGCATTGCTTTTCCCAAGCAACCATCACTGAGCTGGAAATTGAAGACTTCTGCTTCAATACTTTAAAGCAGTTGAGCCTTTACTCCTTGTCCATAAAAAGAAACTTGAGGCTACATAGGCAGATCCTATTTTGACTCTTTGACCCTGCTTATGTAAAATATTCTTTTTTTTAAAATTTTTTATTATACTTTAAGCTTTAGGGTTCATGTGCACAACGTGCAGGTTTGTTACATACGTATACATGTGCCATGTTGGTGTGCTGCACCCATTAACTCATCATTTAACCTTAGGTATATCTCCTAATGCTATCCTTCCCCCATCCCCCAACCCCACAACAGGCCACAGTGTGTGATGTTCCCCTTCCTGTGTCCATGTGTTCTCATTGTTCAATTCTCACCTATGACTGAGAACATGTGGTGTTTGGTTTTTTGTCCTTGAGACAGTTTGCTGAGAATGATGGCTTCCAGCTTCATCCATGTCCCTACAAAGGACATGAACTCATCATTTTTTGTGGCTGCATAGTATTCCATGGTGTATATGTGCCACATTTTCTTAATCCAGTCTATCATTGATGGACATTTGGGTTGGTTCCAAGTCTTTGTTATTGTGAATAGTGCCTCAATAAACATACTTGTGCATGTGTCTTTATAGCAGCATGTTTTATAATCCTTTGGGTATATACCCAGTAATGGGATGGCTGGGTCAAATGGTATTTCTAGTTCTAGATCCCTGAGGAATCGCCACACTGACTTCCACAATGGTTGAACTAGTTTACAGTCCCACCAACAGTGTAAAAGTGTTCCTACTTCTCCACATCCTCTCCAGCACCTGTTGTTTCCTGACTTTTTAATGATCACCATTCTAACTGGTGTGAGATGGTATCTCATTGTGGTTTTGATTTGCATTTCTCTGATGGCCAGTGATGATGAGCATTTTTTCATGTGCCTTTTGGCTGCATAAATGTCTTCTTTTGAGAAGTGTCTGTTCATATCCTTTGCCCACTTTTTGATGAAGTTGTTTGATTTTTTCTTGTAAATTTATTTGAGTTCATTGTAGATTCTGGATATTAGCCCTTTGTCAGATGAGTAGACTGAAAAAATTTGCTCCCATTCTGTAGGTTGCCTGTTCACTCTGATGATTTTTTCTTTTGCTGTGCAGAAGCTCTTTAGTTTAATTAGATCCCATTTGTCAATTTTGGCTTTTGTTGCCATTGCTTTTGGTGTTTTAGACATGAAGTCCTTGCCCATGCCTATGTCCTGAATGTTATTGCCTAGGTTTTCTTCTAGGGTTTTTATGGTTTCAGGTCTAACACTTAAGTATTAAAATATTCTTTTGAGAGCAGCAGGTACCATCGGTTGCTCAAACATCAGGTCAATGTTTGATAAATTCTCCCTGTGAAGAATCAAGTGCTAACACAAGGAAGGCTTCTTTTCTTTGTGGTTGTAAACTTTTTAGGAATTGGTATTTGCAGCTGCTTAGGTATCTTGAGCCCCATGGTGACACTTCATTATGAGGTTATAGCAATCAGGTCCATAAAAATATTGACTAAAACTCAGAGATGCCAGAATGTTTACTTCTTTCACTGATGCTCTTTCTACACATCATTTGAATGGCTTGGCTAGACTGAAATTCCTGCCGAAGCCTGTAGACTTTAGGTCCCTAGCTGGGTACTTAGTGAGTAAAGAATGCACCCTCTCACCCTCAGAAGCTATACCCAAGGCCTGGATCTTGATGCTGTTAAAATATCATGTGACCCCATGTCCTTTCTTTTTCCAGGCTGTTTTCAATGGCTGCACTATGCGGGTGTTTGATTTTGGAGATGTAAACACAGATCATGGATATAATGATTTTTTTCCATCCTCAGCTGCTCTTATATCTGTGGTTGACAATCACATGCAGGGTATGGGTCATGCCAGTGCTTTGGAAATCTCAGTAGAAAGGTGAGGTGTCGGATCAATGCCTGCCTTCTTTTGCTGCCTAGCAGGAAAAGCTACATTCCGAACAAGGACAAATGGGGACTGAGCACCCACCTTGGTTTCTGAACCTAACCAAAGGACCCTCTTGCCAAGCACGTGATTCGAAAAGGCAGAAGAAAGTTTAAGTGTGGCTGGCAAGTAGGATTCTGCCCAGGCTCTTCCCTTGCCCACCAACTTTGTCCTGGGGTAAAGCATAGTCTGAGAAGTAGTTTTGAATATTGTCAACTGCTAAGGCAGCACCTCTGATTTAAATCCCCTGGAGCTTCCATATGCTGCCCTTCACCTTTAGAAGTCTCAGCCAGGCTCTGGTAGAAAGCACAAAGGAAAACAGAACGTGAAAACTAGAGGGTGTTGTAAGTTCCTGCCTGGTCAATCCATCAGTTCTTATGGTCCATCTTGATTCTGGGTAAGGAGAGAATGGAGCCCTTTAGGCTTTGGCTAAACTGTACCATTTGCCAAGCTGGATAAAAATTTGAAACTATGTATGGACCCATTTTTAAGAAATTTGACTGTAATAGAACATGACATTATGTAAAGATAAAATTAAGATGTCAGCTTTTGGAATGATGCTTATTATTTTTATTATTACTGTTAATGTAATTTTCCACTTAGAGAACAGTTTTCCTAAGTAGAGGAAAAAAGTCAATAATATGTGGCCAATTGCGCTTTAAACATCATCTTTCGTTGTCTAATCAATAAATAATTAGCCAATTAGCATACTCGTGTCTTTGCATGAATAACACATACTCTTCTCTTCCTTCTCTCTCTGTCCCTCTCGCACACACACACCCCTACTGACAGGACAAATATATTGTCACATCAGTATATATAAAGAGGTTCACAGAAACGTACAGAACCTATGAATGTGTCGGGCCCTGGCAGTGCTGTCTCTGTCCATGTGAATTCTTTCTCTCTATTTTTGTCTTCAGATCCAACGTAGCAACCTAGTCTCCAATATTTATCATGTAGGATGCTGTCACCATTGGCGGAGGTCTTACACCTAGTTTCGACTGGCTTGTAAAATTTACTCAGTGAATTTTTTAGTGTATTTGGATTCAAGTTTCTATTGATAAATATTTTACCTGGTTGTCATGATTATCTTAGCATAGAGACAAATAGATACTACATTAATCCACGTGTTATTAGAGACAAGCCAATAACTTCTAGAGAGAAGTGTTAATTTTACTTGCAAACATAGAACTAGTAAGCCATTCAGCATCCTAAGACTTAGATGGTGGAAACAATAAGGACTTGTCTTTCAACACAAATGGCAGCCAAGAGCCCCTGGGCCACTCTCTGTTTTGCACATACTTTAAAAAATAATAGAAGTTATGAGGTCATGTAACTCTATCTTTCATTATTGCCAATCCTTTCAGGGCATACAAAATTTATTCAAAAAATCAAAAACTCCCCAATGTGAGACAACCGTGGAGTGAGGTGGGGCAGCTTCACCGAGGACCACCACCTACATATCCCTGTGTTGCAGTCCTGAGGGTCACCCTCATTTAGTCACTCAGAAGGGATGAATTCTTTGTAGCCCATTTTCTTTGGAAAACCTTCTATTATAAGATCATCGTGGGCTGGGTGTGGTGGCTCACGCCTGTAATCCCAGCACTTTGGGAGGCTGAGGCAGGTGGATCACTTGAGGTTAGGAGTTCAAGATCAGCCTGGCTAACATGGTGAAACCCCATCTCTACTAAAAATACAAAAAATTAGCCAGGCGTGGTGGTGCGCGCCTGTAGTCCCAGCTACTTGGGAGGCTGAGGTGGGAGAATCGCTTGAACCTGGGGGGCAGAGGTTGGAGTGAGCTGAGATTGTGCCACTGCACTCCAGCCTGGGTGACAGAGCAATACTTAGTCTTAAAAAAGAAACACACACACACAGACACACACACACACACACACACACACACACACACAAAGATCATTACGGTCATAGTCACTGTTGGATCCTGAGTACCTAGTAGGTGTCAGGTGCTCCAGACCCACTTCTGCATCTAGTCTCCCAGCCCCCAACTTACCACCTCTGAGGAGTTGTTATTTGTTGGTTTTACTGCAGAATGCTATTTTTCGAATGGGTAAAGCTACTGTAAGTTCAAATTAGGCTCCTAGGTTTGCTTCCCTCTGGTACTCTATTCATCCTTTCCTGCTGGCTGCAGAAGGGGTAATCAGACTGCTGGTCTACCTCTCCCTCCAACAG
This sequence comes from Homo sapiens, assembly GCF_000001405.40. Taxonomy (NCBI): domain Eukaryota; kingdom Metazoa; phylum Chordata; class Mammalia; order Primates; family Hominidae; genus Homo; species Homo sapiens. The sequence continues at coordinate 104,642,093 of NC_000002.12, read as the reverse complement.
CCCCATAGCCACTCCATCACACGCAACCCCTGGCCCTGTCTCCATCTCTTGTGGCTGGTGTGATGTCAAGCAGGAAACTCTGCCTTCTCTTCTCTTGGTTGTGCCCAGACACTCTTATCTCTTTTATCCACTGCTTTACTTGGAGGAAGTCTAAACCAACAGATGGTTTTGGGGCCTTGCCACTGTTCCAGACTCATGGTGGGGGCAGTTACTTTCATTTTATTTGCCATTGTCATTGAGGTTTATCTGCCCCACAGGGATCTGTGTGTAAGACTTCCTATGTTTTGGGCAGGATTCAGGCGTTCTTGGGGCCCTTTGCCTGGTACTGTCAAGTGCTCATCTTAGCCTGTATCTGATTCTTTACCTTTCCCATCTTCTGGTGGTCCTGCTGGGTCTCAGTATCTTTATTTGACAGGTGAGGCAGCAGGTTCAAGATTTGCTGGATTTCCCTAAATGGGAAAAGAAAAAACAAAAATGTAAACAAAACAAAATATGTAATTTCAGCATTTATCCGCACTATAACAACTATGAGGCGGCCTGGGGCAGAGTTAATGATGCGGCAGGGTTGTGAGTTTGGATTGCTGGGGGAGGCTTAGAAGCAGCAAAGATCATTCTGGCTCCAAGTTTATTGCATCCTGTGTTGAGGGCACAACAAACTGATTTAACTCTCAGCAGTGTGATTCAATCAAGGAATATTTCTAAGAAATTTTATCCACCCACTGTACAAACCATGCTTGCACTTACGAAAACCTTCTCATTCCAAGGACATTTATATTCTTGTGAATTAAAAATTCAGGCTACATTTGCATGGGCTAAATAAAAAAGAATCATGTCGTTTACCCAAGGTGTAGTTTTCCAAGATATTATAGCTTGATGTCAGAGCCCAGTGTAGATAGTAATAGGAGCAAGTGGAGGCCCGAGCACTTACAGCTTACGGAAATGCTCAGTGATGGAATGGCTCCAAGAATTGCTTTGACATACTTTGCACATTTGCACACACTGTTACTAGCCCATTTGGTGCCTTTGCGCAAATTAGGAAAACATGCTCCTTTCTCCAGTGACGTCCCAGGCCCATGCCCAATCACAGGGTTTGATGAGCCCAGAGTGGGCTGTATTTCAGGTGTCCTTGGACAGGGCATGTCCACAACTCTATGACAACCTCTTACCTTCCAGGCAATAATAATAATTCCCTATCTTCCCATGGTGCATCAAAGCAATTGCACAAATGCCATGTCATTAGTTCCCGGAGCAATCTTGAGTGATGAATGGAGCAAAGATCCTTATCCTCATTTTAGAGTTATGGGAGCAAGGTATAGAGAAATTAAGTGACTTCCCCAAAGCCACACCCATCCTAGGTGATTCTGACTAGAAACAGAGGCTTCTTGACCTTTCACTGTATTTTTCTAATACATTGAGCATTGTGCAGGCCAGAGGCATGCATCCATTCATTCATTTAGTCATTAGCCATTCAGGATTGCAAGTTCTTAAGGGAAGGAGCTTTGCCTCATTCATCTGTGTGTTCTGCAAACCCATCATAGTATTTGACATATACTAAGCATGCAATGGGTGTTTGTTACATGAATGACAGAAATCATTGGTTGTTCTGCTTGTGTTGTTACAAAACGTGTCCTGTTAATACATGTGGCTGCAAATGAGGACTGTAATGCTTCGCTACGTTTTTTTGCTGCCAGAGCTGTGGGTGTGGTCAGCATCATCTAAGCCCATTTGTTGTGCTGCAAAAGCCAGTTCCTGGCTGAACTGGTCAAAGCTCCATGGAAAAGGGAAGAAGGCAGGTGAGCGCCTAGACTGCTAAATAGACCTGCAGTTCTGAGAGGCTGCTTGGAAAGTAATGAATTACACTTTCTGCCACCTTCAGAAAACTGATGTTATTGAAAGAATGAAACCACAGAGGCAGTATCTGAGAACTTGGGCTCCTTTTATTGAAGATGTATGATCACTGAGGTTTTAGGCAGCATTCCCCCCTGCTTATTGCCTGATAATTTACCTATCGTATCTGTCAGGTCCTTCAGAAAACAGAAAAATAACCTTGGAAGTCTCAGAATAAGCCCGCTCAGAACCCTCCCCCTGCCATTGGTTGGGTTATTAATAATGTTTAGTTAGAATCTTTGGAGTATCAAAGAGGAGGAGACTTGACTTTTCCGAGTGTCCTCAACAGTGTGAGTTCTTCTCTGAAGATGCTTGCAAGATCAAAGGTGAAGCATCAGAGTTCGTTAGCCAAATGGGTGCAGTCAGTTCTTCTAAAAATGAAGGGCCTTTTGTGACTAAGTCGCAGTCAAAATAGCGAAAATCGCACCCAAGTTTATTTTCCATAGGTCTAAAAATATGGGGAACCAGTGAGTTACTCTTATGCAGCTCATAATAATGTCATAATTGAACGATCTATAAACGGCATTATGCAAAGGAACATGGAACAAATGCAGCTGAATGCTCTTCTATTGGAATCTTTTCTTTCTCACAATTAAATGTCATTATGAGGGATTCTACTCTATTTTATACATAATCAGGACTTGTAAAGTCTCAATATAAACAACATTTTTATTTGATCAGAGTTCATTATGAGAAGCACTACTGTATAGAAAAATGTCTGAAATTACACTCTGGACTAGAAGTCGGAATTCACTAAATGGAAGGGAAAAAATGGCTGCCTCGCCAAGCATGCATACCTTTGCAATCTGGTGCATTTCCTTATGTGGCCTTGCTCAGGCTTACAAACTACTGGAATCAATTTCTTTTAAAAACACGTTTTTCAGAAACTTATTACGCACTTTAGAGATATATTATATACCTTCAGCAGCAAAAGAAGAAAAATTACAGGTGGAAAAGCAGCCCATTTTTCTAGCAGCTGAAAATGATGCTGTGTACTAGTCACGGGGGAACAGTAAAAATTACACTCCGACAGCAACAGGGCAGAAGCCCACAAAGGCACAGCCGAGCGAGTGGCACAGCTAGGGAGTGCACTAATAAATCAAGATAATTCTCTGCCTGCCTTGAACTTAGACCCGGCTACAATTCACTGGTACAGCCGGAAAAAAAAAAAAAGTCTGTTAGTGGAATTCAGCTTTACTGGGGGGACGTGATTAGTCACTGGGCAGATTGAGCCTCGATTGCATCTAAATGGTCCACTTTATGAACCATTTATCTTCTGCTCAGACCATTTTCATTACACCAAAAACTGATGCTGAGCCACCAGCTGTAAGATACAGCCTGGTGAAAATTAATAACCTTTTTTTTTCCCCTTCTGCAGGACTCCTGCATATGTGAGCAGGAGCATTTATCCCTGTTTTGTTGCTATTTGCATCCCAGCATCCTGGCAGTCTTTCAATTTTCTCAAGTCTCTTAGCCTTTGCCCCCTGTTTCGCTTTTGCAACACAAACAATCCATCCTGTGCATTTAAAATTCTCTTAGCGCCCTGACATCACGGTATAGCCTTAGAGCAGGGAGCAGTTTACACAGAAAGGGCTCTTATTAATTCCTCTGTCCTGCCTTCCTGCTAAAATATAGGGATCTTGAGATTACTGCTGGGTCCCTTAAAGACCATTTAGAGCTGTGCAATTTAAAAAAGGAGACCTTTATTAATACCTGCTTAGGCTACTGACTGCGGGGAGGGCAAAGGAGGTCTGGCTGTGATGGAAGATAGTCTCTTAGTGAAGCAGAGTCACGTGACTGATAATTCAAGGCAGCCTATTGAGCTTTGCGTAGCCACTGAGATATACGCTGATATGATTACAATAACATACAATGAAATTATGGAGTATTAATGGTGCTTAACCACTGTTAGGCATTAAGCAGAATTAACATGAATCTTTTTCTGGGCAGACATAGTTTTGATAGGACTGATTAAGAATTTGGCTATCTAAGGAAACTCATTATAGTATTAATTAGGATACAATGAGCCCAAACTGTGTTGTTTTGGCATATTTCTGCAGGGGCCCACATGTTTGGTGAGAAGCTTGGAGCTCATCGCATCAGCCCTGGAGTTGTTGGATGCCATACAACTTTTGTTTTCTCAAACAGATTTTGAAGTGTCGTCTGTCTTTTTCCTCTTTTGAAACATGCTGAAACTATTTTGATAACTAGTTTTCTTTATTCATCATGAAGGCCAGCCTGTCTCTAGAAGAGCTAATAAGTTTATAGAAAAATATTTTATGTCTGCAGGCAGATTATGTGCTGTTTTTAACTCTTCAAAAGAGATTTGTTTTTTTTTAAATCTTGTAAATTTTAGGCAGTAGAGGGAATGGACACCTTGGTTGTTTTAGAGGGAATGGGCACCTTGATTGTTCTACATGTGTGACTGTATTATGTTTTACAAGTTTTTTTCTTCAATATTTAACATGTGATGGAGCAAATAGGGTAAATACTCCTTTTCCACTACAGCCTGCATTTGGTAAGGAAAGAGACTCAAGGTCTCTTGAAATCTCTCTGGAGTCTCGAGTTGGTTTCCTCTGCTGGACCAGATGCTCAGCAATGACATTTTAGGAAATGCTTCTTGAGAGAGACTTTGGTGGTGGGGACTTGAGGTCACAATGAGTCCCTGACTAAAAGGAAGATGAACAACAACAGTTGTGGAGCAGGTCTTCCCCTTTCTCAGCACAGGTGTGTGGAGACTGCCCTGCAGCCAGGACTGTGGTGTGGCTGTCTGCTTCACTTTGATGAGCTCCAGGCTCCCTCGCTCATCTCTGTAGTTGCAATGAGCCCAGCTGATCTGCATCAATTGCTTTGATGGCCAAATGGAACTGATGGGCTGTGTCCATTCATTTTGTCTAAACATGGCTTCAATTGACCAGCTGGGTGTGCGCGGCCTGTTCACCTGACAGCTGCTAACTGTCAATGGGCCATATGTAGCCATGGGAAGTTGCAGGCTTTGGAATGCTCAAAGGCACAGACCAAACTCCTTAGGGAGAGAGTTCTTCCACAAGGATGAGTGGAGGCTCTGATGAACCCACTCTCTGCAGTCTTCCTTTTCAAAAACTTCTGGCGGAAAGGGCAGTGGCTAACTCCAGTTAAATACCTTTGTGGCCAAACAACCATTGTCAAAACTCTACGAAGTATTAATATCTCACAGCGAAGGAAAGCCCAGGAGACTTGACATGCGTTCCTAAAATCCTTGGTGCCTCTTGCCTCGGAGGCCTCTCCTCAAGTGTCTGGATCTGGCTTTAAGTTCAGAAGTTGAAAGAGTGAAAGACAACTTCCTGGCCTCTTAACACAATAAGCTACTTGAAGTTGTCCCCAGGGAGAGAATGTAAAAGTACAGCCATTCTTTAAAAAATAGATAATTACAGCATGAAATTTGGGGGTGCGAAGTAAGCATTAACATTGATCTTGCTTTTTTGTGCCGATATTTTTCTTCAGATAAACTTGACGAAACATGAGGGCACTTCCAAAGGATGCCTCCTCTTTGTATCATAAAATATGGCAATTGAGGAATTGTCTTTGAGGAGAAATGTTTATCACGTTTTAATATTTGTATTAAAATAGTGCATAGTTATGATGTGGCATTTAGAAATCTATATAGCAGCAACACTAGAGGTGCCAGAAAATAATGCTTTTTCAGGTAATGACTTTCTTTGCTCCCGCCACCAATAGGAGATTTCTACCCATGCTAGGAGCAGTTAACTGGTAGTAATTTTGGTAGCCAGACCTTGGTGAATACCTTGGTGAATAACAAAGTGATAAGAAGGACCCAGGGAGATATAGTAGAAGCAAATTAAAAACAATAAATTGAGCCCAGTGTGGTGGCTCATGCCTGTAATCCCAGTACTTTGGGAGGCTAAGGTGGGCGGATCACTTGAGGTCAGGAGTTTGAGACCAGCCTGGCCAAAATGGCGAAACCCCATCTCTACTAAAAAAAAAAAAAAACACACAAAAATTAGCCAGTCGTGGTGGTGGGCACCTGTAGTCCCAGCTATTCAGGAGGCTAAGGCAGGAAAATCACTTGAACCCAGGAGGCAGAGGTTGCAGTGAGCCGAGGTCGCACCACTGCACTCCAGCCTGGGCAACAGAGAAGGACTCCATCTCAAAAAAAAAAAAAAAAAAAAAAAAAAACCACCCAACCAACAAACAAACAAAAAAAAACCCAAATGAATTGGACACGGCTTCATCTGACACAGAATATGTAGATAACAAAAGCAGGCTGGGGATGGTAGGTGGGGCAGGATGGTGGTGTTTTCCTCTTTCCGTATTTATGCATGGGTGTTCCACTTGTTCTTCCACAGAGGCATATGCCATCTCAGCAGGGTCCAGGGGCCATCAACAGCAAGGGCTGGACTACTAGAGACATCATGGAAGGTGACCAAACACTCCCTCAGAGGCGTGGCCGGTTCAACATAGAAGCTGCAAGTAAAGCAAAGTTCTTTGCCGGGGAACTGTTGGGTGTGGCCAAGGGCACTTAAAGGGGGTGAAGTAGGAGAAGTTTCTTCCTTTTGCTTCTGGAAAAGTGTCATTTTATTTCCTCCATGCAAGCATTAGGGTGAGGGCTCCTACCTGTTATTTATATATGTCCATTTGAGAACTAGATCTTTACAGTCATTCTCGGAAACCGTGTGTGAGTTAGAGGTGACTCTCTGAGATTATGAATCAAATAAAATTAAAGCCTTCCTGTGACAGGCATCAACTCAGTAGCTCGGTAGGCAAATGCCACTTTGGTCAATGTTTACTGAGTTCTTGCTACATTTCAGACACAAGGCTATGGTCTGGAGATACAGAGAACGATAAAAAATTTATTGTTCTCAAAGTGATCAGTCTAGTAGGAGAAGAGACCCCTGTATCACTAATCACTACACAATAGAGAAAGTACCACAAGAGAGTTAAGTAGAGGGGCTCCCTGAGCACACCTGGCAGACAATCAGTGAGGCCGTAGGGTCAGGATGGGCTGAGGGGGAATCTGTTAGGATTACTAAGAAGGCCCCAGGCAGAAGGACCAGCATGTGCACAGGCAGAGTGCTGGGGCTCTGTCACCCTGATAGGAGCCAACAGTTCTGGGTTGTGGAGGGAAGCAAAGCTCGTAAACGGTGTTCACCCAGAGGAGATGGGAGTCATGAGGAATTTTACAAAGTGGAGAGACATGCTGAGATGAACTTGTTAGCTTTCTGGGAGCTGTGGGGTAGAGAAGGCAGTGCACTGGGAGGATGCAGTTGCATTTCTTAACTCCCTGTTGCCACCAGGACTCCTGTAAAACGCTGTCCTTTGAAAATCATGCTATCAGCTCAGCCCTGTCCATTCCTTAGCTTTTACGTCCTCCTCCCCTTGTCCATTGAGGGCTTTCATCCCTGCTCTCAGCCTTCTTTTCATCTCTGTTTCTCCCAGCATACTGGGGGACTATAATAGTCATACTATTTAACATTCCTTCCATCAACCCAAGCTTCTGTCCGATCTCATGATCCTCCTGCTCAAACCTTTCAGTGGATCCTACAGTTTGCAGAATGGCACTGGCAGGATATCCACAGATGTTCATGATTTCGTCCCTACCAACCTCTCTGATGGTGTCTTCTGCTTCCCCAGTGCAGCAGGTCAAGATGCTGGGACCCTGGGTCAGGTGGAAGCAAGAGTCATGGCTGAGCAGAGGCTTTCTGTTGTGTACATTATCTGATAATAAACACGTATGGGTTAGTAGGTTTTTAGGCAGAGTCAAAATGTTCTTGAATCCAAATTACCCTCATCAAAATTTTAGATACTCATGCCTAGGAAATACAGGGTCAACAGATTTAAAAAAAAGCAGTGTGAATAAATAAATGATGGCAACATTGCTCTTAAAAAATAAATGTTGAATGAATGAGTAAATAAATGAGGGCCTTAATAAAAGAGGGGAGTCCAGTTAAGAGTCATTTAATAGCCTAAGAGAGAAAGAACGAGGACCTGAATTTAATTTGTGTCAATAAAGTGACCTGAAATTAAAGTGGGGATTAATTTGGATTCGAAAATTTCTTGTAGATCATTCTGGGCATGGCTCTATTACTGTGAATTTTTTTTGCTTATCCATATTGATACTGGACTCGATGGGCTGATGGTGTGGACTTCTTATCATCATGTACTATATTGCTATGAGACCGTCTGGAAGATTTCTGCACCTTGTGCAAAGCACACTGTTTCAGTCTAGGCAGGCTCTCTGGCCTGTGGAACACAGAAGCAGTGCTCTGCAGAGGTTACAGTTGAGTTTGTGGAAGGCCAAGGCTGCTGAAGGAAAGAACCATTTCCCATTGCTTTTAAAATTTAAGCATCATGTCTGCAAGGGCATAGGCTATACATCAGTTCTAAAGATGGAATAGTGTATATTATAAAAACTAACCTTGAAAGGAAAAGGAAAAAAATAGAAGTTGAGAAGAGAGTTACATTTACACAGACTAGAGGGGAAAAGCAATTTTGGTTTCCAAAAGCCTGAGGATTTCTGGAAGTTCTTTGAGACCAGAGACCATCTCCCTCTTGGTATTTGGCATACTGTAGGTACTTGGTAAATGTGTATGTGTGTGTGTTTTTTTTTTTAAAGAAAAACATTTAAAAGAATCGAGAAATTAAGATATATAAAAAGTTCAGAAAATCAACCAGGTGCAGTGGCTTACTGCCCTGCCCAAATTTTGGGAGGCAAAGGTGGGTGGATCACTTAAGGCCAGGAGTTCAAGATTAGCCTGGGCAACATGTCAAAACCCGTCTCTATTAAAAGCTCAAAAATTAGCTAGACATGGTGGTGAGCGCCTGTAGTCCCAGCTACTTGGGAGGCTGAGGTGGGAGAATTGCTTGAACACAAAAGGCAGAGGTTGCAGTAAGCCAATATGGTGCCATTGCACTGCAGCCTGGATGACAGAGCGAGACTCTATCTCAAAAAAAAAAAAAAATCCAGAAAATTATACATTATTTAACTTGTAGGTAATTTTTAGATTAGTCTGACAAAAAGTATGCCTCCTTCTCCAAAATCTAAATTGAATAGTTTTACATTTTAAGTTTATTCCATAATATAAGGAAAATAAAAATATTTGTGGCCATTCACTTATCAAACATTAATGTGCCAAGTAGTGTTTTGGACGCTGGGTGGAGAGAAAGCAAATAACAGATCAGCAAAGGACTGAGGCCTGTCCCTCTAAAGTTCACCATCCATCACATCTATGGTGACAGTGAATGTGAAGAAGCTAATATCCCCCTTGAAACCAAAGCATAGCGTGAGGAAGGTGGTTTAATACAGGAGCACGGCATATATTTTGCTTACTCTACTGTTTGCTTCTCCTTAGGTTTATAACTGCAACAGTCTGCCCTTGGAGATCATACCAGCATTTATTTCAAATCGATGTTGAAAAATAAATGGTAATCCTCAAGGGGAGGGGGGGCTCCTCCGTAACTATCACTTCCTATTGGAAATCTTTCTTTCATGTTTCTGCTTAGTACTCAATCCAGGGTTTGAAATTAATTAAAATATATCCTTTCTCTAATCTTTAGATAATTAGCTTCAAAGATTTTCCTCAAAATGTTGTAATAACTTCATCTTTTATGTGCAAATTCAGAACTGTTCCTATCTGGACAATAATAATTCAGTAGTAGTTAGCAATTGAAGGAAAGGAGTGTTTTGTCAGTAATTTGAGTGGTTGGGTTTCAGCCATGAAAAATAACTGTTTATTGTGAAACATTTTTAGACTCTTTGTACAAGACTAAAGTTTGAGTAAAGAGCTCCATATAAGTAGGAATGTGCCATATAATTTCTCGATGCCCATACTATGGAAGGAAAACTCCAGTCCCAGATAGGATATAAATGTCTTAAATTATAGAAATTATTGCTACCAAATGAAAGCTTTCTAGTTATCTCCTGTCTATCTTTAAGAAGACAAAATAAGAAAAATAGCTTATGATTACAAGAAAGATTTCACAGAGGTATAAGTTCAGCCTCTACAAGGCATTTTTTCTTAGGGGAGAAATGAGGAACTAAATATGGCTCAAAATTCTTTGACATTCCTTCCCTTGAGAGGCAGAGTGTAATTCCTTCCCGTTGAATCTGCCCTGGCCTTATGGACCAAATAGAATGTGGTAGAGGTGACACTTTGGAACTTCTGAGGCTAAGTCATAAGAAACCTGCCTGCTTCTGCTTGGGTCTCTGAGAACAGTCATTTTTGGAGCTTGAGTTTTCAAAAGCCTGGTTCTCCCAACAGCAACATGCTGTGAAGAAGCCCAAGCTAGCCATGGAGAGAAATTGTGTGGAGAGATGCCACACTGTGAGAAAGAAGCCTTCAGATGATCCTCCCTGATATGGTCTGGCTCTGTGTGTCCCCACACAAATCTCATCTCGAATCTCATCTCAAATCGTAATCCACATAATCCCCGTGTGTCAAGGGAGGGATCTGGTGGGAGGTGATTGGATCATGGTGAAGGTTTCCCCCATGCTGTTCTCGTGATAGTGGGTGAGTTCTCACGAGATATGATGGTTTTATAAGTGTTTGACAGTTCCTCCTTCACATGTTCTCTCTCACCTGCCACCATGTAAGACATGCCTGCTTTCCCTTTCACCATATTGTAAGTTTCCTGAGGCTTCCCCAGCCATGCAGAACTGTGAGTGAGTGAGTACATTAAACCTCTTTCCTTTATAAATTTACCAGACTTGGGTATTTCTTTAGAGCAGTGTGAAAATGGACTGATGCCCTCCCCCAGTCACATCTACCTACAACTGTATGGGACCCAAGTGAGAATCACCTAATTGAGCTGGTCAGAGCTGAGAGATAACAGCTAATTGATGGCTCATACCACCAAATTTTGTGGTGATTAGTTATACAATGATAGATAACTGGAATAGTAGGTACTTAAAAAACTTGGGAAAATTCTCTTGGGAGTGGCATTGTAAAATATTATTATCTGGGGATTATGAATATGAGAAACAATATCTGACTCAAATAGTTATCATAATTTTTCTTATCTGGGGTCACTTGGATATAGTGCTCTTGACCTAAGGTGACAGCCAGCCCTCATTCCTGCTCTTCTGTGCTATTTTTCTCCAGCTGACTGAGTTCCTCTCCTCCATTCTCAGATCATTAATTTGTTATGTTTATTTTGATTTTATGAGAACTATTTCTGAAAAAAGTGTACTACAGACTTATTCATATTAAGTCAAATGTTTGCTTGGGCTTATTGCTTTGATCTCTATTCATCTGTTGTGTCGCTAGGAAAATTTTTATTTGTTGTCTGCCAGGTGCTAATCACATGTGAATCACTATCAGAATACAACAATACACAAGGCAGTCAGAGTTTCTGCCAGTCTTATAGGGACTTGCAGTCTAGAAGGGATAGAGCTGGTTAAATAAGCAGATGGCTTTTGCCCAGGTTAAAGTCTAAAGCCAAAGGAATGTATATGTAGCTGTAGAAGTTTAGATACTTGAAACTTAGACACTAAAAATTTTATTTTGGACACAGACAGCTTTCCTAAAATCTGAATATTACGCCTCCTCCTAATATTTGCTCTGTGGAAAGGCTCCTACTTTTCTTAAATTTCTTCCCAACCTGAGATGCTATAGTTTTGCTTCTGAAACCCATTCTATAGCCCCCAAGGAGAGAAAAGCTGGAAGGCTTTGATTCTCCCACCTCATCCAGTCTACTTAGCTCTTTGACTGTCAGTGGGGTCTAGAATTGTCACCTAGTCATTAAAATCTGTTTAACAGCTGCTGCGGAAAAACCACCATAATGGATCCGGAACAAAAAGAAAATCAGAAAGCTCAGAATCTAATAGGAGACAAAGAAAAAGCAAATGGTTATAATATAGAACAACAAATGCTGTGGTAGAAATCAGGTAAAAATGCTAAGGTAACATCTGATATAACAACAATAGGATGGCAAATCATGCAGCCATTAAGGTGACATTTACATATAAAGATTTGATATGTGACAAAGATGGTCTTCTGAGTCAAGAGAAAAGGAAGGTTAATAAAGATACTAGGAAGATGGCCGAATAGGAACAGCTCCAGTATGCAGCTCCCAGCGAGATCAAGGCAGAAGGTGGGTGATTTCTGCTTTTCCAACTAAGGTACATGGCTAATCACATAATCACATCGGGACTGGTTAGGCAGTGGGCGCAGCCCACAGAGGGCGAGCCAAAGCAGTTGGGGTGTTGCTTCACCTGGGAAGTGCAAGGAGTCAGGGAACTCCCTCCTCTACCCAAGGGAAGCCATAAGGGGCTGTGCCATGAGAAATGGTGCGCTCTAGTCCAGATACTATGCTTTTCCCAAGGTCTTCACAACCCACAGAGCAGGAGCAGGAGATTCCCTCGGGAGCCTACACCACCAGGGCCCTGGGTTTCAAGCATAAAACTGAGGGGCTGTTTGGGCAGACACTGCCCAAACCAAGCTAGCGGCAGGAGTTTTTTTCATACCCCAGTGGCACATGGAATGCCAGCAAGAGAGAACCTTTCATGCCCCTGGAAAAGGGGCTGAAGGCAGGGAGCCAAGTGATCTAGCTCAGCAGATCCTACCCCCACGGAGCCTAGCAAGCTAAGATCCACTGGCTTGAAATTCTCGCTGCCAGCACTGAAGTCTGAAATTGACTTGAGACACTCTAGCTTGGTGGGGGGAGGGGAGTCTGCCATTACTGAGACTTGAGTAGGCAGTTTTCCCCTCACAGTGTAAACAAAGCCACCAGGAAGTTGGAACTGGGCAGAGCCCACTGCAGCTTGGCAAAGCCACTGTAGCCAGACTGCCTCTCTAGATTTCTCCTCTCTGGGCAGAGCATCTCTGAAAGAAAGCCAGCAGCCCCAGTCCGGGGTTTATAGATACAACTTCCATCTCCCTGGGACAGAGCACCTGGGGGAAAGGGTGGCTATGGGTGCAGCTTCAGTGGACTTACACATTCCTGCCTGCTGGCTCTGAAGAGAACAGCAGATCTCCCAGCACAGCACTCGAGCTCTGCTAAGGGACAGACTGCCTCTTCAAGTGGGTCCCTGACCCCTGTGCCTCCTGACTGGGAGACACCTCCCAGCAGTGGTTGACAGATACCTCATACAGGAGAGCTCTGGCTTGCATCTGGTGGGTGTCTCTCTGGGATGAAGCTTCCAGAGGAAGGAACAGGCAGTGGTCTTTGTTGTTCTGCAGCTTCCGCTGGTGATACTCAGGCAAACAGGGTCTGGAGTGGACCTCCATCAAACTCCAGCAGATCTGCAGCACAGGGGCCTGACTATTGAAAGGAAAACTAACAAACAGAAGGGAATAGCATCAACATCAACAAAAAGGACATCCACACAGAAACTCCATCTGAAGGTCACCAACATCAAAGACCAAAGGTAGATAAATCCATGAAGATGAGGAAAAACCAGCACAAAAAGGCTGAAAATTCCAAAAACCAGAACGCCTTTTCTCCTTCAAAGGATCACAACTCCTCACCAGCAAGAGAACAAAACTGGACGGAGAATGAGTTTGACGAATTGACAGAAGTAGGCTTCAGAAGGTGGGCAATAACAAGTTCTTCTGAGCTAAAGGAGCATGTTCTAACCCAATGCAAGGAAGCTAAGAACCTTGAAAAAATGTTAGACAAATTGCTAACTAGAATAATCAGTTTAGAGAAGAACATGAATGACCTGATGGAGCTAAAAAACACAGCACGAGAACTTCGTGAAGCATACACAAGCATCGATAGCCGAATTGATCAAGTGGAAGAAAGGATATCAGAGATTGAAGATCAACTCAATGAAATAAAGTGTGAAGACAAGATTAGAGAAAAAAGAACGAAAAGGAATGAACAAAGCATCCAAGAAATATGGGACTATGTGAAAAGACCAAACCTATGTTTGATTGGTGTACCTGAAAGCGATGGGGAAAATGGAACCAAGTTGGAAAACACTCTTCAGGATATTATCCAGGAGAATTTCCCCAACCTAGCAAGACAGCCCAACATTCAAATTCAGGAAATACAGAGAACACCACAAAGATACTCCTTGCGAAGAGCAACCCCAAGACACATAATTGTCAGATTCACCAAGGTTGAAATGAAGGAAAAAATGGGCAGCCAGAGAGAAAGGTCAGGTTACCACAAAGGGAAGCCAATCAGACTAACAGTGGATCTCTCTGCAGAAACCCTATGCCAGAAGACAGTGGGGGCCAATATTCAACATTCTTAAAGAAAAGAATTTTCAACCCAGAATTTCATATCCAGCCAAACTAAGCTTCGTAAGTAAAGGAGAAATAAAATCCTTTACAGACAAGCAAATGCTGAGAGATTTTGTCACCACCAGGCCTGCCTTACAAGAGCTCCTGAAGGAAGCACTAAACATGGGAAGGAACAACCGGTACCAGCCACTGCAAAAACATACCAAATTGTAAAGACCGTCAACACTATGAAGAAACTGCATCAACTAACAGGCAAAATAACCAGCTAGCATCATAATGACAGGATCAAATTCACACTTAACAATATTAACCTTAAATGTAAATGGGCTAAATGCCCCAATTAAAAGATGCAGACTGGCAAATTGGATAGAGTCAAGACCTATCGGTGTGCTGTATTCAGGAGACTCATCTCATGTGCAAAGACACACATAAAGGAATGGCAGAATATGTACCAAGCAAAAGGAAAGCAAAAAAAAAAAAAAAAAAAAAGGCAGGGGTTGCAACCCTAAACAGACTTTAAACCAACAAAGATCAAAACAGACAAACAAGGGCATTACATAATGGTAAAGGGATCAATGCAACAAGAAGAGCTAACTATCCTAAATATATATGCACCCAATACAGGAGCACCCAGATTTATAAAGCAAGTTCTTAGAGACCTACAGAGAGACTTAGGCTCCCAAACAATAATAGTGGGAGACTTTAACACCCCACTATCAATATTAGACAGATCAATGAGACAGAAAATTAACAAGGATATTCAGGACTTGAACTCAGCTCTGGACCAACTGGACCTAATAGACATCTACAGAACTCTCTACCCCAAATCCACAGAATATACATTCTTCTCAGCACCACATTGCACTTATTATAAAATTGACCACATAATTGCAAGTAAAGCACTCCTCAGCAAACGCAAAAGAATAGAAATCATAACAAACAGTCTCTCAGACCACAGTGCAATCACCTTAGAATTCAGGATTAAGAAATTCATTCAAAATTGCACAACTATGTGGAAACTGAACAACCTGCTCCTGAATGACTACTGGGTAAATAACAAAATGAAGGCAGAAAGAAATAAATTCTTTGAAACCAATGAGAACAAAGACACAACGTACCAGAATCTCTGGAACACAGCTAAAGTAGTGTTTAGAGGGAAATTTATGGCACTAAATGTCCACAGGAGAAAGTGGGAAACATCTAAAATCAACACCCTAACATCACAATTAAGAGAACTAGAGAAGCAAGAGCAAACAAATTCAAAAGCTAGCAGAAGACAAGAAATAACTAAGATCAGAGCAGAATTGAAGGAGACAGAGACAAAAAACCCTTCAAAAAATCAATGAATCCAGGAGGTGGTTTTTTGAAAAGATTAACAAAATAGACTGCTAGCCAGACAAATAAAGAAAACAGAGAAGAATCCAATAGATACAATAAAAAATGATAAAGGGGATATCACCACTGATCCCACAGAAATACAAACTACCATCAGAGAATACTATAAACGCTTCTACGCAAATAAACTAGAGAATCGAGAAGAAATGGATAAATTCCTGGACACAGACACCTTCCCAAGACTAAACCACGAAGAAGTCGAATTTCTGAATAGACCAATAACAAGTTCTGAAATTGAGGCAGTAATTACTAGCCTACCAAACAAAAAAAGCCCAGGACCAGACAGATTCACAGCTGAATTCTACCAGAGGTACAAAGAGGAGTTGGTACCATTCCTTCTGAAACTATTCCAAACAATAGAAAAAAAGGGACTCCTCCCTAACTCATTTTATGAGGCCAGTATCACCCTGATACCAAAACCTGGCAGAGACACAACAAAAAAAGATAATTTCAGGCCAATATCCCTGATGAACATCGATGCGAAAATCCTTAATAAAATACTGGCAAACCAAATCCAGCAGCACATCAAAAAGTTTATCCACCACGATCAAGTCAGCTTCTTCATCCCTGGGATGCAAGCCTGGTTCAACATACACAAATCAATAAACGTAATCCATCACATAACAGAACCAATGACAAAAACCACGTGATTATCTCAATAGATGCAGAAAAGGCCTTTGATAAAATTCAACACTTCTTTATGCTAAAAACTCTCAATAAACTGGGTATTGATGGAATGCATCTCAAAATAATAAGAGCTATTTATGACAAACCCATGGCCAATGTCACACTGAACTGGCAAAATCTGGAAGCATTCCCTTTGAAAATCGGCAAAAGACAAGCATGCCCTCTCTCACCACTCCTATTCAACATAGTATTGGAAGTTCTGACCAGGGCAATCAGGCAAGAGAAAGAAATAAAGGTATTTAAATAGGAAGAGAGGAAGTTAAATTGTCTCTGTTTGCAGATGACATTATTGGATATTTAGAAAACCTCATCATCTGCTTAAGCTCATAAGCAACTTCAGCAAAGTCTCAGGATACAAAAATCAATGTGCAAAAATCACAAGCATTCCTATACACCAATAATAGACAAACAGCCAAATCATGAGTGAACTCCCATTCATGAATGCTACAAAGAGAGTAAAATAGCTAGGAATACAACTTACAAGGGATGTGAAGGACCTCTTCAAGAAGAACTACAAACCACTGCTCAAGGAAATAAGAGAGAACACAAACAAATGGAAAAACATTCCATGCTCATGGATAGGAATAATCAATATCATGAAAATGGCCATTCTGCCCAAAGTAATTTATAGATTCAGTGCTATCCCCATCAAGCTACCATTGATTTTCTTCATAGAATTAGAAAGAACTACTTTAAATTTCATATGGAACCAAAAAAGAGCCTGTATAGCCAAGACAATCCTGGGCAAGAAGAACAAAGCTGGAGGCATCAAGCTACCTGACTTCAAACTATGCTACAGGACTGCAGTAACCAAAACAGCATGGTACTTGTACCAAAGCAGATATATAGACCAATGGAACAGAACAGGGGCCCCAGAAATAATACCACACATCTACAACCATCCGATCTTTGACAAACCTGACAAAAACAAGCAATGGAGAAAGGATTCCCTATTTAATAAATGGTTTTGGGAAAATTGGCTAGCCATATGCAGAAAAATGAAACTAGACCCCTTCCTTACACCTTATACAAAAATTAACTCAAGATGGATTAAAGACTTAAACCTAAGACCTAAAACCATAAAAACCCTAGAAGAAAACTTAGGTAATACCATTCAAGACATAGGCATGGGCAAAGACTTCATGACTAAAACACCAAAAGCAATTGCAACAAAACCCAAAACAGACAAATGGGATCTAATTAAACTAAAGAGCTTCTGCACAGCAAAAGAAACTATCATCAGAGTGAACAGGCAACCTACAGAATGGGAGACTTTTTTAATCTATCCATCTGACAAAGGGCTAATATCCAGAATCTACAAAGAACTTAAACAAATTTACAAGAAAAAAACAAACAACCCCATCAAAATTGGGTGAAGGATATGAACAGACACCTCTCAAAAGGAGACATTTATGTGGCTCATCATCACTGGTCATTAGAGAAATGCAAATCAAAACCACAGTGAGATACCATGTCACGCCAGTTAGAATGGTGAACATTAAAAAGTCAGGAAACAACAGATGCTGGAGAGGATGTGGAGAAATCGGAACACTTTTACACTGTTAGTGGGAGTGTAAATTAGTTCAACCATTGTGGAAGACAGTGTGGCAATTCCTCAAGGATCCAGAACCAGAAATACCACTTGACCCAGCAATCCCATTACAGGGTATATACCCAAAAGATTATAAATCATTCTACTATGAAGACACATGCATACATGTATTTACAGCAGCACTTTTCACAATAGCAAAGACTTGGAACTAATCCAAATACCCATCAATGATAGACAGTATAAAGAAAATGTGGCATATATACACCATGGAATATTACGCAGCCATTAAAAAGGATGAGTTCATGTCGTTTGCAGGGACATGGTTGAAGCTGGAAATCATCATTCGCAGCAAACTAACACAGGAACAGAAAACCAAACACTGCATTCTCACTCATAAGTGGGAGTTGAACAATGAGAACACATGGACACAGGGAGGGGAATATCACACACTGGGGCCTGTCAGTGGGGTGAGCTAGGGGAGGGATAGTATTAGGAGAAACACCTAACGCAGATGACAGGTTGATGGGTGCCACAAACCACCATGGCACATGTATACCTATGTAACAAACCTGCACGTTCATGCATGTATCCCAGAACTTACAGTATAATTTATTTAAAAAAAAAGATACTATGACAATTAGGTACTCTTTTTGGGAAAAATCACATTGAAGTCTCAACTCACATTATATCAACAGACAAATTCTGGAGGAATTAAAGAGTGGAACTTACACAAATATCATTATGAACATCTACTTGATCTTTGAATGGAGAAGGGCTTAAAAACAAAAAGGATCACTAAGGAAAATATTAATAAATTTAGCTACCTAAAGACTGAATAATTGCATGGCAAAAATATATCTTAAGAAAAGAAAACACTGGAAAATCTTTGTAACAAATATAAAAGGTGAAAGTTTAGTACCTCTAATATATGAAGAGCTCATTGAAATGAAAAAAGAAAACTTCAGTAGATGATTGGCAAAGAAAATGGAAAGATAACACTCAAAAGAAAAATATAAATAGCTAATAGCAAGTAATGTTCAGTTTTACTGGCAATCAGGCAATCATGAGATTATAGTTTTAATTATCTAAAGTTAGCAAAATTAGTAAACATTAAATAATTTATTTTTTAAGAGACAGGGTCTCACTCTCACCCAGGCTGGAGTGCAGTGGTGGGATCATACTCACCGAAATCTCAAACTCCTGGCATCCAGCAATCCTCCTGCCTCAGCCTCTGGAGTAAGTGGGACTACGAGCATGCACTGTTTCCATGGCTAATTTTTAAATTTTTATGTAGAGATGAGGTCACTTGGTTGCCTGTGCTAGTCTTGAACTCCTGGCCTCAAGCAATCCTCCCACTTCAGCCTCTCAAAGTACTGGGATTACAAGTGTGAGCCACCGTGCCCACCCTATAGAATATTTTTTAAAAATTTATCTGTAAGTATAGTAAAAACACATAAAGTTGATCATCTTAATCAGTAATTGATCAGTAGTGTTAAGTATCTTTACATTTTTTGTGAAACAGATCTCCAGAACATTTTCATCTCGCAAAACTGAAACACTATACCCATTAAACAGCTCCCCCCTTCTTCTCTTTCCCAGTCTCTGGTAATCACTATTCTAATGTCTGCTCCTATGAATTTCAGTACTTTAGGTGCCTCATGTAAGTGGAATAATACAGTATTTGTCTTATTGTGGATTGGCCTATTTCACTTAGCATAATGTCATCGATGTTCATCTATGTTGTTGCATGTGAGAGATTGTTCTTCCTTTTTAAGGCTGAATAATATTCCATTGCAGGTATATATCACATTTTGTTTATCTTCTTATCCATCAGTGGACATACGGTTACTTTCACCTCTTGGCTATTGTGAATAATGCTGCTGTGAACATGGTTATGCATATATCTCTTAGAGATACTGCTTTCAAGTCTTTTGGATATATACCTAGAAGTGGGATTATTGGAATATAAGGAAATTCTATTTATAATTTTTTAAGGAAAAAAGTAACGAATTTTATGATGTTTAATTCTATTATAACCTCTCATTGGTACAGATATGCTGCTGGTGGAAGTACAAATTGGCATCCCCTTTCTGAAAGGCAAATTAGCTGCATATATAAATATCCTTAAAACTATTCATGCCAATTGTCTCCCTTCTCAATGAATTAGTCACAAGGAAAAATCATATATGTGGATAAGGACTCTCCACAACAATGTTCAATGCAACTGCAAATAATATGAAATACATGAAAACAATCTAAATGACCATAGTTAAATGAAACATGGTAACGTGCATGATGGGATATTACACAGCTATTTGGAAAAGATGTTTTGATACATTCTTCATGTAATGGAAATGATTCTGATATAGTATTTAACAAAAGAGTAATATATATAATAGTGTTTACAATATGATCTAAACATTTATAGAAAAATGGACTAAAAAGTTAACTTTTTTAACTGATTGGTGAACTTATTGATGATTTTTATTTATATCTTCTTGACATTAATGTGTGATGCATTTTCAAAAATTTCTAAATGGATTTGTATTACTTTAATTGTCAGGGAAATACAAAATAAAAGTTT
This sequence comes from Homo sapiens, assembly GCF_000001405.40. Classification (NCBI taxonomy): domain Eukaryota; kingdom Metazoa; phylum Chordata; class Mammalia; order Primates; family Hominidae; genus Homo; species Homo sapiens. The sequence continues at coordinate 104,621,800 of NC_000002.12, read as the reverse complement.
CATATTTACAAATAATTGTTATGGATGGTGAAATGCTTAGTGTAAGCATTTATTATCAAACATTTATTCACTTCCATTATATATCAGACATTGTTCCATGTGCTTAGGGTTTGTCAATGAACAAACTAAAGCCCCCCCACCCCCCCACCAATGTGGGGCTTATATTGTAGCAGTGGGAGACAGAAAATTAACAGTAAGCATATCAAATAAGTGAGTTATGTAGTATATTAGGATGATAAGAGTGTTACAGTAAAAAGAAAAATAGGATAAGAAGGATCAAAAATCAAATAAAGCAGGGGTGTGGGGGTAAGGGAGACAGGTTGAGGTGTTAAGTGGTTGCAATTGGCCTCACTGGGAAAGTGACATAGGAGCAATGACTTGCCAGTGCGGAAATTAACCACGTGGATACCTGGGGAAAAGGGCCTCTTTTTACTGCCAGAAAGAACTGCCAGAGCAAAAGCCCTCGGACTAGGGGTTGCAGCTGGGGGAGAACAGGGAAGCCGGGAGGGGTAGTGCAGGGTGAGTGATGGACAGTGTAGTAGACAAGATCAGAGCGACCCTTGCAGGGGCCTGGGACAGGTATTAGCAAGGTTTGGTGGCCATTGCAAGCACTTTGGTTTTTACTCTGAATAGAAATAGGACCCAGGAAAGGGTTTTGAACAGATGATTGACTTCTGCTTTTAAAGGCTTCCTGTGGCCGTTGAGGGGCTTTTAGATGGCAGTGGCAGGGACAGACACCGGATGTCCAGCAGGAAGCCCGATGTGGTGACGTGGGCAAGCGTGTGGCAGCTCTGCCATGGGGGCAGACGTGGAAGCTGTGAGAAACTGGGTCATGAATACATTTTAAAGGCAGTGTGGCAGAATCCCTGATGGGTTGGATGTGGGTGTGAGAGAAAGGGAAGAGTCAAGGATAGCTAAGACTTGAGCAGTTGGGAGGACAGAGTTGATGTCACACGTAATAGGGAGAACAGCAGTTGGGCAAGTGCTGCCCAGGTCACCCCAGAAGTGAGAGTAGCAGCAGAAAAAGGGAAAGGACTGTGCCTGGAGAAGTCACACATGGAGACATCTGGGGAAAGAGATGAAGAAGTCGTGTGGACTAAGAAAGAGTCAGAGGGAGGTGGAAACCTAAGAGAGGGCAGGGAAGCACGTGTATCAAGGAGGAGTGAGTGATCCACTGTGCTCCAGGCAGTTACACCAAGTACAGTTGGATTTAACCATCTGGAGAGCATCTATGGTGGTAGGAATCTGTGGAAGTTCTCTTCTGACAGCTTCAGTTTTCTCAGGGAAGTAGGATGGGGAAGCAGGGAGTGCCGGCTGCGGTGATTTGATTTTCTTCTCAGGCGTTCCAGTTAGCATGGTGAGAAGAGCCATCAGGCAACTTTTTGTGTCTTAATTCAATGGAAGTAACATGTCTTAGGGATCGCCATGGGCTGAATCACCATGTAACATTCTTCAGATGTGGAGAGGCACTGATATCTTGCTTGGCTTGAAGCTGGACAGTAAACAAAATGGAAAGTCATAAACTCCTTTCTCTAAGTTTAAACTTGTAGTTTTCATGTTAAGTGTCCTGTTATTTCTTTGTTTGTTTAGTTTGTTTGTTTTTGTTTTTTTTTTGAGACCAGGTCTCACTCTTATCACCCAATCTGGAGTGCAGTGGAATGATCATAGCTCACTGCAGCCTCGATCTCCTGGGCTCAAGCAATCGTCCCACCTCAGCCTCCCAAATACCTGGGTCTGCTTGTAGCTGGGACTACAAGCACGTGCTACTGTGATTGACTATTTTTTGTGGAGATGGGGTCTTGCTGTATTGCCCAGGCTGGTCTTGAAATCCTGGCCTCAAGTGATTCTCTTGCCTCAGCCTCCCAAAGTGTTAGGATTACAGGTAAGTGCCAGCATGCCTGGGCCATCCCTTTGTATTAATCCAAAGTTGTCCCAGAGTAATAACATTCTTGACTTCATTACTAAGAGACAGGGAACACAGTCCACCAAATATCTCCTTTATCATTAATCTGACATAGGGGGATAAATGATATCAACCATTCAATATAAGCAAAACCACAATTTTCTCATACTTAATAAAAATAAGATATTTATAGTACATTAGTTTAAACCAAATTTGCTAATCTGATTGGTAGAAAGGAACTGTGTAAGAGATTAATATAATGGACTAACGCCTCTAATATAATTGAAGACTAGGATTTTCACGTCATATTAGTGACTTCCATGCTTTTTGTGCAGTTTTCTGATGGAATTAATGTCAAACGCAACACACAAACTGCTTCCCTGTACTGGCCGGAGGAACTTTTGTAAAATATTAATACATAATGAGTTTATCATCTTTAAACACTGTTACAACACATTAAGTGTTCTGTTTTCCCATGTTTAAAAGAAGTCACTCCACAAAAGACAATGATTTTGCCTTTTTCCTCACCAACAACGTTGATGTCTCTTCAAAGTTGAGAGCACATGCAGTTTGAAGACCCCTGTCATTTTCCACAAGCCAGGAACGGTGCTCACTGTGTTGACTCTCACATTCTTTTACCCCGCCCTCTGACAGTCAGACCTGTGAGCCTGCGAGCTTTATGGCCAGGATCATGATGGAATTTTTGGTCTTCAAAAAGTATTGCTTTTTAAGAACAGAGCTTATTTGTCCAAATACTGGTGAAAGCTCTGTTTGGGGAATTTGATGGGTTTGCTCAATGAGTGGCTTCCTATTATCGTTAGGCTCAAGCCTCAAGTCCCTGGCAGAGCCCAGGAGGCAACTGGTGTGCTGGGCGTGGCTCATCATCCAGTCTCTTTTTTTTTTTGAGACAGAATCTCGCTCTGTTGCCCAGGCTGGAGTGCAGTGGCATGACCTTGGCTCACTGCAACCTCCACCTCCCGGGTCCAAGCAATCTCCTTCCTTAGCCTCCCGAGTACCTGGAACTACTAGCCTACCACCACGCCCGGCTAATATTTTGTATTTTTAGTAGAGACAGGATTTCACCATGTTGGCCAGGCTAATCTCAAACTCCTGACCTCAGGTGATCCACCTGCCTCAGCCTCCCAAAGTGCTGGGATTACAGGCATGAGCCACCGTGCCCAGCCTGAGTTTCCTATCTGGTCACCCTTCTTCTACCATGCTTCCTCACTCCCCACCCCCGGTCTATGTCTTCCCTGAACTATCTGCAGAACAACCTCAGGCTGTTTCAGAACTCTGTGACTTTGCCATGCTGTGCTTTTAGGCTGTGAGAGGTTTTTTAAAAAACTCACCTTCATCTCCCTAGCAATCCACCTTCTCTGATTCTCACTCTCATGTTCCATGTGAGTCTCACTCCCAGGACCCACTGTCTCACTGTGGCCATCATCATGCTCACCACATTGCATGATAATTATACTCTTGCATATCTTTCTCCCATTCTCGATCGCGAGCTACTTGAAGACAGGGACTAAGTCTTACATCCCTGAATTCCTCTTCAGTTTCTGATACAATAAATGTGTGACAAATAAGTGAATGTATGGATGAATGCCAGGGTCACTAGAATTAAACTCTGTCAACTGAGAAGTTCCTTTCTCATTGGTATAAGTCCGCCTTGATCTATGCATATCGAGTTAGGACAACTTCCATTTTGTGCAGTTAAAAACAATGAAAGTTCTTCCACTTATCTATTTCTACCTATTATCTCTATCTATGTATCTATCTATCTTTAACTATCTATCTATCTATCTATCTATCATCTATCTATATTGTAGTTCAATTTGGTAGTTATCTTGACTTTTCTGCTTGTTGCAGATAAACTTTGAAAAATTATAGAAATGATCTTTCAGGTTACTTCCCTGTCTCTTTTCTTTCTTCACCTTAGAAAGTCCATTGTAATTAACTGCTATATGAATGGGTCCTGGTATAGAAAACACTTAAAGGAAATATCCTGGTAACCAGATGATGAGACACTTCCATTCTGTGCTGGTCTTTTAATAACTGTGTGATAAAAACAAGGTGGTCTAGCCTACCTTCAGTCTAAAGCAGCCTCCATGTGGTTGAATATCTGGAGCAATGGTGTGTACTTGTACACATAAGACTGATAGAGTATTTAAGACCTTCCAAACAAATGGATATTCACCGAGGGGTACATGGTAATATATGTTACATTTAGTGAGTGTGTCAAAATCTCACAGTCGTGTTTCTTTGACCAGCTCTTCTAGGAGAAGTGGCCTGAGGGGACATTCTTTTACACAAAGCACATGCCCATAAAGGCAAAGCATGCCTTGGCATAGACAGCAAGATTCTACAAGGTGATTTGTATTGCATTTCAGATCAATTTCCCAAGAGTATTCAAATCAGAAATTATAATGGAAATCAAGGTGAGAATGTATTTGTCTCTCTATATTTTGCTTTACATACGAATCCCTTACTATTGTGACATTTTCAGCTGTATGGCATCTAAGAATGATGATCTCACTTTTGCTCCTGGAATAGATTCCTTTTTCTATGCCGAGCAGCTCCATGAAGCCTTTAAACATATAAAACTAAAAAAAGGTATTACATAATTAAATAAAGCTGTCTTCTAGCTTCTCCTGAAATGGGCAAGAAAGGGAATCAAAAGATAACAGAAATAAGGTTTGGTTTTGTGTTTTTCCCCCTCAGGCAGACCACTCTTCTTAGCTTAAGGTAGCAGCATGAATGAGAGTGATGGACTACTTGGCTGCAGTAATTTATGGTTTTCTATGTGACAGCCTATTTTTGAATGCTTCGGCTTTTTATAGTTTCCAGGATTAGTACTTGCTGCCAAAACAAGAGATCACTCTCCTTGGACAGACTGTAATTCAATAGCACAACTTGGGAGCAAGCCACCTTCCCCTGTGTTCTACCACCCACTTTGGTCACCCTGTGATACACAGAGGCGCCATATCACCTGTCCAGTGGGCACTGTGTATCCCGCTTGGATGCAGATAAAATGAGCCTGAAAAAGAATTGAAACCCTGTGAAATGTAACCAAGATTCACATTTACTTGCACTCTCCATACTACATTTGGGTGATTTAAGTAGAGAAGCATGTTCCGTTTTGTAAAAGAAAAGTCAAAATTTCAAAAATAGGCAAGGTGGGAGAATTTGGTCTGTATAAAGCTACGGAATTAGCATGTGTATTTCTGCTGGGTTTTCAAAGTACTTTCATGTCATCTTAAGCATCCTTCACTGTCTACTTGTGTGAGTGGGTAATATTATTTTTGCTTGAAGACAAATGACTTGTTTGTGATTACACAATCAGTAAGTGTAAAAATTAAAGATTCAAACTTGGAGCTTATGATTCCAGATCACCAATTTTTCTCTTCTACATGTTTAACATGAAGTATACAAATGTAAATGTGTATATATACACAGTGCTAAATTCTCTGTTATTAAAGTGGCAGATTCGAAAGTGAAGGCTCCAGTGGACAATATCTTCTGTTACCCACACTCCTGTGCAGTGGTACCAATGAGAATCCTGAAAGATACAATCCTGGATGCCAAAATCCCAAATGCTGAAATCCCTAAAGATCAAAATCACTGTCTACAGTCTAAAATCCCTAATGTCCAGTTGAATCCCAAACTACAATGACAGATTTGGAATTAGGCATGATCAAGGCTTCTAAAAGTGAATTTCAAGTTGCCACCAATGAAGTTTGTTTTTTTACATTCAGTCCTATGCATTTGGTGGAAAATTCAGATGAGTGGCTTAGCCACAAGATATGGCAACGATGAAAACTTCACTTTAAAAATTCATCATTTGTCTACATTGGCATTCCTTCCACCTGATGAAATTCCAGACTTTTTAATAAATTAAAGCTGCATTTGCTTGAAGAAGCCAGAGAAGTTATTGACTAGTTCAAAAATAATTATGGGCATGGTAGGATAAGAAGACACTTAAGCAACGGTGGTGCTTTTCAATCACGAGGATTGTTTCTGCCAAATTTGTGGCCTACACAGGCGTGCATGCAAAATGGATCTCTGCATGCCCAAAACAACTTAGAAGCATGGCACAGAAGATAGGAAAATTTAATAGGGAATGCTCATGTCGGTGTATATTGAATCATAAAAGAATTTCAGCAAGAGCAGAGCCACATAGAAAATGAATGTGAACAAATTCTCCAAGGAGAGCCACATCCTAAAAGAAAAAAAATAGCAGCTGGCCAGGCATGGTGGCTCACTCCTTAATCCCAGCACTTTAGGAGGCCGAGGTGGGTGGATCACCTGAGGTCAGGAGTTTGAGACCAGCCTGACCAACATGGCAAACCCCATCTCTACTAAAAATACAAAAAAATTAGCTGGGGATGGTGGCATGTACCTGTAGTCCCAGCTACTTGGGAAGCTGAGGCAGGAGAATCGCTTGAACCCAGGAAGCAGAGGTTGCAGTGAGCCGAGAATCTTTCACTCCAGCCTGGGTGACAGAGCAAGAACAAGGCTCAGTCTCAAAAAAAAAAAAAAAAAAACAATAACAAACAAACAAAAAAAAAACAGCTTTTCATCAAGTTACAACACTTCAAAATACAGTTAATGATAGTGAGAGTCAGCCAGCTCTTGTGGACTATCTCCATGCAATTGCCCATAATCTATCCCCATAACATACTCTTTCATATGTTAAATTTTCTTTTTCTTGTTCTTTTTTTCCCCACTATTTTAAATTATCAGCATTATTGTTTACAATTCACTGTCCCATATATTTTGTCTTTTCATCATTTCCAATACTAGAGGTACAAATTATATAAAGACTTTTAGAGAGTTCTAGTTCGTTTTATGCATTTTTTTGCAAACTTGACTCTGCATTATCACAATGTTGACTTTGTAAGTGTTTTATGTGTGCATGTAAAAATGTTGAAAATTCCCCAATAAATGAAGAGATGTCCTTTTTGTACATTTGCTTTTGTGAAAATTAAAATTTCTCAAAAACTCAGACCTTTGGGCAACTTACATATGCAGTGGTGACCCACTTCATTTTGGATCAGTCTTTTAACTGTTATTAGTATGTTATTACTGTCTATTTTATTGTATTAAGTGGCTTATAAAGTGTTCTGTTGTGTTTTTATGTTTCTCAAATAAATCCTCTTTTAAAATGTAAATAAACATCTTTTAAAGAATTTTAAAAATTATTTCTTCCAGAATTATATTTTTGGGATTTTGATCTTTCATAATTTTGATTTTCAGGATTTCGTTCTGTCAAGATTTCAAAATTTGGGATTATGGTGTTCAGGACTGTGTCTTTCAGGATTAAGACCTATCCCTTCCCAACCCTATGCAGCTTCCTCTTACCAAGAATTAGGCTGCCCTCTGTCACTAACCAAAGGAGATGGAAGTAATGCCACGTGACTTTTCTAGGCTAAATTCTAAGGATACTTGGCAGGTTGGGCCTTGGTCCTATGGAACTCTCATTGTTTAGTGAGCCAGCTACCATTCAGAAGTTTGACCACCTGAGATTACCATGCTGGGAGGAAGCCCAGCCACTTGAGTGGCCACAGATAGAGATGGCTGACAGGCCTCAGCTGTTCCAGTCATCTCAGGCCAGGTGTCAGAAATGGTGGTGAAGAAGCTTCCAGAAAACTCAGGCTTTGCCACTGAGAGACCTCGAGCAACATCCACCCAGCCAAGCCAAGCTCTGTGAGAGAGCATAATACATTATTGTTTGAAATCATTAAGTTTTGGGTAGTGTGATAGGCAGCCATAGATAACTAGAATAGGGATGTATAAAGCTTTCCCTATTTTCCTTTGAAAACATCATTACATTTCTATCTTATGTAATCTCAAAAGCTAAACAAATAAACAAACACCAAAACTGAAGTGATCATTTTCCTGGGCTCTCTTTTTCCTTCCTTCCTTTTTCTTTCTTTATTTTTCTTTCTTAAAAAACAATAACAACAATAACAACAACAACAACAACAAAAACACCTTTCCACCCATAAAAGGTAAATAATTTGAACAATGTTTCAGAGCACAAGGAAACTTTAAGTTTCTGTATTCAGAATACCAGTGTTAGGATCAGTTCTCCACAGGTCTCTCATGCTTCTAAGCATCTTGTGAGCAGAGGCACTGGCTGCTTTTGTTCTGCACCATCTTTTCAAGGACATTGGATAGCAAAGCAGCTTTGGAAGACAGAGAGAGAAAAGAAGGAGATTTTACCCTACTTGCAAGCCGGCAAGTTAGTTTGCCGTAGTTTCATGGATGTGTGTAGTATAATGAAGATCATGTCTTACTGTGGAGCAAAGGACAGGCAGGCTTAGTGCCTGTTAAAAAAAGGTTTACATTCCCTAAGCTCAGAGGTCCTCTCTTGTAGCACAGTTCATGATGCATACAGGTGTTATGTTGTAGAAATTGAGGCTTAGAGAATCTGTCCAAATGCTGATAATCTGGCTACTTCTACAGTTGTGAGTAACACATTGCCCTTTGTTGCTGACCCAGGAATCTCATGTCTTATACTGGCATCCACGAAACTAAGGCAAACTAAGCAATGTATTTATGATCCAGTTTCTCGGCATCCTCATCAGCATTTGGTGTTGTCACTACTTTTTGTTTTAGCCATTCTGATAGCTGTATAGTGGTATCTCATTGTGGTTTTAATTGGCATTTCCTTAATAATTAATGATGCTGAAGATGCCTTCATGTGCTTATTTGCCATCTGTATACAGTCATGAGTTACTTAACAACATGGATACATTCTGAGAAATGCATCATTAGGTGATTTTGTCGTTATGGGATTATTATAATGTACTTACAGGAACCTAGATGGTATAGCCTACTACATACCTAGGCTATAAGTCTGGTACAGTCTAATTGTTCCTAGGCTACAAACCCATATATCATGTTACTCTACTGAATACTGTAAACAATTGTAGCACAATGGCATTTGTGAATCTAAACATAGGAAATGTACAGCAAAAATATGGTATAGATTGGTGCAAAAGTAATTGCGGGTTTTGCCATTACTTTTAATGGCAAAAATTAGGAGTATATTAATATTACACTCTTGTGGGAGCACCATCATATATGTGATCCAACATTGCCCCAAACATCTTTATGCAACACATGACTGTATCTTCTTTGGTAAAATGTCTTTTCACGTCTTTTGTTCATGACCTAATTGTTTCTTTTTAAATTGTTGAGTTTTGACGGTTTTTTTTAAAAAAATTTCTAGATGTTTATTTTTTGTTATGTATGCAGTTTGCAAACAGTTTCTCCCACTCTGTAGTTTATCTTTTTATCTTCTTAAAAAATCTGTCACAGAGCAAAAGTTATAAATTTTGATGAAATCCAATTTTTCCAATTTTTCTTTCTTAGCTTGTGCTTTTGGTGTCAAGTCCAAGAACATTTTGCCTAGTCCTGGATCCTAAAGATTTCCTCTTATCTTTTTTCTAAAAGTTTTATATTTTTACATGTGACATTTAAGTCTATGATCCCCTAGTACCTCAGAATGTAATCATACTTTAAGATAATGTAATCATACTTTGAGATAAGATCTTTAAAGGGGCAATTAAGTTAAAATGATGCTGTTAGGGTGGGACCCTAATCGGACTGATCCATTCATAAGAGGAAGAGACGTCAAGGATGAACACAAATAAATGAATGACCACGGGAAAAGGCAGGAAGAGGGTGGCCATCTGCAAACCAAGGTGAGAGGTGTCAGAGGAATTCAATCCTGCTGGCTCCTTGATCTTGAATTTTTAGCCTTCAAAACTCTGAGAAATTAAATTTCTATGGTTTAAGCTATCCAGCCTGTGGTGTTTTGTTTTGGCAGCCCTATCCAACTATTATGGCTGTGTATCAATTTGGAAAGAATTGATACCTTCACCTGGTTCAGTCTTCCAATCCGTGAACTAAGTATATCTCTCCATTTTATGCAGATCTTTGTTTTCCATCATCAGCATTTGCAGTTTTCAGCATGCAAGATCTATACATGTTTCGTTAGGTTTATACCTAAGTACTTCATTTTAAGTAATCACTAATGGTCTTACATTTTTAACTTCTATTTTTAGTATTTATTACTAGTGGATTAAAATATAATTGATTTTTGTGTATTTATCTTGTATTCTGTGACCAAGCTTAGTTCACTTATTAGTTCTAGAAGTTTTCTGAGGGTGGATTCCTTGGGGTAGTCTACATAGGCAACCATGTTTCTACATATAGAGACAGTTTTATTTCTTCTTTTCTGATCAATATGCCTATTATTTCCTTTTCATGCCATACTGTACTGTTGAGATCTTTCAACATTATGTTCAATAGCAATGGTTAGACACATCCTTGCTGTGTTTCCAGTCTTTGCCAAAATAATTCAGTCTTTCACCTTTACGTATAATGTTAACCATATATATTTTGTAGATGCTTTTTACTTGGCTTAGGAAATCCTCATCTATTTCTATTTTTTTCTGAGAGATTTTATCACAGGTGGATATTCAATTTTGTTGAATATTTTTTTCTACATTAATTGGTGTGATCATGTGTTTTTTCTTCTTTACCCTGTTAATATATGGTAGACTACACTGATTAATATTCAAATACTAAACCAGTCTTGCATCCCTGGAATAAACCCACTTAATTGCCTTTTACAATATTAACAAATATTGTTTTGTTAATATTTGTTAAGATTAGTTAATATTTTGTTTGTTAATTATTTGTTAATATTTTATTAAGAACTTCTGCATCTACATTCATAAGGAATAGTGGTCTATAATTTTTTGTTTTGTCTTTTTTTGGTACTGTCTTTATCTGGATTTGTTATCAGAGTAATATTAGTTTCATAAAGTGAATTAGGAAGCATTTTCTCAAATTCTATTTTCTGGAAGAAATTGTGCAAAATCAATAGTCATCTTTTTTTTTTTTTTTTTTTTTTGAGATAGGGCCTTACTTTATTGCCCAGGCTGGAATGCAATGTCTCCCTGCAGCCTCAATCTCCCGGGCTCAAGTGATCCTCCCATCTCAACCTCCCAGGTGGGCACCACCATGCCTGGCATTTTAAAAACTTTTTTTTTTTTTTTTATAGAGATGGGAGTCTCACTATGTTGCCCAGGCTGGTCTCGAACTCCTGGGTTCAAGTGATCCTCCTATCTTGGCCACCCAAATTGTCGGGATTATAGGCGTGAGCCACTGTGCCCAGTGTTAATTCCTTAAATATTTGAAACAAAATCCCCAGTGAAACCATCTGGGCCTAGAGATTACTTTTTACAGAATTTAACATACAAATTTAATTTTCTTGAAAATTGTAAAGTTTTTAAAATTATGTATTTTATATAGGCAAGTTGTGATAATATGTAATTTTTGAAGAACTGTTCTATTTCATCTAAGTTGTCAAATTTACGTATGTACAGTTTTTCTTACTGTTCCCACATTATCCTTTTTACATGGCAGTCTCTGTAGTGATATCACATTTTATTCTTAATGCTAGTAATTTGTACCTTCTCTCTTTGTTTTTGTCAGTCTTGTTAGAAGATTGATTGTATTGATCTTTTCAATTAACCAGCTCTTTGTTTCATTGATTCATTTTATTGTTTTTCTGTTTTCAGTCTCATTGATTTCTGCTTTAATCTTTATTTTTTCTTCCTACTGCTTGCTTTGGATTTATTTTGCTCTCTTTTTCCAAGGTTCTTGAAGTGAGGAGTTGAATTGTTGATTTGAGACACTATATCTTTCCTAGTGGATGAAAATACAATTGATTTTTGTGTATTTATCTTGTATTCTGTGACCAAGCTTAGTTCACTTATTAGTTCTAGAAGTTTTTTGAGGGTGGATTCCTTGGGGTAGTCTACATAGGCAACCATGTTTCTGCATATAGAGACAGTTTTATTTCTTCTATAAATTTCCTTTTGAAAAGTACTTTACCTTTATTCTATAAATCTTGCTATATATTTTTTATTTCAGTTTCTTGTATTTTTCAAGTCCTGGATAGCCTTGTTAACCTTCTGTCTTGTTGATCTGTCTAATATTGACAGGAGGGTGTTAAAGTCTCCCATTATTATTGTGTGGGAGTCTAAGTCTCTTTGTAGGTCTCTAAGGGCTTGCTTTATGAATCTGGTTGCTCCAGTATTGGGTGCATATATATTTAGGATAGTTAGCCCTTCTTGTTGAATTGATCCCTTTACCATTATGTAATGGCCTTCTTTGACTCTTTTGATCTTTGTTGGTTTAAAGTCTGTTTTATCAGAGACTAGGATTGCAACCCCTCCGTTTTTTTGCTTTCCATTTGCTTGGTAGATCTTCCTTCATCCCTTTATTTTGAGCCTATGTGTGTCTCTGCATGTCAGATGGGTCTCCTGAATACAGCACACTGATGGGTCTTGACTGTTTATCTAATTTGCCAGTCTGTGTCTTTTATTTGGGCATTTAGCCCATTTACATTTAAGGTTAATATTGTTATGTGTGAATTTGATCCTATCATTATGATGTTAGCTGGTTATTTTGCCCATTAGTTGATGCAGTTTCTTCCTAGCCTCGATGGTCTTTACAATTTGGCATGTTTTTGCAGTGGCTGGTACTGGTTGTTCCTTTCCATGTTTAGGAGCTCTTGTAAGGTAGGCCTGGTGGTGACAAAAATCTCTCAGCATTTGCTTGTCTGTAAAGGATTTTATTTCACCTTCACTTATGAAGCTTAGTTTGGCTGGATATGAAATTCTGGGTTGAAAATTCTTTTCTTTAAGAATGTTGAATATTAGCCTCCACTCTCTTCTGGCATAGGGTTTCCGCCTTGAGATCCACTGTTAGTCTGATGGGCTTCCCTTTGTGGGTAACCCGACCTTTCTCTCTGGCTGCTCTTAACATTTTCTCCTTCATTTCATCCTTGGTGAATCTGATGATTATGTGTCTTGGGGTTGCTCTTCTTGAGGAGTATCTTTGTGGTGTTCTCTGTATTTCCTGAATTTGAATGTTGGGCTGTCTTGCTAGGTTGGGGAAGTTCTCTTGGATAATACCCTGAAGAGTGTTTTCCAACTTGGTTCTATTTTCCCTGTCACTTTCAGGTTCACCAATCAAACTAGATTTGGTCTTTTCACATAGTCCCATATTTCTTGGAGGTTTTGTTCATTTCTTTTTTTTCTTTTTCCTCTAAACTCTTCTCACTTTATTTCCTTAATTTGATCTTCAATCACTGATACCCTTTCTTCGACTTGATCGAATCGGCTATTGAAGCTTGCACATGCATCACGTAGTTCTCGTGCCATGGTTTTCAGCTCCATCAGGTCATTTAGGTCTTCTCTACACTGTTCATTCTAGTTAGCCATTCATCTAATCTTTTTTCAAGGTTTTTATCTTCCTTGAGATGGGTTTGAACATCCTCCTTTAGCTGGGAGAAGTTTGTTATTACCAACCTTCTGAAGCCTACTTCTGTCAGCTCATCAAAGTCATTCTCCATCCAGCTTTGTTCCTCTGCTGACGAGGAGCTGGGATCCTTTGGAGGAGAAGAAGCACCCTGGTTTTTAGAATTTTCAGCTTTTCTTCTCTGGTTTCTCCCCATCTTTGTGGTTTTATCTACCTTTGGTCTTTGATGTTGGTGACCTACAGATGGGGTATTGGTGTGGATGTCCTTTCTTTGATGTTGATGCTATTCCTTTCTGTTTGTTAGTTTTCCTCCTAACAGTCAGGTCCCTCAGCTGCAGATCTGTTGGAGTTTGCTGAAGGTCCAGTCCAGACCCTGTTTGCTTGGGTATCACCAGTGGAGGCTGCAGAACAGCAAATATTGCTGCCTGATCCTTCCTCTGGAAGTTAGTCCCAGAGGGGCATCTGCCTGTATGAGGTGTCAGTCGGCCCCTACTGGGAGGTGTCTCCCAGTTAGGCTACACGGAGTCAGGGACCCACTTGAGGAGGCAGTCTGTTCGTTCTCAGAGTTCAAACACTGTGCTGGGAGAACCGCTGCTCTCTTCAGAGCTGTCAGACAGGGACGTTTAAGTCTGCAGAAGTTTCTGCTGCCGTTTGTTCAGCTATGCCCTACCCCCAGAGGTGGAATGTACAGAGGCAACAGGCCTTGCTGAGCTGCAGTGGTCTCCACCCAGTTCGAGCTTCCCTGGCCACTTTGTTTACCTACTCAAGTCTCAGCAATGGTGGACACCCCTCCCCCAGCCAGGCTGCCGCCTTGCAGTTCGATCTCAGACTGCTGCGCTAGCAGTGAGCAAGGCTCTGGATGTGGGACCTGCCAAGCCATGCACGGGATATAATCTCCTGGTGTGCCGTTTGCTAAGACTATTATTGGAAAAGCACAGTATTTGGGTGGGAGTGTCCCAATTTTCCAGGTACAGTCTGTCACAGCTTCCCTTGGCTAGGAAAGGGAAATCTCCCCACCCCTTGCACTTCCTGGGTAAGGCAATGCCTGACCCTGCTTCAGCTCACCCTCCATGGGCTGCACCCACTGTCCAACCAGTCCTAATGAGATGAACCAGGTACCTCAGTTGGAAATACAGAAATCACCCATCTTCTGCATTGGTCACACTGGAAGCTGCAGATTGGAGCTGTTCTTATTCAGCCATCTTGGAACGGAAGCAGTTTCTTGTATTTTAAAAATTTTCCTTGAGACTTTCACTTTGACCCATGGATTATTTAGAAATATAGTGTTTACTTTCCACATGTCTGGAGATTTTTCCTGCTATCTTTCTGTTACTGATTTTAGTTTGAGATCATTATTGTCAAAGAATACACTCTGCATGATTTCAATCCTTTTACATTTATTGAGGTTTGTTTTGTCACCAAAGAAATGTTGTATCTTGTTATATTTTCCATTCCACAGGCACTTGAAAAGAATATACTGCCTGCCTGCTCTTATTCACTGTAGTGTTCTATAAATGATAATTACACCCTGGTGGTTGATGTGTGTATGTGTTTTTGTTTTTGTTCTTGTTTGAGTTCTATGTTCTTGTGATTTTCTGTATACTTTTACATCAATTACTGAGAATGAAGTGTCAAAAAGTCTCCATCTGTTACAATGGATTTGTATGTTTTTCCCTATAGTTTTACCAGGTTTTGCTTTACATATTTTGCAGCTCTTTTGTTTGGGGCATACACATTTAGGATTGCTATGTCTTCTTTTTGGACTGACCTTTTATCATTATTTAGTATTATTTTCTGGTCCTTGTAATTTTCCTTGCTCTGAAGTTCACAGTATCTGATATTCATATATTCATTTCTGCTTTCCTTCAATAGTGTTTGCATGACTCTTTTCACATGTTTTAACTTCCAGTCTGCCTATTTTGTTATGTTTGAAATAAGTTTATTGTAGATAGCACATAGTTGGAGATGAGTTTTTGTCCTGTGGCCAGGCTGGTCTCCAACTCCTGACCTTAAGTGATCTGCCTGCCACGGTCTCCCAAAGTGCTGCACCTGGCCCACATACAGTAATTTCTGATATGTTAGGACTTAAGTCTGCAATTTCATTTTTCGTTTTCTTTTGTTCTATTTTTCATTTTTCTATTTACCTTTTCCTGCTTTCCTGTGAATTACTTGAATACTTTCAGATTTCCATTTTGATTTATTTATAGTGTTTTTGAGTGTACAGCATACCTCAGAGATACTAGAGATTCAATTCCAAACCACAAAAAAAAGTGAGTATTGCAATGAAATGAGTCAGAAGAAATGTTTGGTTTCCCAGAGCACAGAAAAGTTGTGTCTAAGCATACCTTAGTCTATTAAGTGTGCAACAGCAGTATGTCTAAAAAAAGGTACATAACCATTTAAAAATACTTTAATTGTTAAAAATGCTGATAATTATTTGAATCTTCATTGGTCATAATCTTTTTGTTGGTGGAGGGTTTTGCATTCATGTTGATGGCTGCTGACTGATCAGTTGGTGGATGCTGAAGTTTGAAATGGCTGTAGTAATTCCTTTTTCATTTCTTTTTTTTTTTTTTTTTTGAGGTGAAGTCTCATTCTGTCACCCAGGCTGGTGTGATCTTGGTTCACTGCAACTTCCGCCTTTCAGGTTCAAGCAATTCTCCTGTCTCAGCCTCATGCCTCAGGCTCCTAAGTAGCTGGGTTTACAAGTGCCCACCACTGCATCTGGCTAATTTTTTTGTATTTTTAGTAGAGATGGGGTTTCACCATGTTGGTCAGGCTGGTCTCAAGCTCCTGACCTCAGGTGATCCACCCGCCTCGGCATCCCAAAATGCTGGGATTACAGGTGTGATCCACGCGCCTGGCCAGTAGTTTCTTAAAATAAGGCAACAACGAAGTTTGAAGTTTGCCACATTGTTCGTTATTGTTCAAGAAAGATTTATCTGTAGCTTGTGATGCTGTTTGATAGCATTTTATCCATGACAAAACTTCTTTCAAAATTGGAGCCAATTCTCCAAAACTTCCTGCTGCTTGATCAAATAAATTGATGCAATAGCCTAAATCCTTTGTTGGAATTTCAACAATGTTCATGGCGTCTTCACCAGGAGTAGATTTCATCTTTTAAAAAAACCAGTTTCTTTGCTCATGCATATGAAGAACTTCTTATCTGTCCAAGTTTTGTCATGAGATTGCAGCAATTCAGTCATCTTCAGGCTCCATTTCTAATTCCAGTTTTTTTGTTTTGTTTTGTTTTGTTTTGTTTTTTTGAGAGGGAGTCGCACTCTGTTGCCCAAGCTGGAGTGCATTGGTGAGATTTCTGCTCACTGCAACCTCCACCTCCTGGGTTCAAGTGATTCTCCTGCCTCAGCCTCCCATGTAGCTGGGATTACAGGCCCCTGCCACCATGCCAAGCTAATTTTTCAATTTTAGTAGAGACGAGGTTTCACCATGTTGGTCAGGATGGTCTCAAACTCCTGACCTCAAATGATCTGCCCACCTCGGCCTCTCAAACTGCTGGGATTACAGGAGTGAGCCACTGTGCCCAGTGTAATTCTAGTTCTATTGCTATTTCCACTACATCCACCCAGATCCACCAGAGGAATCACTATCTATGGCAGCCATAGCTTATGAAATGTATTTCTTAAATAATAACACTTGAAAGTCAAGATTGCTGTTTGACATACAGTCTATAGAGTGCATGACATTCTATTAACAGACATAATAACAACATTAATCTTTTTGTACATCTCCATCAGAGTTCTTAGGTGACCAGGTGCATTGTCAGTGCACAGTGATATTTTGCAAGGAATCTGTTACCCTGAGCAGTAGGTCTCAAGAGTGGTCTTCAAATATTCAGTGAACCATGCTATAAATAAATGTGCTATCATCCAAGCATTGTAGTTCCATTTATAGAGTACAGGCAGAGTAGATTTAGCATAATTATTAAGGGCCTTAGGATTTTTGGAATGGTAAATGAGCCTTGGCTCATCTTAGAGCAACATCAGCTACATTATCCTCTAACAAGAGAGTCAAGCCTATTTTTTTGAAGCTTTGAAGCTAGGCACTGACTTATCTTCTCTAGCTATGGCAGTTTTAGATGGCCTCTTTTTCCAAAATAAGACTGCTTTGTCTGCATTAAAAATATGTAGCCACCTTCATCAATGATCTTAGCTAAATCTTCTGGATAAGTTGCTGCAGCTTCTACATCACCACTTGCTGTTTCACCTTGCACTTTTATGTTATAGAGACAGCTTCTTGCCTTAAACCTCATGAAGCAACTTCTGCAAGCTTCAAATTTTTCTTTTGCAGCTTCCTCACCTCTCTCAGCCTTCATAGAATTGAAAAAAGTTAGGATCTTGCTCTCGATTAGGCTTGGCTTAATGGAATGTGGTAACTTATTTGATCTTCTGTCAAGACCAATAAAATTTTTCCTATACCAGCAATAGAGATATTTCTGTTTCACTTTCTTATAATCCATGTGTTCACTAGAGTAGTACATTTAATTTCCTTCAAGAAGTTTTCCTTTGCATTCACAACCTAAGAAACTCTTTGGTGCAAGAGGCCTAGCTTTTGACTTATCTCAGCTTTTGACATGCCTTTCTCACTAAACATAATCATGTTTAGCTTTTGATTTAAAGTGAGGAATGTGTAACCCTTTCTTTTACTTGAACCCATAAAGGTCATTGTAGAGTTATGTATTGGCCTAATGTTAAAGTTATTGTTTCTCAAGGAACAGTGAAATGAGAGAGAGAGAGAGAGAGAGAGAGGAGAGACAGGGTAATGGTCAACCAGGGGAGCAGTCAGAACACGCAACATTTGTGGATTAAGTTTGCCATTTCATATGGATGCATTTGTGGTAATATAAAACAATTACAAGAATAACATCAAAGATTACTGACAGCAGAACTCCACACAGATATAATAATATAATAAAGTTTGAAATATTATGAGAATTACCAAAATGTAACACAGAGACATGAATGAGTACATGTTGTTGGAAAAGATAGAACCAATAGATTTGCTTGACAAACCTTTAATTGTCACAAACCTTTAATTTGTAGAAAATGCAATATCTGCAAAGCTCAATAAAATGAAGCACAGTAAAACCAGGTATGCCCCTATCTCTTCATATACCTGTGTTAGTGGTTGTTCTAGGTCTTACATTATATATATAACTTATCTCACATTACTCTTGTCATCATTTTATCAGTTTATATAAACTATAGAAATCTTAACTCACTTTTGTTTATTTTCTCTCCCTATTTATTATATAATATACTTAAATATTTCCCTCAGACAGATATGGAACAAAATCAGATAGTATCATAATTTTTATTTCTACTTTTAAAAATTATTTAGAAAACTCACAAGAAGAAGGAAAGCCTGTTGTGTTTACTCATGTTTTGCCTTACTATAATTTTGTTCCTTCTCAATATTCCAAATTTCCTTCTTTTATCTTTCCTTTTCTGTGTAGGAATTTTCCTTTGGCTCTCCTTTTATGTGAGTTTGGCTGATGACAAATTATCTTAGTTTTCCTTCATCCAAGATATTTTGGTTTCTTCTTCATTTCTGAAGGATATTTTTGCTGAACAGAGAATTCTGGGTTAACAGTTCTTTTCTTTTAGTACCCGAAAAATATCACGTCATTTCTTTCAGCCTCTGTGGTTTCTATTGAGAAATGTGCTTTCATTCTCTTTGTCTCCTACTGTTAAGGTGTCATTTTTCTCTGACTGATTTCAGTACTTTTTCTATGTCTTTAGTTTTCAGAAATTTAATTATGATTTACCCTAGTGTAGATTTCTTTGGGTTTCTTCTGTTTGGGTTTCGCTCAGCTTCTTGAATCTGTAGGTAAACAGCTCTTGGCAAATTTTGGATTTTCTGCCATTATTTCTTCATGAGCTTTTCAGCCCTATACTCTTCTAGAACTCTAATGACACAAATGTTAGAACCGTTGTTATACTCCCACAGGTTCTTAAATTTCTGTTATTTTTTTCAGTCTATTTTCTCTCTATCTTCCAGATCAGACATTTTTTATTGTTCTATTTTCTAATTCACTGGTTCTTTCCTCTGTCCCTTCTATTCTGCTGTTGAGCTCATTCACTGGGCTTTTATTTCAGCTGTTGCATTTTTCAGTTTTATAATTTCCATTTGGACTGGGTTCAGTGGCTCACACCTGCAGTTCCAGTTCTTAGGGAGGTCAAGGTGGGAGGATTGCTTGAGATCAGAAGTTTGAGACCAGTCTGGGTAACATAGTGAGACCCCATCTTTGCAAAAAACAAATAAATAAGCAAACAAACAAAAAACAGAAAAAAACTAGCCAGATGTGGCGCCACATGCTTGTAGTCCTAGCTACTTGAATGGCTGAGGTGTGAGGATCACTTGAACCCAGGAATTCAAGGCTACAATGAGCTTTGATTGAACCACTGCACTCCAGCCTGGGCAACAGAGTGAGATATCTTATCTCCAAAAACAAAAGAAAAAAAAATCCAATTTGGTTCTTCTTGTCTTCTACTTTCTTACTGAGAGTTTCTATTTTTAATAATTTGCTTCAATTATGCTCATATTTGCTCTTCAAAGCACTGTTATATAGCTGCTTTAAAATCATTGTCAGATAACTCTAACATCTTTACCATTCTTGGTTTTGGTGCCTATTGATGGTCTTTTTTTCATTCATTTGAGATCCTGGTTCTTAGTTCATGTCAGGTTATGAGATTCTGGATCTTATTTAAATTTTCTGTTTTACTTGATGTTGTTGAGCATTACTCTGGCAAGAAAAAGTGGGGAGAAAGGAATATGCAGCCTTGTTACTTACAGATGGAAGCAGAAATCCAGGTTCTCCATGTGACCTCTATTGATCCCCAAGGGTGACGTCCTTGTCACTTCTGGTTATGGTTGAAATTTCTGGCTCCCCATGTGGTCTCTCCACTGATACTTCTGTGGGGAGTGACGCTGGGTAGTAATACAAGTCCTGACTCTCCATCAGGCCTCCTCTAATATCACCCCAGTGAGACAAGTGAAAAGTGCCTCATTACTATCAGGTAGGTGTAGAAGTTCAGGCTCCCTAAGTAGTCACCACTGACTCTGAAGGAAGAGGTGCCCTGTTACTTGCTGGCAGAGTTTAAAGGCCCAGTTCCTTAATGGCCTTCTCTGATATCACCCTGGCAGAAGATTTAGGGCATTCATTACAGCCTGTTCAGGGTGAAAGTCTAGGCTCCCCATTCAACATTTGCTGGTGTGGATAGTCCTGGGGATGTAGTTTCTTTTGTGGTGTTTGGCTGGAATAGAGTGGTTATTGTCTAAAATTTAGTCTTGATAGTGTTCACCTTTTCTGGTCATTTTGGCTAGAAAGAGCAGGAATTTTTGGGGGATTTTGTTTGTATCTATTGACTTTTCCATTTTCCCTGTTTCTTCAGCTCCAACTCTGGGGTATATGAGGCACAAAGAAAATCCAGAGGACTCATCATCATGTCTTTCCTCCGGTCCCAAGTTCACTTGCCATTCTGCATTCTTTCTGCACTTTTCAGACTCTTCTGAGGTTGGTTTTACATCAAGGGCTTTTAGATGTACTTAGCAGAAAAATTAGAGAAAATGCGTTTATTCCATCTTTCCAAGCAGAAGCCCCATATCATTTAAAAATCTTTTATCAGGTATACTTAATTTTGAGACTTTGGTTGCTTTTGTCAAGTGAGATTTAGTGTCAAAAGACTGCAAGGTGTCTTTTCTTCCTTTCTTTCTTTCTGTTTTTGTTGTTGTTGTTGTTGTTTGTTTGTTTTTTAATTTTCTTTTTAGAGAATGAGTCTTGCTCTGTCATTTAGGTTGGATCACAGTTCACTGTATTCTTGAACTCCTGGACTCAAGTGATCCTCCCACCTCAGCCTCCTGGGTAGCCAGTACTACAAGCACACACCACCACCCCTGCTAATTCTCTGCTTTTATTTATTTTTGTAGAGATAGAGTCTTGCTACATTGCCCAGGCTGGTCTCAAACTTCTGCCCTCAAGTGATCCTCCTGCCTCGGCCTCTCAAAGGATAGGGATTACAAGTGTGAGCCATTGTACCTGGCCCTCTTTTCTTATCTTGGTTACAACAGTCAGCAGATCTGTACTTTCACTAGCAGACATTTCCAGGTGCCCACTCTCATCCCTCTGGCATGCATTATGGCCATGGTGTGTCACTGATGACTTCTATTATAATTACCAACATCAGCATTCCACCAGGGTGCTTTCCCCATGTTATGGTCAGCTTCTCTACTTAGGAGTCCAGTGAATTAAAATCCATGGAAACAGCCCTCAAACAATAACTGACTGGAAGGGCTGTATAAATACCCCAGCTCCCTCACCCTATTGGAGTAACTCTGAAGCATTTCATTTTCCAGAGTTTTCATGCTGGGTTAAGTTTTATTTGTTCACAGTGATAGCTTGCCTGTTATTGCACAATGTATTGGCTGCCTTCCCTTCTCTGTCTCATTTCCCATGTTTCTCACACCTCTCAAATAAACTGCTTGCTCTGGGATACTTGCCTCAGGCTCTGCTTTTCATCCTTCTCCACACTAGTCCATTCCAATAGGGCTTATGCTGCACTCTGAGCAGTTCACACACTGGGATGGGCCTCTGCTGTACAGAAACCATATAAAGTCTTTCCGTTTCAAGCACAGCGATGTCACAGTTCCAAGTTAAGGCTAAAAGCATTTGAATCCTGGCTTCTTTGCTAGGTTGTTGTGTAACTGTGGAAATGACTCATAGCTTTTCTGAACCTCTATTTCTTCATTTTCAAAATGGACATAATAATACCTGCTTCTTAAGTTGAGAGGTTTAAATGAGATAATAAATTTAAAACGTGTCACATAGTGCCTGGCACATAATTGCTCCATTTCTTTAAATATCAGCCAGTGTTATTAATAGTATTCATGCCTATTTCTACTTTTCCTTTTAACTTTCTGCACATCTTTTCCAGTCTTCTTAACAGCTTTGCGTTATCTTGATCCTGTCTTTGGTGCTCCTCTCATCTCACCTTAAGTGTTCTCGTGGGTTGACCTCAACTGATCCCACAGCTTCCATTTCTAATGCATTAAGCATGAAAAGTTCTCTTTCTCCAGCCTCTCCCTCTCTCCTGGTCTCTAAACCCAACATTTTCAACTCTCACTGTAACTCCAAATGCAGTGTGCACAAAATAAGACTTTGCTACACCAACAAATCAAAATGTGTGTACTCCCAGTTATTTATCTGTTCCTATTTTGGTTAAAGACATCCTTCATCATCCAGATGCCAAGCTAGAAATCCTAATTTTAATTTTTTCTTTCTTTATATTTTTCATATTCAAGCAGTTACCAGATTCTCTGACTTCTACTTTCTAAGTTGGTGTTTCCAAACT
Source organism: Homo sapiens (assembly GCF_000001405.40). Taxonomy (NCBI): domain Eukaryota; kingdom Metazoa; phylum Chordata; class Mammalia; order Primates; family Hominidae; genus Homo; species Homo sapiens. The sequence goes on along the minus strand of NC_000002.12, from coordinate 104,599,183 downwards.
GAAGATTGCAACCTGTTAGTGATGGCAGCTCATGGGGACCAGTTAACTCTGATGCTGGCAGGCTCTTTCTGGTGGCCAGCTTTCACAGCTACTTTTCTCCAGCTGCCAGCTGGGGAATGTGCTAATTGAAAACAGAAATTCTCCCTTTTAGCCCTTAAATATAAATTTTAAGAGAGTAGTCCTGCACAACAGGAATCCCTAACCCCTAGGCCATGGACCAGTACTGGTCTGTGGTCTGTTAGGAACCGGGACGTGGAGCAGGAGGGGAGCAGTGGGCAGCTGACTAAGCGAAGCTTTATCTGTATTTACAGCTGCTCCCATCACTCGCACCACTGCCTGAGCTCTGCCTCCTGTCAGATCAGCATTCTCATAGGAGCGCAAAACCTACTGTGAACTGCGCATGTGAAGGTCCTAGGTTGCATGCTCTTTATGAGAATCTAATGCCTGATGATCTGTCACTGTCTCCCATTACCCCCAGATAGGACTGCCTAGTTGCAGGAAAACAAGCTCAGGGCTCCCACTGATTCTACATTATGGTGAGTTGTATAATTATTTCCCTATATATTACAATGTAATAATAACGGAAATAAAATGCGCAATAAATGTAATGTGTTTGAATCGTCCTGAAACCATCCTCCCTACCCAGTCTGTGGAAAAATTGTCTTCCATGAAACTGGTCCCTGGTGCCAAAAAGGTTGGAGACTGTTGCTGAACAAGAAGGGAGACCCCAGGATAATCTAATCATACAGATTTTTAGAAACTAGGAGGATAAGAATAAATATTTCTTTTTTAAAGATAATGTAGTGTAAAATAAATAAATACATGTATTTATTATTTATATACTATTTATCCATATTATATATTTACATATATTTGTATATTACATACCTTTTATATGTGTATTTATTAATAAGAAATATAGCTATCTATGGTTTATATATGTCGTATATATTTGATCTTTGCCCGTGGTTCCTGGCACAGAGCTTCTGAAACCCTTGGAATCCCCTGAGTGCTGAGTGTCTTTTGTATGCTAATGAGATGACTCATGGCTGGGGACCTCTATAATTTCAGAATGGGGGTTGGTCACCAGAAAGACCAAGCCATGATGAGAGGATTGGAGCTTTCAACTTCAGTCTCCTACCTTTGAAGAGGGGAGTGGGGCTGGAGATTGAGTTTAATCACTAGTGGCCAATGATAGTTTCAATCATGCCTACAAAATGAAACCTCCATAAAAACCCCAATAATAATGGGGTTTGGAGATCTTTTAGGTTGATGAACACATAGAGGTGCTGAGAGGGTGGTGCACCCAGCAAGGGTGTGGAAACTCTGTTTCTCCGCTCCCCCAATGACCCATGCATCTCTTCCATTAGTTTCTTCCTGACTTGTAGCCTTTAGAATGATGCACTAATAATAATAAAGTGCTTTCCTGAGTTCTGTTAGTTGTTCTAGTGGATTACCAGACCTGAGAAATCTACAGGCAGTCAGTCAGAAGGATGGGTAGCTCCTGGGACATCCGGCTATCATCTGAAGTTAGGGCAATCTTGCGGGACTGAGTCCTTTACCTGTGAGGTTTGCGCTAACTCTAATGGTTACTGTCAGAATTGAATTGAATTAAATTGTTGAACATCAAGTTGGTGTCAGAGAATTGGAGAACTGGTGTAGAAAATGACAAGTATTTGGTGTCTGAAAAAAACCACACATTTGGTGTCAGAAGTGGTATGAGAAAAAAGATATTGCAGATGAGTAATTAGATTTTTTTAAAAGTTCTGCAACCTTAAAGAAAAAGATCATAGAATATGCAAGAGATAGCTAAAGAGAAGATTTTTGAGGGAAAAAAGTTATTCCAAGAAACAGGTATAATTTGGATAGCAACAGCAAATTTAAATTGATAGTTCTATGAAGTAGGAAATGAAAGATGAGGTAATTTTAAAAATTGAAATAAAAATCAATACCGTTGAGATAAAGAAAATATTTAAGAAAAAATAAGAAAAATTTTCTACCCTAGCAGAATGTAGAAGAGTTAAAAAGAACATTGACATTGCAGAAAATTGATCAGTCTTCTGGAAGATGAATTTGAGAAAGTTTCTGAAAATTCAGAGGTAAAGAACAACCAGGTGAAAATAATAAGTATAATGCACATGGATGGCCTGGTGCGGTGGCTCATGCCTGTAATCCCAGCACTTCAGGAGGCCGAGGTGGGTGGATCACCTGAGGTCAGGACTTTGAGACCAGGCTGGCCAACATGGCGAAACCCCATCTCTACTAAAAATACAAAAATTAGCCAGCCATGGTGGCATGCACCTGTAATCCCAGCTACTCGGGAGGCTGAGGCAGGAGAATTGCTTGAACCTGAGAGGTGGAGGTTACGGTGAGCTAAGATCATGCCACTGCACTCCAGCCTGGGTGACAGAGGAAGACTCCATCTCAAAACAAAATAAATAATAAAATAAAATAATGCACATGGAGGCAAGGCAATAAAGAACCAACTTATGTATAAAAAGGCAGAACAAGAAATGTGGCAGAATAAATAGGAGAATTGGAAGAGAAACGCTATTCAAAATTATAATTGGAAAATGAAGGTAAAACATTTTTTTTCCAAAGTATATATTTTCCCCCAGATGAGACAATACACAGATCCCTAAAAAGAATCTAATGATAAGAACAGAACTGTAATGACAGAAAAGGCATTGGAGTTTCCTAAAGGCTGTGATTTCTCTTCTTTGTTCTTTAGTCACCCTGATTAAAAAGACTCTCTGGGTAGGGAGTAAACACCAATACTTGGAAATATCTTGCTCAAACAGTTGAATTTTAAGTGTATACAAATCTCTCAGGCAGGCAAAAACATAAAATATGATTAAAATACAGGTTTGAAAAAACATTTACAAACTCAAGCTAGCCATTGTGTTTTACACAAATTACATGCCAGAAAACAATAAGGCATTATCTATAGAGTTTGGGAAAAAAGTGATATGTCCGTTAAATTCTATACCAAGCAGATGATGTTTATGTCTGAAAACCACAGAAAGATATCAGAGGTAGAAGGAGCCTAGAAGGAAGTTAAGCAATAATGTTTCATTTCTGAAAAAAATATTTACAGATATAATAAAGTCAATTGAGGTACTAAGTGAACGATGCATTTTGAAACTCATGAGCTTGGAAACCTAAATGTAAAAGAATCAGTAGTGAGCATAGTACCATTTGTGTTAGTTCATTTGTATTAGTATAAAGGAATACCTGAGACTGAGGAATTTATAAAGAAAAGAGGTTTATTTGACTCATGGTTTTGCGGGTTGTACAAGCATGGTGCCAGAACCTGCTGGCTTCTGGTGAGACCTCGGGAAGCTTACAATCATGGCAGAAGGTGAAGTGGGGCTGGCACATCACATGGTGGGAGAGGGAGCAAGAGAGGGAAGGGGGAGGCGCCAGGCTGTTTTATCTTAAACAACCAGCTCTCCCATGACCTCATAACTGTGAGGAAGTCATCAAGTCACTCTTGAGGAAGCTGCCCCCATGGCCCAAATACCTCCCACTAGGCCCCACTCTCAACATTGGGGATTACATTTCAACATGAGATTTGAAGGGGACAAATATACATACCACATTAACATTTAAACAAATCTGTTAGCAACAATTGCTGATTTGATTGGTGGAATGCAAATATTATAAAGCCTAAAAGAAGAAAGATACAATAATGGAATCATAGTAAGTCAGGATAAAATTCCCAGAAGAAAAATTATATAGAGAGGTCTGGGAAACATGGGAAATCCAGTCATGATGTCAATAGTATTCATTTGGAAAAAGCTGGTTCTAGGCCCAGCGGGATCGTTTACAACTTCAAGGAACAATTATTTTCCAAATTATATAAACCGATGTATAGGATAAAAATAAAGCACGTTTTGCAATATTTTTATCGAGGTAGAGAAATTCTGATAACAAATCTTGCCAAGAATTGAACAGAGAAGAGGAAACCATTGATTGATATCACTTTTGAACATAAACACAAAATTCCTAAGTAAAGCATTACTACAATGAATTCAGTAGTATTTAATCATTTTAATCCACCCTGCAAAATTAAAGTTTATCTCAGAAATGTAAAGATGTCTTCAAATCTATTAGTATCATTTATTTTATCTATAGAAAAAAAGAAACAGTATCTCATTGAAGTTAATGAATCATTATGTAAAATTTAACCTCCATTCTTGATTATAACTTATAGCAAAAGGGATATAGAATATCTCAAACCAAATAATAGCATCCTATTTTATAGTGAAGTAGTGAAAGTATTTCTTTAAATGCAGGAGAAAGCAAGCACACACACCTTGTTATTTAATTTTTTAATTTATTTAATTCATTGTAAATTTATTTTTTCAGAAAAAGCCAGCCAATACAATTAGATAAAAATGCAAAATATGGTATGTAAATATTAAGAAAAGAGAGATAAAATTATTATTTGTAGATGATGTGACTATGGACCTGTGAAATAAAAAGGAGGCAACTGAATAACTATGTGGAATAATAGTAAGAAACTTCAGCTGGTAAGAAAATAAATACAAAAAGTGATAACTTTCTCCCATAATTACAGTAATTCTTTAAAAAAATTAATTTCTTTAGAGATGAGGTCTTGCTTTGTTACCCAGGCTGGAAGGCAGTGGTGTGATCACAGCTCACTGCAGTTTCGAAATTTTGGGCTCAAGCAATCCTCCCTCCTCTGCCTCCCAAGTAGCTGGGACTATAGGTGTACACCACTATGCCCTGTTAATATCATTACAATAATTCTTAAAAAATGGTATAAAACCCTATAGTCAGGAGTATGTTTGGAAAGTAAAGTACCAGACTGAAAATAAGATATGAAAACTCTAATGAATAATATAATAAAAAGACCAGCATGAATAAAAAGATTGCAGTGTCCTGGATGGGAAGACTCAGTAATGGCAAAAACATTAACTTTTTTCAAGTAAAAAAACAAATTTCATAAAATTTTAGTAAAACTGTCAATCAGAATTTGGAATCTAACATTATTCTAAGTCATCCAATTGTAAGACTAAATACTCCAGAATGCAGAGGAAATCTTGAAAATATAAATGAGGAAAAATTTGTTTTAACAGATATCAAAATATACCACAGGGATGAAAACTGCATGACAATTGTACAAAAATATTCGGATTATTGGAACCAAATATGAGAAGAAAATATAGGTGTGTGATGGGTAACACTGAGTGTCAACTCGATTGGATTGAAAGATACAAAGTATTGATCCTGGATGTGTCTGTGAGGGTGTTGCCAAAGGAGATTAACATTTGAGTCAGTGGGCTGGGAAAGGCAGACTGACCCTTAACCTGGGTGGGCACCATCTAATCATCTGCCAATGCAGCTAGAATAAAAGCAGGCAGAAAAATGTGAAAAGAGAGACTGGCCTAGCCTCCCAGCCTACATCTTTCTCCCGTGCAGGATGCTTCTTGCTCTTGAACATTGGACTCCAAGTTCTTCAGTTTTGGAATTGGACTGGCTCTCCTTGCTTCTCAGCCTGCAGATGGCCTACTGTGGGACCTTGTGATCATGAGAGTTGGTACTTAATAAACTCTCCTTTATGTATGTATGTGTGTATGTATACATATTCCATTAATTCTATCTCTCTAGAGAACCCTGACTAATACAGATTTTGGTACCAGGAGTGGTTCTAGAGGAACAGAATATTAAAGATGGAGTTCTTTTGTTGGTTTTGGGGTTTCTGGAGTTGACTACTTAATATAATTAGACCCCTAAATGCTAAGGACTCTTACTTCTAACAGTATGGAGAACACTGAGAGTCCTTGGCATGAACTGTTCAGAGACTTATGCAAAATAAATGCATTTGACACTCCTGATTCATCACTCATGAGAGGCAAGGAGTTTAGTGACTCTATACATAATACCTTTGACCATATGTGGAGAACCAAGGAACATAATGAAGCTGGTTGGTTGTTCCTAAGTTCAGTGGACAAAGTGATGACAGAAAATGATGAACTCAGGAATTCTATCTTCCGGCTTCAGAAGCAGATACTAAGCCTCAAATCTGCTAAGATTGCCCTGAGTGAGAGTTTTATCTCCTATAGAGAAAGAACTGAAATTGTGGAAAAACAGACAGAAGCTCTTATCATGTGAGTGGCTAACCTGCAACAAAAGGTTCATGCACAGCCTTGCCAGGTGTCTACTGTTAAAGTGAGGGCATTGATTGGAAAAGAATGAGACCCCGCAACTTGCAATGCAGATGTGTGGGAGGACCCTGATGAAGCTAGGGACACTGAGTTTGTAAACTCTGATGAACTCTTTTTGCCAGAAGGAGCAGCTTCCCCAACTCCAGTACTGGCAACGTCCCCTCCCCGAACCATGCTGCCATCAGCCTTTACAACTTTGTCTGAGGAGATAAACCCTGTGCTGCCTGAGGCAACAATGATGGCCTCCCTGAGACAGTTGTCAGGCAAGATAATGTTGATTCTCCTCAGGAGCCACCCACAACACCCGTGTTTGCTTCTAGACCTATAACTAGGCTAAAGTCCTGGTGGGCCCCTAGAGGTGAGATTGAGAGTATGATCCATGAGGAGGTGTGCTACACTTGAAAAGAACTGCTTGAGTTTTCTAATTTATATGAACAGAAATCTGGAGAACAGTCATGGGAATAGATGTTACAGATCTGGGATAATGGTGGAAGGAACATATAGTTGGATCAGGCTGAATTTATTGATTTGGGCCCACTAAGTAGGGACTCTGCATTTAATGTTGCAGTGTGGGGAGTTAAAAAAGGCTCTAATAGTTAATTTGCTTGGTTAGCTGAAATATGGATTAAATTATGGCCCACCGTGAGGGAGCTGGAAATGCCTGATCTCCCTTGGTTTAATGTAGAGGAAGGGATCCAAAGCCTTAGGGAAATTGGGATGGTGGAGTGGTTTAGTAACTTTAGATCTACTCATCCCAATGCCTTGCAAAATAGATTTGCAAGGGCAGAACCTGCATCTTTGAAGAGCCCTGTAATTGCTCTTCTCTGTATGTTAGATCTAACAGTAGGAACCACAGTCACTCAACTATACAATTTAAATACAATGGGAATAATTGGATCTTGAGGTGGCAGGGGCCAAGTGGTGGCACTCAACCATTAAAGGCAAGATGGGCATAGCTACCATAATGGATAGCAGAGGCAAAGCAGCAATCAGAATAATCATAATAGTCTGACTCATGTAGAACTCTGGCATTGGCTAATTAATCACGGTGTTCTTAGAATTAAAATCAATAAGAAGTCTACTGCAATCCTACTTAATTTATACAAGCAGAAAACTTCTAGGTTGAATGGACAAAAGACTAATTCAAATTATAATGACACAGAATCACAGCCCCTCAATCAATTTCCAGACTTGAGCTAGAATCCCTTGAATGAAGGGGAGGCCAGGTCCCCTTGAGGAAGAACCCCACTACATTACCCACAATTCATGCATTTAATTTTTCTCCCATCCTTCCCCAAGGAGACCTCTGGCCTTTTACCAGGGTATCTGTGCACTGGGGAAAGGGAAATGATCAGACATTTCTTGGACTACTGGATACTAACTCTGAGTTGTCATTGATTCCGGGGAACCCAAAACATCATTGTGGTCCTCCAGTTAAAGTAGGAGCTTATGGAGGTGAGGTAATTAATGGAGTTTAAGCTCAGATCTGACTTACAGTGGGTCCAGTGTGTCCCTGGACTCATCCTGTGGTCATTTCCTCAATGCCAGAATGCATAATTGGCATAGACATACTTAGCAGCTGGCAGAACCCCCACATCGGCTCCCTGACTGGTAGGTAGAGGGCTATTATGGTGAGAAAGGCCAAAAGGAAGCCATTAGAGCTGCCTCTACCTAGAAAAATAGTAAATCAAAAACAGTATTGCATCCCTGGAGGGATTACAGCGATTAGTGCCACCATCAAGGTCTTGAAAGATGCAGGGGTGGTGATTCCCACCATATCCCCATTCAAATCTCCCATTTGGCCTGTGTAGAAGATAGATGGATCTTGGAGAATGACAGTGGATTATTGTAAGGTTAACCAAGTGGTGACTCCAATTGCAGCTGCTGTACCAGATGTGGTTTCATTGCTTCAGCAAATTAACGCATCTCCTGGTACCTGCTATGCAGCCATTGACTTGGCAAATGCCTTTTTCTCCATTCCTGTCCATAAGGCCCACCAGAAGGGATTTGCCATCGGCTGGTAAGGCCAGCAATATACCTTTACTGTCCTACCTCAGGGGTATATCACCTCTCTGGCTTTGTGTCATAATCTTATTCGGAGAGGACTTGATAGCTTTTCGCTTCCACAAAATATCACACTGGTTTATTACATTGATGACATTATGCTGATTGGATCCAGTGAGCAAGAAGTAGCAGACACACTGGACTTATTGGTGAGACATTTGCATGCCAGAGGATAGGAAATAAATCCAACTAAAATTCAGGGACCTTCTACCTCAGGAAAATTTCTAGGCATCCAGTGGTGTGGGGCCTGTTGAGATATTACTTCTAAGGCGAAGAATCAGTTGCTGCATTTGGCCCCTCCTACGACCAAGAAAGAGGCACAACGCCTGGTGGGCCTATTTGGATTTTGGAGGCAGCACATTCCTCATCTGGGTGTGTGTTGCTCCAGCCCATTTATCAAGTGACCTGAAAGACTGCCAGTTTTGAGTGGGGTCCAGATCAGGAGAAGGCTCTGCAACAGGTCCAGACTGCTGTGCAAGCTGCTCTGCCACGTGGGCCATATGACCCAGCAGATCCAATGGTGCTTGAGGTGTCAGTGGCAGATAGGGATGCTGTTTGGAGCCTTTGGCAGGCTCCCATAGGTGAGTCACAGCATGGGCCTCTAGGATTTTGGAGAAAGGCCCTGCCATCTTCTGCAGATAACTACTCTCCTTTTGAGAGACAGCTCTTGGCCTGTTACTGGGCTTTAGTGAAAACTGAACATTTGACTATGGATCATCAAGTCATCATGCGACCTGAACTGTTTATCATGAACTGGGTGCTTTCTGATCCATCTAGCCATAAAGTGGGTCATGCACAGCAGCATTCCATCACCAAATGGAGGTGGTATGCATGTGATCAGGCTCCAGCAGGTCCTGAAGGCACAAGTAAGCTACATGAGGAAATGGCTCAGATGCCCATGGTCTCCACTCCTGCCACCCTGCCTTCTCTCCCCCAGCCTGCACTGATGTCCTCAACGGTAGTTCTGTATGATCAGTTGACAGAGGAAGAGAAGGCTAGGGCCTGGTTCAGAGATGGTTCTGTACGATATGCAGGCAACACCCGAAAGTGGACAGCTGCAACACTACTGCCCCTTTCTAGGACATCCCTGAAGGGCAGTGGGGAAGGGAAATCTTTCCAGTGGGCAGAACTTCTCGCAGTGCACCTGGTTGTGCACTTTGCATGAAAGGAGAAATGGTGCCAGATGAGCGATTATGTATTGATTCATGGGCTGTAGCCAGTGGTTTGGCTGGGTGGTCAGGGACTTGGAAGAAGCATGACTGGAAAGTTGGTGACAAAGAAATCTGGGGAAGAGGTATGTGGATGGGCCTCTCTGAGAGGTCAAAAACTGTGAAGATATTTGTATCCCATGTGAGTGCTCACCAATGGGTGACTTCAGCAGGGGAGGATTTTAATAATCAAGTGGATAGGATGACCCATTCTGTGGACACCACTCAGCCTCTTTTCCCAGCCACCCCTGTCATCCCCCAGTGGGCCCATGAACAAAGTGACCATGGTAGCAGGGATGGAAGTTACGTATGGGCTCAGCAACATGGACTTGCGCTCATTAAGGCTGACCTGGTTACAACCACTGCTGAGTGTTCAGTTTGCCAGACCAACACTGATCCCTCGGTATGGCACCATTTCTCGGGGTGATCAGCCAGCTACCTGGTGGCAGGTTGATTATATTGGACCTCCTCCATCATGGAAAGGGCAGACACTTGTCCTCACTGGAATAGATACTTACTCCAGGTACGGGTTTGCGTATCCTGCATGCAATGCTTCTGCCAAGACTACCATCTGTGGACTCATGGAATGCCTTATCCATGGTCATGGTATTCCACACAGCATTGTCTCTGACCAAGGCATTCACTTTATGGCTAAAGAAGTGCAGCAGTGGGCTCATGCTCATGGAATTCAGTGGTCTTACCATGTTCTCCATCATCCTGAAGCAGCTGGATTGATAGAACAGTGGAATATCCTTTTGAAGTCACAATTTCAATGTCAACTAGGTGACAATACTTTGCAGGGCTGGGGCAAAGTTCTCCAGAATGCCATGTATGCTCTGAATCAGTGTCCAATATATGGTACTGTTTCTCCCATAGCCAGGATTCACAGGTCCAGGAATCAAGGGGTGGACGTGGAAGTGGCACCACTCACCATCACCCCTAGTGATCCACTAGCAAAATTTTGCTTTCTGTTCCCACAACATTACGATCTGCTGGCCTAGATGTCTTAGTTCCAGAGGGAGGAATATTGCTACCAGGAGACACAACAACGATTCCATTAAACTGGAAGATAAGATTGCCACCTGGATGTTTTGGGTTCCTCCTACCTTTAAGTCAACAGGCTAAGAAGGGAGTTACAGTAATGGTTGGGGTGATCAACCCAACTATCAAGATGAAACCAGTCTACTACTCCACAACAGACGTAAGGAAGAGTATGCATGGAATACAGGAGATCCATTAGGGCGTCTCTTAGTATTACCATGCCCTGTGATTAAGGTCAATGGGGAACTACAACAGCTCAATCCAGCAGGACTATGAATGACCCAGACCCCTCAGGAATGAAGGTTTGGGTCACTCCACCAGGAAAAAAACATGACATGCTGAGGTGCTTGCTGAAGTCAAAGGGAATACAGAATGGGTAGAAGAAGGTAGTCATCAATAACAGCTACGACCACATGACCAGGTGCAGAAATGAGGACTGTAATTGTCAGGAGTATTTCTTCCTTCTTTTGTTAAAAACGTTTGTGCATATATACACTTGGACTAAGAAACTATTTTATTTACTTTCTTCTTTATCATATGATACAAAATTTATTGAGTTCACATCAGCATTTAAGTATTGTTAACTTTATGTAGTAATATTTGGGTTGGGGATTGGTACGTTTCTGGTTGTACAAAGCATAGCTGTATTATGTTATGTTATGACCTTATTATTGTCTTTATTTGAAGATTATGTATGATCTCAGGAGATGTATATGGGTTCAAGTTGACAAGGGGTGGGCTTGTGATGGTTAATACTGGGTGTCAACTTGATTGGATTGAAGGATACAAAGTATTGATCCTGGATGTGTCTGTGAGAGTGTTGCCAAAGGAGATTAACATTTGAGTCAGTGGGCTGGGAAAGGCAGACCCACCCGTAATCTGGGTGGGCACCACCTAATCAACTGCCAGTGCAGCTAGAATAAAAGCAGGCAGAAAAGCGTGAAAAGAGAGACTAGCCTAGCCTCCCAGGCTACATCTTTCTCCCGTGCTGGATGCTTCCTGCCCTTGAACATCAGACTCCACGTTCTTCAGTTTTGAAACTCAGACTGGTTCTCCTTGCTCCTCAGCCTGCAGCCTGCAGACAGCCTATTGTGGGACCTTATAATCGTGTGAGTTGATACTTAATAAACTCCCATATATATATATATATATATATATATATATATATATATATATACACACACACACACACACACACACACATATATATACACACACACACATATATATATATAAAATATATGTTTATTATTATTACTTTTTGAGATGGAGTCTTGCTCTGTCGCCCAGGCTGGAATGCAGTGGTGCAATCTTGGCTCACTGCAAGCTCCGCCTCCTGGGTTCATGCCATTCTCCTGCCTCAGCCTCCCGAGTAGCTGGGACTACAGGTGCCCACTACCATGCCCGGCTAATTTCTTTGTTATTTTTAGTAGAGACGGGGTTTCACTCTGGTGTTAGCCAGGATGTTCTCGATCTCATTACCTCGTGATCCACCCATCTCGGCCTCCCAAAGTGCTGGGATTATATATGTATTCCATTAGTTCTGTCCCTCTAGAGAACCCTGACTAATACAAGGTGAATATATAATGTTGAAGTGGATGGGAGAGCCTACATTGAATTACACTAGAGACAGAAAGTGTAAAGGAAAGTCTAATACATTCTACCATACTATAATATACAAAAATTAAGCAACTCCCACCCCTAGTTTCTATATTACAATAACAACTAACAAAGCAAAATTAATTCAAAAATAGAAGGCAAATAACAAACTTGGAGAACATTCTTGTAATTAAATGACAAAAGTTAACATTCATTCTTAAATATAAAGCAGCTTTTCTACATCAATAAGAAAAAAAATGAATATCCTAACAGACAAATAAAGTCATGAAGAAGGTCACTAGAGAAAAATACATGCAAAAAACTTCAAACATCAGAAATCAGTTAATTACAACTTAAAGCATGATATAATTTATCACAAATTTAAAATAATGAGAATAATCAGCATTTTTCATATTTGTGAAAGTGGGTGTTCTCTCCTAAATGGATCTGAAGGGTATTATTTGGTACAACATTTTAGAGGGGCCACTAGATGTGTGTAGACATATAGTAAATACTCAAAAACTATTTTTTCCTTTTCATCCACTAATTTTACCTATAAGGCTTTTTTTTCCCTAAGGACAACATTGAATAATGTAGTTTCTTTGTAAATTCTAAGGATCTTTATTTCTATGTCTGTTCTATTCTTTAGCTTTTCATATATATTTTTTTTTAGTCATAGCATCATTACAATTCTAAATGATATTTTTCCTTCATCATTGTTTCAGGACTGCAAATTCTCATCCATAAAGCTCAAAAGCCATGGTTTATAATTTCTTTTCTTTTCTTTTTTTTTTTTTTTTTTTGAGACAGAGTCTCGCTCTGTCACCCAGGCTGGAGTGCAGTGGCACGATCTCAGCTCACTGCAAGCTCCCCATCCCAGGTTCACGCCATTCTCCTGCCTCAGCCTCCCAAGTAGCTGGGACTACAGGCTCCCGCCACCACTCCCAGCTAATTTTTTGTATTTTTAGTAGAGACGGGGTTTCACTGTGTTAGCCAGGATGGTCTCAATCTCCTGACCTCGTGATCCACCTGCCTCGGCCTCCCAAAGTGCTGGGATTACAGGCGTGAGCCACCACGCCCGGCCTATAATTTCTAAATATATTCAGTGACATTGATTGAATGACAAATAAAACAAATCAAAAGACAATATTAAAAATGTACCAGGAAGGCTCTAAAGTTCTGTTCTAAAAAATAAAATCTACTGAAAAATACACCAGCATGTGACCTGGGTTTTAAGTTGAATTAAAAACAAAGCAAAACTTTAAACAATAAACGATTAGTTGCAACTTCATTTGACAGTAGGACTGGAGTAGGTTTTTGGATTAGAAACGTTAAGTGCTGAGATCGTGACTTATCGGTTACAGGTTGATGCCAAGAGGGCACATTCCAGGGAAGGGCCTTAGCAGAGGAGAGGTAGGCAAAAATCAAAAGTGATGCCTCTGACTTGAAGCACCAGGAGTTGCAAGATTTTGTGTGACACCTGTAATCGGGTTTCTCAGGATAGAACTGCAGAGATCGATGTTGTGGCCTGTTGAAAGCAACAGTGCTATGATATGCGGGAGTGTTATGTCCCTGATAGTGTAATATTAATGTATTGCCAGTAAACAGCCATTATCAAGACTCATAAAAGGAATAATTAATGATATTGTTAGCTTTTTAAAAAATTAGAAAATAAATGGCCACTGTGGTTTTGAAATGCTAATTAATTACCATGGGATCATTTCCAGTTAGTCAAGTTTATTCCCCGCAAAGCTAGTTTTGCAAATACAGTGCAGAACCTCAGTCAATATTGCTCACATGTAGATCTATTCAACTTATATGAAAAGAAAAAGGAAGACTCTTAATTGAAGAGACTCCCTTCAGGACCTACTCAGGCGGGGCTCTTGCTGATCATCACAGCGCAAGGTGCACGTAAATCCCTGGGGATCTGATTTCTCAGCAGATTTTTGAGGAACACATTCCACATTGAGAAACAGTTGACAAGATGATTTATTAATATAAGCTGGGGACAGGAGGGAAACAAAAAATAAAAATAAAATAGCAGCTTGAAAAGAGAAATTAGCCTTTGGAATCTATTATGATATTTAGAAATCAGGACATCATTTTCCTTTCCTCGGTGGTCCCAATGCAATTTTCCTTCCCTGTCTGGTCAATTTGGGAAAGACTGACGTGAGGAGGCTTTCTGTCATGGGATTTGAAGTTGCACGCCTTTAAAACTTTCCCAGCCCTGCACAACTTCTAGATCCTTGCCAGTTGGCGTAAATTCTTCTATGTTCACAATGTGCACATATGTATTTTAAAAAGAAAATAATCCCTGGCATAAGGAGGTGGTCTCTCTTTTCCTCTCTTCCCAGCGGTTTCTCTCAAACCCCTACCCTCAGCCAGCCCTGTTCACCTCTCCCCACAGAGGCAAACAAAGGAAATAGTACTGCTCCTCCTGGAACCAGAGATTGCCAGCAAGTGGGCGGGCTGGTGCTGCCACAGCAGTAGACACATCTGTCACTCAAGAAATGTCACCCTGCCTTGACCAATCCATTGTATAGCTGGAATGGGGAAAGCGCTTATTTGGAAAGGTGCAGAGATGAACAGCCGTTGAACTCAGTGACATCTGGGCCAGTCTAGGAAGGGGGTGCAGGCCTGTCCAGCACATCTGCTTTCAAGAGAATGTTCATTTGTGGTAGGAAATCTTCTATTATAAATAGGCTCTTGCACACAAACACAAACACACACCTCCCCCTCCCCGCCGCCCCCCCCCCACCCCCACCACCAAACCACCCTACTCAATCCCCTCTCTCACCTGATTTTGGACTATTTCCCTCCAAATTCATATATGTTAAGAATCATAGCGTTTGTGTGAACCTATCTGCTAGTGCCAGTGCCTCACTATTCACCATTGAAGGAAGTTGAAATAAACAGCCTTGTCCCCAGCCCCCTCTGGCTCAGTAAAACCAATTACCAACTGAGAACAAAAGTGCCCAGTGAAAAACAAATAAACAAACACAAAACCTCAAACCGTGGAGCAGTCACATTTTAGGGGAGGTGACAGAAGCTTTTATTTGCGAAGGCCCAGAGCTGAAGAGATTTTTGAAATTAGCAAAGGCTCACCACTGCCTGGGAACACAGAGGATACCAGGAGCCCCTGGGACACCCGGCCACTTCCCTCACTTCATGGCGAAAGGAAAAAGCCGCTTTAATTGCCGAAGTTTATTTTTTCACAGCAGTCTTTGGAGGAAGACCCTTGGCAATCCGCACTTTGAAGATTTATACATGGCACTTACCAACTCTACTTTTATATATTTGAAATAAAAATAGCTCAGCAGCAATTTGCTTTTTTTTTACCCTTGTTTTAAAACTCATTCCTCTCCTACCTTTGAAGTGTAGAGAACTCTCTCAGTCACCAGCCTTTTTGGATGGTAGAATGTTAATCATAAGAATTTATTTTCTGTGCTAACAAACGTTTTCCTTGGAGATTTTTTTTTTTATCATTTTAGATGGAACTTTTAAAAAAGATATAAATTAAATCAGATTGTTGAGAAATTTCGCTGGGGAACAACGCCTTCATTTATAAGATTCTCCGGATCTCTGAAATGCTCAAAGAGGTTATACTTTCTCCAGAGAGAAGAAAATACTCACCACTAAGACATTAAGTCAAAGAGCACTTTATTCTAAGGAGATTTTATTCCAATGATATGAAAGACCAATAAGGATAATAGTAACAAAGTAAAAAATTGAAAAAACAAAATATCCTATATACCTTCAGGAAGGTCTTCTTTCTGCCCAAACTTCCTGCAAGTGCTTGCTAAGGATTGTGAAGCATTTCTCTAGAGCTCTGATCAGCAGATTTGATATATGGATTTAGATCAATTTTTTCTTACGGCAAATCTATATGTTATTCTCCGTCTTCATTTGGTGCTATTTGCTGAGTGGCTGTTACTTGGGGGCAAAGGTCACCTCGCTCTCCGGCAGTTGAAGCAGCCGAATAATCTTTTACTCCTCATAAGAGGAGTGTGAGATATTAAATCACACTTGACGTACCTGAGGCACAGCAACTTCATCCATATTTTATCTGCTGTAAATTTAATACCACAGCACTTTTTAGGGTGATGTATTTATTAACTGGCTGGGGATGAGCAGTACAGAAATTCAGTTTGTTCAGGAAAATATAATGAAGACAGTCTGACAAGTTTATGAAGTAAGCACAATAGCTATTTATTACTTTTTAAACACACAGTTTGCTGAAATGTCTTTAGCAGTGTTTGTTCAATAAATGCTTTCTAAATCATCTCAGCTTATTTTTTTCTTTGAATTTTAATAAAGCCTTTTTCTCTTAAAGCAATCTGCTTTCCTCCCACTGACGGTGGCTGTTTCCGACGGCTTACCTGGCACTCTTAGGTAAAGAAGCGGAGCTTTGTTCTGTGTGAACCACCCTGTGGCATTGTGGGAAATGGAATCACGTTTAGGCTTGCTGCAGTCAGCCTCCTGCCCCCGAATCAGTTGATAAACTATTTCAGAGAGACAGGGCTGTCTTCGCCAGAGGACTGTTTCTCTCAATTACCCTGCTCAACTTTTCTTTCTTTCTCTCGTTTTTTCTCTCCTTATCTCTCTCTCTCTTTCTATTTTAACATCTCCTGTGTTTCACAGCGTTTGTACTCTGAAATCTTTATTTTTAGCTGCAGATAAATTACAGGTTGCTTGTGTGATCCATGTGCCACCTCTCTTGCTCTTTGGTGACATGAGGATACGTCAGCTATTTATTAAAAAAGGGAGAATGCGGTCCGCACCATTTACTTGTATGGTCATTACGTCTCATACAACTTTCTTTTCCCTTCCTTTCTTGAAAGATACAACCTTGAGAAACTCACGGCATTTTTGCGATTATAATAGTTGCCTTTTGTACTTATTTGCTGATCATTTTCATTTGTGATCTTTGGCCTTCAGTCAATTTGATCACCAGTTTGTAGCTGGTGTCTCTAAAGAAATCAGGGAGGCTCTACACCTTAATTTGATATTAACTTTAAGGTCCTAACTCCACAGAATGGGACCAGAGCATTGATTCTCAAAGTGTGTTCCAGAACACAGCAGGCAGCACCTGGTAATTGTTGAATATGCAAAGTCTCTGGCCCCACCCCAGACCCACTGAATCAGAACCCTGGAGATGGGCTCAACAGTCTGAGGTTTCACAGTCCCTCCAGGTGTTTCTGATGCCTGTTCAAGTTTGAGAATCAATGGACTAAAGTCTTGATGAACCACAAACAGGTGATCTATTTGCAGTATTAGCGACTTTTGTCGGCCCCTCCCTGACTTACCCCAGGCTTCCAGGAAGATCCTCAGGGAAAGGAGCACACAAATTTGCCAGCTTTAGGAGCACTGCTCTGATAAAGTGGACTCAGTGCTGCATACAAATAAAGTGTTGGATGAGCCAGTGCTGGTAGAACCCTCTCTCGGCATGGCTCATCCAAAGACGACTGTAACTTGCTTTAGGAAGAAAGAAGAGCAATGGAACTAACATTTTTTTGAGGGAAAGGAAACTGATATCAATGGGACTCTTTAAAAAGGAGCTCTCACAACTTTTAAATTCTGTGGTGATATGCTTACTTGTATGCCTCTGGTCTTCATAAAACATATACTCCTCTAAATAAGATCTGAGTATTTTCAGGAAACAACATTTCAGTTCAACTAGGTGTGCACTGGTTCCTTTTCTTTGGCATATTTAAAAATAATATATAAATAGGGAATGCTTCAAACCTATCTCTTTATCATCCTTTTTAATATATTAGCTCTTCCTAGGCTATTACTGTTCTATACCTGCCTGTTAATATATCTCCTTCCTGAGCACACCATTCCAAGACACATCTTAATTTATTCCTTTATTTATTCTTTTCTCCACAGCATTGGAAGATCAAATCTTCCATGTCGCACTATTGCTTCTGACAATGTATCAAACCGCATCACTTTTTCAGCTTTGGATCTTACCCTCTGCAGAAGTTCCTTATGTAATAGATTTCATGTTAAGAAAACAGGGTTTCCTGCAGTTCTGAACATTCACAGAAACTCGATTCACCACCAGAATCTTAGGAGGCATTTTGGCGTCTGATGCAATTTAGAACTTAAATGGAGACACAATCTGATGCCTGACCTGAATTGTTTAACTATAAAATATGTTCCTATTAGGAAAGTCACATACAACAAAAGGAAACATACTGTGAGAGAAGACTGGGGAAAAATTAAATGACTTCCCAAAGCCTAAACCTCTGAAATATGTTAGTCCCTTTTACTTTAGGGTAACAACAAAACATTTTTTTAAACATTCTGAAAGCTTTAAAATGTACACATATTATAACATCTTTATACTCCTGAATTTCAGCAGCTGAGGGAAAAAGAAAATTCTAATTATTAGGTGTATATATGCATGTGTATGTTGTTGAGAAAAATGTAATATGTATATAAATATATAATATAGATGCTATATATGTAATACATAGATGCTGTATATACATAGTAGTGTTGTTTTTCAAACAGCTGACTGTGACTGGATTGTGGCTCTTGAAATCTCTACTTGGTTGGTCATGATCTGCATTAAAAACTTCAATAGATAAACTAAATAGACCAAAATAGAATACAAGAGAAAATAGCAGAGTACATTACTGTATATAGTAAGGCTAAGTATTATTTTTGGGAAACTTGTTTTAGTAAAAGTATGTATATTGGGTAATGATATAAATACACTGATATAAAGAGTTGAATACTTATAGTTAGTGACTTTATTATTAGTGTGATTTGCCTGGTATTCTCTTACCTTTAACAACAATAATCAAACAATAACAACTCCTAAATACATAAAAAATCTATATCCAAATATTGTAAATAAAATAAATGATATGGCTATGCAGTGTTGAAGCATAGAGCTTAGAGCAGTCTTTAAATGTCTTGATCCATTCTCTCATGTATACATTAATGAAACAAATAAATTAATAAACTTCCCTGTGCTTTGATTTATTTTTTATTTTTTATTTTTTTTTGAGACGGAGTCTTGCTGTGTCGCCCAGGCTGGAGTGCAGTGGCGTGATCTCGGCTCACTGCAAGCTCCACCTCCCGGGTTCATACCATTCTCCTGCCTCAGCTTCCCGAGTAGCTGGGACTACAGGCATCCGCCACCACGCCTGGCTAATTTTTTTTTTTTTTGTATTTTTAGCAGATACAGGGTTTCACCGTGTTAGCCAGGATGGTCTCCATCTCCTGACCTCGTGATCTGCCCATCTCAGCCTCCTAAAATGCTGGGATTACAGGCGTGAGCCACCATGCCCAGCCTCCTTGATTTTTTTATCTGCAAAATGCCACTTATACTAGAACCTATCTATGAAATTATAGTGAGGATTAAATGACTTAATATATGTAAAGCACTTAGTATAAGTACTAAATACAATTTTGTTATTAATATTACTAGTATCTGTACTTATGCATGCCTACTCTGTGTAAGACCAGTGCTGGGTTCATGGGGAATCCAACATGGGTTATGCATATTGTTTGGTTTCTGCCTCAAAGGAGACTATAGCTCAAACTCCTATATATTGTCTTTAGACATAAGTCAAAATGAAGGGGTTGCCATCTATGTTTGCTTATTTAAGAGATATTTATTTATTTTTCTGTGTTTTGGGAAAAGTAAAGCAAAAGGGAAAGTCAAAAGACTCAACCTGAGGCTCTAGCAGAGTGGAGGAGCATCAGGAACATGAGACCCTTTCCAACCAGAGAGACCTTTATCAAATCTCTGCACCTGGCAGAACGGTCCTCATCTGCAATGACTTCCAAGGTTCTGTCTGCTATGACTGAATTGCATCCTCCCAAAACTCATATGTTGAAGTCCTAACCCCCATTGTGACTGTATTTGGAGACAGGGCTTTTAGGAGGTAATTCAGGTTAAATGGGATCAGAAGGGCAGGGCCCTAATCCTATAGGACTAGTGTACCTATAAGAAGAGAGGTACCAGGGATGGGCACTCACAGAGCAAAGGCCATGTGAGGACACAGCACAAAGTGGGCCATCTGTGGAAAAGGAGAGGAGCCTCACCAGAAATGACCATTCTGGAACCCTCATCTTGTCCTTCCAGCCCTCAGAACTGTTGAGAAAATAAGTTTTCATTATTTAAGCCACGTGGCCCATGGTATTTTGTTATGGCAACTCAAGCTAACGAAGACACCTTCCAACTCTGAAATTTTAAAGGGGGTCACCAGGGTGTAGAGACCTAACCCTTTCTATCCTGTCCCTTTCCCTGACTGTCTTAGCTCCATGACTCAAGGGTCTTCTCTCTGTGATGAGACCCTCCTCCCAGTGCAGATGGACACACTCTTGAATGGTCATCACATTCATCTCCCACCCTAACACCTTCCTCCAATTAACTGTTAAGGTCAAGGCTTTTGGGAAATATAAAACTGCTTTTCCCCCATAAAAGAACTGGCTGAGGAAAATTTCAGTGTACTACACATTCACAGTTCTCAGGTCAAGAAGATGTCTGTACTGGGTTGAATAGTGTTACAGTGTCCCTCAAAGTTCATGTTCACTGGGAACCTGTGAATATGACCTTATTGGGAAATAGGGTCTTGTAGATATAATCAAGCTAAGAAGAGGTGTATTTGGAGACAAGGATTTTAGGAGGTAATTCAAGTTAAATGGGATCATAAGGGCGGGGCCCTACTTCCTGTAGGGCCCATGGTGTGCCCTATTCCAATATGACTGGTGTTCTAAGAAGAAGGAAATTTGGACACAGACACACAGGAGAGAAGGCCACGTGAAGATGGAGACATAGATTGAAGTGCTGCATCTACAAGCCAGCCACTGGGGATTGCTGGCAACTACCAGAAGCTAGAAGCATCCAGGAAGTATTCTTTCCTAGAGACCTCAGAGAGAGCATGGTCCCACCTGCATTTTAATTTCAGCCTTCCAGCTTCCAGAACCATGCAGAATACATTTCTGTTGTTTTAGACCACTCAGCTTGTGGCAATTCTTTATGGCAGCCCCAGGAAACAAATATAATGTTCAAGAGTTAAATAAACCACAAATGCAAGTTATTTATATTTGGAATCAATATATAAAATTTCGCATAAATCAATTGCCCCCCATATTGCAAAAATTCCCAAACAACACCATGTAACCAATGACTGTGGCTTGGAAGGATACTAATAAAATGACAAATATGCATGGTTATTCATTTTATAAATATCTATTGGGTACCCATGGTGTGCTAAGCAATATCCTGGGCCCTGAAATTGTGTATAGCAGGGACATAGGCCAGGCAAGGTTGCTTACGCCTGTAATGCCAGTACTTTGGGAGGCCGAGGCTGGTGGATCACCTGAGGTCAGGAGTTCGAGACCAGCCTGGCCAATACGGTAAAACCCTGTCTCTACTAAAAATCCAAAAACTAGCTGGGTGTGGTGGTGGGTGCCTGTAGTCCTAGCTACTTAGGAGGCTGAGGCAGGAAAACCACTTGAACCCGGGAGGCAGAGGTTGCAGTGAGCCGAGATTGTGCCATTGTACTCCAGCCGGGGCGACAGAGTAAGACTCCATCTCAAAAAAAAAACACACACACACACACAAAAAAAAACAGGGACACATTAGGCCTAGCTACATCTGGGGAGGTTGTTTCTACCTTTCATTTCCTGAGTCATTGAAGAGCTAGATTCTTCTCAGTCTGTACTGTAACTATGGGGGGAGTCAAGCATGCATTTGTAATTAAGCATTGCAACTGAAGCATTGACTGAAGTGGGAGGAGATGTGGCTAAAACCATGAAAGAAGAGTTGTTTTGTTTTTGCTTTATATATCAGGTGCCCTCATCCAAATGTTAGGTAATTCCCCAGTACTTTTTTCATTTCTCACTTCTGATCCTAAGGAGTCAGAAGTTCAGGTCCTGTTTACACATCACTGAGGGTCTAATGCCCATCATGCTGTGGGTCAGAAGCTGGGGGTTGAGGGCTCCTGAGGATGTGTTTCCTGTCCAGAGAGTATAGAGAGAGTATCCTAGGTCCAGGGGATGAGATGGATATGTACATTGACAAAAAAAAAAAAAAAAAAAAAAAGACTAGAAAATGTGGGAAAAACACAAAGGAACCCAAAGTTATATAAAACTGTGGGGAAAAGAGCTACAGATAATATCTGCACAAGACATTTGAGCTGGGTATTGAGCACAAGGGGAAATGCATCTGGGAAGAAGACAGGTGGTGGGGGGTGGGGAATGGAGCTTAGTCACATGAACTGAGGTCATTTCTTGGACTTTATTCCTTACATGATGAAGAAGATTAGAACTAAAGGCCAAATGCAAATGTATTATTGTCTTTAACAAAGACGAATCTTGCCCACATGGAAGAGTTGACAGAGAAAAGTGATGTTGGAAGTAGGAAGTGGTCAAAGGAAACCGTTTCCCTCATTAAAGTTCCCGAGTTTCAGGTCTGGCGCTTCATGGAAGAACATTGAGGTTAAGGCAAAAGTTTAATTTCTTAGAGTTTTATTTTCTCTTGAAATCACACTCATCAGAAGCAATTGCTTGATTTTTGAAAATGCGTGTAGAACAGCTGAGATGATAATAAAGCGACTGCCTGTGCAGGCCAGGCCTTGTGTGGGTGCTTTATACGATGTTCTCATCTAGTCGGTATCCTGGCCCCGTGAGGTGGGTGTGACGGGAATCCTCACTGGACCAAAGCAGACATCGAGAGTTCAGAGCTGGTGGTTGAGCTTTTGGTACTAAGGTTGCAAACAGGAACCTGAGGGCTCTGGGACCACACCAGCCTTCTTTGATATCTATTCCTTGGGCTACCTGCATTATAATCCCTTTGTGTTCTGTGTTCTTTGAACCTTTGGGCACCCACCTTATACTCACTGAATCAAATTCTGTCCAGTGAAGCCTGGGGGTCTGCATTTCTACAAGCTATCCAAGGTGACTTTTTTTTTAGGTTTGCAGAAGTTTGAGAATCACCAAACTATACTTTGTACAGGGAGTGGCCTGGATAGGACCTCAGGACAAAGCCACCTTTTTGAGTTTCCTGAAGGGTGGGTCCTTGACCTGCATCATGAAATACCAAGTGTCTGACATACAGTAGTTATTTTCATTTTTATCCAGGTGGATTTGAGTAGGGGAATGGGAAGGTGAGAGGGAAATGGGACCAAAAGCAGTCCGTAAAGGGGAAAAATCTATAAGATGAGAAAGGCAAATGAAGCAAAGAAATGACATGAATGAGCCATTGAAGCGGCAGGAGAGGAAATGTTACAGGGCCTCTATCAAAGACCTGGGGAAAAAGATCAAATATTTCAACTTCGTTGGCTTTCCTTTGTTCCTATATGATCGCCCACCATTCTTCCACTTTCTGGCTCCTTTACTTAATCGAAGATTGTGAGGGTGCAGGGAATTCATATGACAAAATAAAAGTGAAAGGAGCAACCATCATTCATGAACAATTTGTGCTTTTTCCCTTTGCAGAAAATGACAATGATAAAAATAACCTCCTTCCGCCACCCACCCAAATAGTGAATGCAAAATACAGCATCCACTGGCAACATTTTAATTCCGTTAAAATCCAACTCGAATTAGTGAATCAGAATCTCTTGCTCAGGTTGAAAAACCTCCTCAGGTGATTTTGATGTCCGTCCCTACTTAATAATCCCTGGGCTAGGTCATCCCAAGGGCCCTTTTTAACTCTGACAATCGATTTTTACCAAGTATTCGTAGGATAAATGTCACAGGTGTGTGGGGAGGGATTTCATCCTGCTTAGATCTCAAATTGAAGGCTCCGAGAGTTTCTTAATATGTAGGCCACTGTTTTCCTCCCACGCTGTCTGCGACGCTGTTTGTTTTAAGCGTGGCCTAATTTCATGTGAAGAGCGGGTCTATGGCACACAGTAATTCTCACGAGGAACGTCGTGCATTTATAATAGGACAGGGTGGACACATCGATTTCAGCTCTGGGAATGAGGAGACTGATGCTGAATTCCCCAGACAACTTGCTCTCTGGTGAAATGGAGAATTACTGAATCAGTTAAACACAGGCTCCAAAGGAAAAAAAGTCAAAAAAGAAAGTGCCCAGGGAGGCACGAGTCATTTAGCTTTTGATCAGTGGGATGAACTGATATGCTTTAGGCCAGGGACCTGTCTGTCAGCCCCGCATGGGCTGAAAGGACCACACAGGCAAGCGAGTGGAAGAAAAGCAGAGAGGGAAAGTGGGTGGTGGGAAGGCAGGGCTCCTACCAGGCGTGGCTGGAGCTGCTCAGAGTGGACTCCCAGGGGCTTTGCTGTCCCAGTGCCCTGGGGGTATGTGCTGGGACCAGCAGGAGCCAAGAAGTGTGAGGATGGCAGTGAGGAGGCTGATTTTGTCAGGCATCACAGCAGCAGCTCCTTCCCAACTATTTCCCCCGAGACCCTGCAAGAGACATTTTTACACTGGTTTATGTGTAGAAAAAGGAAGCAGTTTTGGCAAGGATGACTTCTGCCAAAATGGTCTCTTGAGGTTTTTTTTGCCAGCACAAGCTTGGGAAGGACACGTGTGTGTGTGCGTGTGTGCACGCGTGCACGTGTGTGTGTGCACGCATGTGTGTGTATGTGCACACACATGTACTTGCTTGTATGTAAATGTAAAATTGCATGTATCAGGTGCCCACTGTGTGTCCATTCCTCATGCAGACTGACCCCTCAGTCCACCTCACCACAACTCTGAGAGATCCCATCTCAAAGATGAGCCCATTGAGGCCATGAGGCTTGCAGAGTGGGGATGGAATTGGAGTACAGCTTGGTGTTTAAAGCCCATGCACTTTCTACTTATCCATTCCAATGCTCCAGGGTGAGGCCAATCTTGTCATTTAAGAGGCACCTGTTTTATGCTGAGGGTGTTGAGGTCCATCAGAAATAGCACAAAACTTGGCCTTCAGCCTCTGAAAGAATTTTCATCTCACTCCCTTTTCTTGTCTCAGTGTCCCAGGTGTTTTGTTTTTTAACTCACCCACTAGCTAGCTGCCTTGTCAGTTGGGTGCTGTTTCCTGATTCTTATCTGACTGGGAAAGGGTAACAGGCCTGTGACCCTGCTGTTGTGCCATGACACTCTGTCACAGCTGCCCTCCAGCAACACAGATAATTCTCATCGTTCTCCAACTTTGGTGCATGTTATGGTCTCCTGGGGATCTCCAAGGAAAGCTCCCTGGGGGACAGCAATGTGCAGCCAACATTGAGAACCTGTGCACAACATCCCAAACCTGTGCTTTCAAAACAACATTTGTTGAGCATCTACTCTGTGCTACGCACTTGGGAGGTAAAGATGAATAACTTTACTACTGTCTACACCAAGAGAGGGGAAAAGCTACCAAATGCAAATTGCAATGTTTCTCACCTACTTGCTTCACAGGAACACTTTGAATGAAAGCATTTTAATCTTGTTAAATGTGCATCCAGGTCTTGTTCATCCATGATGATGAGGAATAGGGGCGCCATAAATGAGTGATCCCCAGATAATTTAGGCATTTTATTGCACCATTACTTTTGACCTCCTCCCTTATCATAGCTTCGACAAAAGCTGGTGACATGCAGCAAAATGGGCTCCTTTGAGCCTCATCTCTATTTTTCTTGCTCATCCTT
This sequence comes from Homo sapiens, assembly GCF_000001405.40. Taxonomy (NCBI): domain Eukaryota; kingdom Metazoa; phylum Chordata; class Mammalia; order Primates; family Hominidae; genus Homo; species Homo sapiens. The sequence goes on along the minus strand of NC_000002.12, from coordinate 104,573,472 downwards.
TTGTGGAGATGCCAAGGAGGAAAGACTAGATTGCCCAAAAGGTGGGCAGCTGCTAAGGGCTCGCAGAGATTGATGGAGCTGCCATCTGTCAATCAAGATATCTTCTAAGTTCTATTTACTTCCAAGGAAATAATCACAATGATAAACAAAGGGCTGCTCATGTGAGGGTTTACATTATATTATCACATAGCTCAATTAGACTACATTTTACTGTTGATAAAGTCGAGTCACTGAGCTCAAAGAAGAACACTCAAGATTGATGGGAACTGACCATATTGTGAAGCTCAGGCTATCTGCATAACCCCTGTATATGATGAGATCATGGACGGACACTCTGCTTCTGGTTTCAGTAATACTCTGACCGGGCTTCTCCATGCACTGGGCTTTTCACCTCTACCAATCTGTCTCCTTGCTTCTGCGTTTGTACAACTTGTTCTGACTCACACTGGCTCTGTGACCTTTACTTCCCCCTTTCGAAATTGAGTAAGTTTCCCTAATTCTCAGGATGATAAGTAGATTAAATGAGATGAAGCAATTAAAGTTGTTCAACACAGCACCCAGCCCCATGCCTGACATCTGAGCTCACAGGCAGCATAAGCTCCCATCTCTTCCTTGTGAGTTTTCTCCCTCTTGACTTTAAGAACTGAGGAAACTCAAGCTTCTGATTGTTTCAAATGGCAACAGATACATAACTTGTTCCACTTCTTTCCATTCCTTAAGACATCTATAGAAAAAAACAAAAGGCTGATCGGCAAAATTAATTAGTTTTTTGAGCATGATGACATTTAAGGAATTAAACTAAGGGCATCAACTCTTTTGTTCAAGACTTCAGCTGAGAGACTTAAGTCGTCGTTTATTTAATGTTCAGCGTGCTTCTGGGACAGAATTACAAAATGGCACCTCAACAAAAACATCAACATTTTGAATCTTGAGTTTTACAAACAGAAGCAATATTTCAACAGGATTTCCAGCTGGAAGGCAAATACCCAGAGACCAGGCTTCGGGAGAAGGAAAGGGGGGATGAGCTGAGAAAATTTCAGCAGAACCTTTATTCATGAGCTTCGAGGCTGGCAGGAATCGGAGCACTAGGACTGAGGAGACCTGCCATAGGTCTCCCATTTAACAGGTGAGCCAGTTGAGGCTCCACCCTGTGGCGCATGGCTGGGAGCACCCAGGGAAGAGTAGGCGGTTGGTCCAGGAGGCCCTCAGTCCAGAGGACAATGCAAGAGGAGCCTGGATTTGTCCTTGGGCCGTCTTCTGGGGGTGCCTGAGGCATCAGCAGGACATGTGAGAGGGGATCTGTCTATTAATCTTTTGATCATGAGTCCACTCCACAGAGAAGAGCCTCTTCCAATTCCCAGGTCTACCTGAGTGGCTGCACATGTAAATAGAATGGCTATTTTTGTTAAACAGAGCTTAACTATTTCTGAAACAGCCATTTATTTGTGAAGACTATTTTATGTTAATTTAATTATAAGAAAATTGAAAAGTGTAATACATAGCTAAGCCCTTAAGGCCGGTTAATCTATTTGGATTGTAACAAATATAATTTTTATTAGCTCAGCCTATTTGGATGGTAACGAGTATAACCTTTTCATAGACATTACAGACTCTGAGTTATGGTCTATTTTTATGTAAAACCAGCCTTGAGTAGAATAAAAAAAGAGTTCTTTTATCTGTCATTGTGTTATGGAATCATTATATTAATGAGTAGAATCTGAGCCATTCCTATTATCTTAGAGTGGAGCTCATGTCTTCTCTAGGTGTGATTGGAAAAAAAAAAAAACCCAGGTAGTTATTAGAGAAATGATCAGCCTTATGGAGAGGTAGGATATTCTCAATCCTCCCTTGGGTAAAATATGTTGATTTTTTAAAAGGGAAAGTTAATCCTTTCTTCCAGCCAATCACACTACCTATCCAGAACCTCACTCTCTCAGAACACAGTTGAGTACTTGGAAAGAAACAACAAAAAGAGACCCCCAGGGGTCAAAACGGTGTTGCAAAGTCTGAGCTCCATAGAAGCACTTTTCGTTTGTTGAAGGGTGCCTTATTTTACCTGGTTTCCCAGCCCTTGACAGATAAGAAATGTTATAACAAATGGGGTAAGAGTTTCCTTGTTAACATATTCAGCAGAGTCAAAAGCACAGACTTCGGAGTCAGACTGATGATGTTCCAGTATTAGCTCTGCTGCTGACATGGATGACCTACATGCCTCAGTTTCCCTTTCCATAAAATGATGACGATTCAAGTGCCTCCCATAGAGAGTTGCGTGAGAACTAGGAAGTGTTAATAAGTGTAAAGCACTTTGAACAGCTCCTGGCACATAGAAAGCCCAGTGTAGGTGTTAGTATTCCATCATTACCACACAAATGAAGACGGCATTATGGGTGCTTTCCTTTTCCAAAATGACATTTTATTTTACAGGCTCTGGTGCCCAAGTGGCATGACAACATGGCATATTCTTGAACTTTTTTGTGATATCATTTTTTTGGCACTATGCTAGAATAATTTCAAAATGTATACATTTAAAAAATTAATGCAAAGTTTAGGAAAAGGTTAGTATATTAAGCTGTGGTACTTCATCGCTGTGTGTGAGGCCTGAAGCTAAGTACTTTCAGTATTGGGTGAGTGTATAGTATTTCATGCAAACCAGGAAAACTTTGAGAGTGAATGTGGGCTTACGGATAATTATTCCACAACTATCCTTAGGCTCACTAGGATATGGTATCATGTTGAATATTTACCACAATTCCAAAAGACAGGCAGTGCTATGTCTATTTTGTATGCGAGGAAACAAAAGGCTTAGTCTCAAATGCTATGCCCAATGTCACACCGCTAGAAGGAGTCCAAGTCAGAATTCAAATGCAAGTTTGCTCCACTTCATTGTGCCTGCCTCATGGCCTAATCACTCCCCAAAGTATCTCCCTCCTAATACCACCCTCTTAAGGGTTAGAGTTTCACATGTGAGTTTTGGGGAAACATAAACATGTAGTCCAAAGCACTGCCCTTCGCCTTTATGAATCTCTTTTGATTTACTCAGAGCTTTAGTTGAGACTAAAATAGCTGCTTGTTTAGTTCCTTCCCTGATGTGTAATAATTCACAAAGTCTAAGTTAAAGCAATTGGGTCACATAAAACATGATTTTTTTCTTCCTTCATGAAAATGTTGAGTAAGAATTTTACTAACCATAACTTCAAGAGGATTATACAAGATTTTAGGAGACACTGTTTATGTAAGTAAAACTTGAGTTATTTGAATTAGACATTCAGGAGTCTTTTATATCAGTCACTTTGTCGGGTCCTTCTTGTTTTAGAAACAACCAGAAGGGCATATATCTCCTCAGTGTACACTAGGGGCGAACCCTGGGCCATATTTCTGGTATTTCTGGGCTTCCGTAGCTTTGCCCACCCACTTGGGAGGTAGGAATCAGGGCCACCTCTTCTGAACTAGATTCATTTATGCATGCTTATTTATTCAACAATTTTTTTTTTTTTGACACGGAGTCTCCCTCCGTTGCCCAGGCTGGAGTGCAGTGGTGCGATCTCGGCACACTGCAACCTCTGCCTCCTTGGTTCAAGCAATTGCCCTGTCTCAGCCTCCTGAGTAGCTGGGAATAGAGGTGCACGCCACCATGCCCAGCTAATTTTTGTATTTTTAGTAGAGACGGGGTTTCACCATGTTGGTCAGGCTGGTCTTGAACTCCTGACCTCGTGATCCACACACCTCGGCCTCCCAAAGTGCTGGGATTACAGGCATGAGCCACCGGGCCCTGTCCTCAACAGGTGTTTTATGATCTCTCACTTGGTGCCAAGCTCCATACTGGACTCAGACGTCAGAGTGGTGAACAAAATCGGTCAAGGAAGTCTTTTCTCATTCCATTAGTTGTTCAGGGACCAAATGTTTTCTGAGACTCGTAGGCAGAGAGCAGATCAGTCTAGTAACCAGGTGACCAACTATTCCAGTTTGCCCAGGACTGAGTGGTTCCCCAGGAGGACTTTCATGGCTGAAACTGAGAGAGTCCAGAACAAGGAAGGGCTAGTTATAACTAGTTAATTAAGCTTACTTGGACTTCTGATTCTCTGAAAGAGAACTAGTAACAAAGATTCTTTGCGTACCCAAACTTTAGGCAGACTGTAAATACCCATCGGTGCTCTTCCATGTAAAATCCAGTTTCAGCAAGAATCTTGATAAGTCATTTTAACAAGAATCCCCCACCTTTGACACCTGATTAAAATTTTTCACTGCGCAGTTTTGCTGTCTGATCACCTTGGCCTGCCTTCAGCAGGAATCCTGTCAGGTCTGTTCAGTCAGTATTCTCCCCAGACTTGGTGCCATTTTCTATTAGTGTTTTTCCATCTTCTGACTCCTGCTCCTTGGCTATATAAATCCCTTCTCCCTGCTGTATTCAGAATGGAGCCCATTTCTATAGTGGGGTCTCTTTTCCCCTGTTGCAATGATCCTGGATAACATTTGCCTTCACCACTTTAACTTCGTTCTGGCTTTTGGGTCAGGTTTCTGGGGGGAAGGGGAACTAATGGACATAAGCTAACCATGAAATTATGCCACACTATTAGGTTGGTGCAAAAGTAATTGCGGTTTTTGCAATCAAAAGTAATGGCAAAAGCCACAATTACTTTTGCACCAACCTAATAGATTGGCACAATTTCATGGTTAGCTCACATCCATTAGCTCCCCCTCTGAGCACCTGGGCTGACTCAACTTGCTTGAAGAGAAGAACTTCCAGGCTGTTGGATTGTCCAGTTCTGGGCCCAACAGTCAGTCATGAGAGGAGACTGGCTTCATACCTGACTCCTGGCAGGTCTGCACAGCCACAGTTGTTCTGAGTTCCAGGGCCCACACTCAGCGCTGTTGCATGGCAGATGGGCTCTTAGGCAGAGGGTCATTTACCAAGCTCAGTCTGACCCTTGTGAGATATAAAACTGGTTGCAGAGACTGCAGTGTTGGCTGGGACAGGCGTGGGAGCCACAGACTGCTCAGCTTGTAATCCTGCTCCACTCCTTTGCAGCCTTAATCATGGGCAAGTTCCATAGCTTTCTTAAGTCTGAAAGATGAGAATAGCAATAGCATGGTAGTCACGCCTATTAATAGGGTACAGCGCAGTGTCTAACACCCAGCAAGGGAATCATGCTAGCATATGAAAACATTCCTGGCATTTGGAAGGTGGTTGTGGTATGAAAGAAAAGAACCAAGGATGATGTAGGTGGAGAAAAGACAAAATTCTGTCTTTTATGAGGCATCATCCTGAGCAAAAGCAGGGCCTTGGGTATGGCCGAGAACCCTTCGCCCCTCTTCCCACCAAGAGTCAGAGGCTATGTTGCCTCCACGTTGCCTCAGGGCTTGACCGTGGGGCTTGCTCGGGTTTCTAGGACACTGTGAAGTGGGGCACAAATGGCAGCTTGGCAGATGCATGCCTGGAGGTCGCCTTGTGGCAGCCAAGGCAAAACCCAGGGTTAAATAACCAGGAGAGAGACTGAGCAGTCCGTGGATGGGGCCCCCAGCCCACTGAAGTTGACTGAAGAGGCCCATATGCGCTCACATGAGGCCAGCTGAACTATCCAGAAACCCATGCAATTGTCAGAAATTACACATTGTTCTTAGCCCCTCAGTTTTGATGTGGTTTGTTTCATTTTTACTCCGGCCCAGACATTTTAATTTTTGTGTTTTTTATTTTATTTTATTTACTTGCTTTTAGAGGTAGGATCTCACTGTGTTGCCCAGGTGGGTCTCAAACTCCTGACCTCAAGTGATCCTCTTGCCTCAGCCTCCCAAAGTTCTGGGCTTACCCATTTGACCCACCGTGTTGGTTTGTGCCAGGCATTTTAATCCTCACAAAAGTCCTGGGAAGGTAGGTGTTCTTAGCCCTGCTCTACAGATCAGGATTGTTCTCAGAAGCAGCAGCACCCACTCTCAGGGGTTGCACCTGGTCAGTGGCTCCCCCTGCCAGGGCTTTCTGAGTCCAAATTAAGGTTTCATATTGACTCCCACTCTACAGAACTTAAGATGTTTTTACTTAAAGAATCTCCTGTAGGTCAAACCTGTTCTTATCCTGGTGAGTGTAATCTTTTTTTTTCCCTTTTCTGAAAATACCAAAGCAATTTAAAGATAGTTTTCTCAGTAGTCATCCTAGGTACGATAAGGAGAAGTGAGTATTACTCCACAAAAGTCAATAGGATGTTTTTTAAAAAATCACTGCTAAATGAACGTAGGGTGTCTTCACAAGGATCCCCAAAGGAGCACTGGCATGGGATGTGGACAGAGTCTGCCCATCAAGGTGGCCACTCCAGGGTGCCCATTTTATCATAGCATGGGGCCCGCAGACTTCTCTGTCAAAGGGCCAGATGGTAAATATTTTAGGTTTTGCTAGTCATGTGGTCTCTGTCACAGTTTCTCAACTCATGCTGTTTTATTTGTTTTCTACTGGGTGCCCTCTCAGTCACTTTCTTTTTTCAACAAAGTACCACTTAGGAAAGTGTTATAGTCTGAAACCACTTCAATCACTTCTGGCTTTGTATGCTTATAGAGGTAAGCTGATGAAAACCAAGACTTTCTGTTACCCCATAGGCAGGCTTAAGAACTTTCCAATCATATTTCATAAACTCTAAAGTAAATGTACTTCTATGGGACGGATAAAATAAACGATGGTCCTAATATTTTGTGGCTTAGGGTCATGGATTAAAAAGGCTGCATCTCAAGCAAGTCGCAGGCACACCATGTTTTAGCGCACGTCACTTTACTGTGCTGTGCAGATGCTGTGTTTTTGACAAATCTGAGGTTTGTGGCAACCTTGTGTCAACCAAGTCTATTGGCACCAATTTTCCGATTTTTTTTAGCAATGACGTATTTTTTAAATTAAAGTATGTACATTTTTGTTGCTGTTTTCTATTTATTTTCACTTCTCTTTTAACATTATTTTTTATTTAAAAAGTTCTGTGGATACATAGTAGGTGTATATATTTACGGGGTCCATGAGATACTTTGATACAGGCATGCAAAGAGTAATAATCTTATCAGGGTAAATGGGGTATCCATCCCCTCAAGCATTTATCCTTTGTGTTATAAACAATCCAATTATACTTTTAGTTATTTAAAAATGTACAATTAAATTATTTTTGACTGTAGTCACCCTGTTGTGCTATCAAATACTAAGTCTTATTCATTGTTTCTATTTCTTTGTACCCACTAACTATCCCTACCTCCCAGCTACTACCCTTCCCAGCTTCTGGTAACCATCCTTCTACTCTCTGTGTCCATGCATTTAATTGTTTTAATTTTTTTCTTTCTTTCTTTCTTTCTTGCTTGCTTTTCTTTTCTTTTTCTTTTTCTTTTTTTTTTTTTTTTTTTTTTTTTGCGACAGAGTCTTGCTCTGTTGCCCAGGCTGGAGTGCAGTGGTACGATCTCGGCTCACTGCAACCTCCGCCTCCTAGGTTCAAGCGACTCTCTTGCCTCAGCCTCTTGAGTAACTGGGATTACAGGCGCCCACCACCACGCCCAACTAATTTTTGTATTTTTAGTAGAGATGGGGTTTCTCCATGTTGGCCAGGCTGGTTTCGAACTCCTGACCTCAGGTGATCCCCTCTCCTTGGCCTCCCAAAGTGTTGGGATTACAGGCGTGAGCCACGGCATCCAGCCTAATTGTTTTAATTTTGTAGCTCCCACAAATAAGTGAAAATATCTGAAGTTTGTTTCTCTGCTCCTGGCTTGTTTCGCTTAACATAATGACCTCCAATTCCATCCATGTTGTTGCGAATGACAGGATCTTATTGTTTCTTATGGCTGCATAGTACTCCATTGTGTGTAGGTACCACATTTTCTTTTCTCTTTTCTGTTTTTTTTTTTTTTTTTTTTTTTTTTGAGACGGAGTCTCCCTCTGTCGCCCAGGCTGGAGGGCAGTGGTGTGATCTTGGCTCACTGCAAGCTCCACCTCCAGGGTTCATGCCATTCTCCTGCCTCAGCCTCCCGAGTAGCTGGGACTACAGGCGCCCACCACCACGTCTGGCTAATTTTTTTTTGTATTTTTAGTAGAGATGGGGTTTCACCTTGTTAGCCAGGATGGTCTCGATCTCCCGACCCTGTGATCTGCCCGTCTCGGCCTCCCAAAGTGCTGGGATTACAGAGGTGAGCTACTGCGCCCGGCTGGTACCACATTTTCTTTAATCATTTGTCTGTTGAGGAACACTTAGGTTGCTTCCAAGTCTTGGCTACCGTGAACAGTGCTGCAACAAACATGGGAGTGCAGATGTCTCTTCGATACACTGATTTCCTTTCTTTGGGGTATATACCCAGCAGTGGGATTACTGGGTCATATGGTAGCTCTACTTTTAGATTTTTGAGGAACTTCCAAACTGTTTTCCATAGAAGTTGTACTAATTACATTCCTACCAACAGTGTAGGAGGGTTCCCTGTTCTTCACATCCTCACCAGCATTTGTTATTGCCTGTCTTACTGGATATAAGCCATTTTACCTGGGGTGAGATGATATCTCATTGTAGTTTTGATTTGCGTTTGTCAGATGATCAATGATGTTGAGTGCCTTGTCATATACCTGTTTGCCATTACATGTCCATTCAAATCTTTTGCCCATTTCTAAATCAGATTATTACTTTTTTTTCCTATAATGTGGTTTGAGCCCCTTATATATTTTGGTTATTAATCCCTTGTCAGATAGGTAGTTTGCAAATATTTTCTCCCATTCTGTGGGTTGTCTCTTCATTTTGTTGTTGATTATTTCCTTTGCTGTGCAGAAGCTTTTTAGCTTGATACTGTCTCATTTGTCCATTTTTGCTTTGGTTGCCTGTGCTTGTGGGGTATTGCTCAAGAAATCTCTCCCCAGACCAACATCCTGGAGAGTTTCCCCAATGTTTTCTTGTAGTAATTTCATAGTTTGAGGTCTTAGATTTAAGTCTTTAATTCATTTTGATTTGATTTTTGTGTATGGCAAGAGATTGAAGAGACGGTCCTTTCCCCTGTAGTACATTGTTTTTTGAGACATAGACTACAGTATAGTGTAAACATAAATTTTATATGCAGTGGGAAAGCAAAAAAATTTGGGTGACTCATTTTATTGCGATATTTACTTTATTGTGATGTCCTGGAACCAAACCCACAATATCTGCTAGTGTGCCTGTGGATTTAAATGGAGGTGATGTGCATAGCCAGATGGATTTAGATTATTTGAAAAGTGGTCTGTCTAATGATGGCAAATACTCTGATGAAGAGCTTGAATCATTTTTTTTTTCACAAAATGTGAGGTTGAAAGAGTCATATTTCTAAATTAATATATCACTTCCTACAAGTGATGTGTCATATAAAGAATTCTGATAATGATACCTATTTCATAAGGTTATAAGAATAAAGTGAGATAGTGAATATTGAGCAACTAGAGGTTATAGAATAAATATTAACATCTATTCTTTTTCCTTTAATAATGGAAGCAACTATCTGAGAGAGACATCAGTTCAATCTAGTGTTTCAGCCAAAGGATCAGTGTTCCATCAGACACAATTTGAGAATCCCTACCATGATGGTTCATTTTATGTGTCAACATATTTGAGCCACAATAAAGAAGGTTGCCATCCGTAATGTGGGTGGCCCTCATCCAATCAGCCACAGGTCTGACGAAGAACAAACAATGACCTCACCAGAGTAAGCGGGAATTCTTCCAGCAGACTTGGATCATAGCTCTTCCCTGGGTCTCCAGCCTGCCAACCTACCCTGCAGTCTTTAGATTTATCAAGCTTCTGAGACAGCCAAGTATAAAGGGGTCCCTGGGGAACCTCTGACCAGCCTGGGAACTGGGAGGAACATGCACTGGGGTGGAGCCTGGGGCAGTTCACACCGTTTGCAGGGAGGAGGAGCCTGACCCCTCCTCTCCCCCAGGTAGTACCTGGGATTCAATCTGCGAGGTGGGAAGTGCACTAGCAGTACTCTGGCTTTGTACAGAGTCCTTGTTTCCCTTTTTTTCCTTTTTGCCCAATAAATTCCATTTTTCTCATCCTTCAAAGTGTCTGCGACCCTAATATTTTTCACGGTTGTGTGAAAGGGCTCCGTTTTCAGCTGAACTAAGGAGAAAGTCCTACACTTCCATAATCATGCAAGCTAATTCTTTAAAATAAATCTCTTTATATATACAAGTCCTATTTGTTCTCTTTCTCTGGAGAAGCCTGACTATCGCAAATACCTTCTAGAAAACATTTTAAGAGCAGATTGGGCTAAAGAGAATTAGGAGGAAATAATGGAGAGAGTGAAGAGAAAAATCAAACTTTGGAGAAGGACATGATTTCTCTGTGTCCAACAGTCTTGATGAGATTCTTAATTCCTGTTAGAAATAATTAAATTATATTTGGCTGCGGCCTACGGGATGTATGTACTCTCTGTTGAGCTTGCCCATGGTCTTATTATGATAATCAGGGTAAAGTGATGAAAAGACAGTTGTCCTTCTCTCTGAACCTGAGCTCCTGGCAGGAATTACTTGCGTGTGTGTAAGAGAGAAAGAGGGAGAGAGGTAGGCAGACAGAAAGAGAGAGATTATTTTAATATACACAGAAGGGAAGTAGAGAGGGTGATGGGGGGAAATGAAGGAAAGTTTTAAGTTTCGTCTTTCCAACTTGAAAACCATTGTGGGAAGTATCAGTGTCCTTCAAAGGAAAAAGAACACAAACTTGAAAGGGGACAGGATATGAAAAAGAAAGGGTGTGATGGGCTGTTGAGTGGAGGAGGAAGCTCACCATATGCAGAGCCCTGAGGGAGGGGTGGATAAACAAAGTGAGGGGAGGCTTCCCTTCCTGGAGGCTAGAAACGACTTAGAAGGGGTGTCTGGGGAAGGTGAGTACAGACAGCACTCCTTTCTTCAGGGCGCCAGGGACACAGTGAACTCTCCATAGATGCCCCAAATATGGAGGGGCCACATGTGGAAAGAAAGATAAACTATGAAAGCACTTTTTATTGGATTCACAAAGACCACAAGTTTTGAGGGTGGCTTGGGGGAGAAATGAGAAAAAAGACATTAAGGATTTAGATTTATAGAAAAAGGCACGTGAGGTGTTGAAAATCAACTGAAAGTCCGATATTACCACTGCCAGGCAGCTGCTCCAGTGGAACATTTGGAAATAAGACTAACTCTTTAAACAGACTTTGTATAAGGATGTGTTAAGGGAATTTTGGATAGAAGCAAAAGAGGAAATAATACTTAAACTCAAGGTGGAAGACGGTGAGCGAGGGACCTGCAGAATTAGAATCCTTTTAAGTTACTTGGCTTATGTTGATGTTGAGAAGTAATCTCCATGCCCATATTAACAGTTAAAAAATGGGCAATGGAGGCAATGGATAAATACGGAAGTACTATTAATCAAGGGGAGAATAGTGGGATTGGTGTGTGTTTCAAACAATGCTGACACCTTTCAATGAAATTATACATCAACCTTTAAAAATTATTTAAGTGTAATAAAAGTGAATGGTTGAACATCTTTCCAAATTCTCCAAACGAATCTAACTCTATGAATCAATGCATCCTCATTGATTGTAAAATCCTGATATTACTGTATATAAGAAAGCCAGAACAGAACTACTGGGGAGCAGGCATGAATATCAAGAGGCTAAAACCTGTCACAAGGGTGAGTTAACACCGAAACGGGAAAAAAAATCCAGCTTTTTCCGTGCTTACTGATATTTAAAATTTTTAAATCTCAAAGTAGCACTGACATTTTATTTTTAAAGCAGCAAAGGTGATTTCAGCCTAACACTGCTGGGGGCAATCTGGCTCATCACTGTGCAGGTTTCAGAAAAGAAAGAAAGAGAAAAAAGATGAGAATGAAAGGGTGGAGGAAATTTCTGCACTGGGTGCATCCTTTTATACTAAAGCCTCTGAAAACATGATAGGAACAGAATCTACTTTTGAAGGTGAGCAGCAGCATGCAGAAGCCGTCCCAGGAGACTTCCTTCCTTTCTCACTGAAGGTCCCGTGCGAGGGACATCCGTAATGCCATGTTTGCTTCAGGGCTGATGAGGAGAGCGGCATACTGCTTGGTGGAGACAGTGCTTGCCTGTTACCCCCGGCATATATTGTGAGGCGATTTTAATTAAAGCATTTGAATGCTGGCAGGTCAGTATTGTTAGAAGGGATGTCTGATTAATTGCTTACTTCTTTGTTACAGCTATAAATGGGATGTCGGGAGGGTACATGTTAGAATCCAAACAATTCCCCCTAGAGTGGACGAGTAAATGGACTCAAGAGCAATCAGTTCCTTTCACTTGGAATGTGAGATAGCAGAAAAGCCAAAATTGCACTGGTCATCAAGTGATCCCATTTAAAGATGCTATAGGTTAAAACTGCTTCCTAGTGATGGATGGTGGGCCGGGGCAAGGCTTTATGTGGATGCCACCAGCTCCAAGGTACAGGGACGATTCAGCAGGTAGAGAACTCTGCTCTCAGCCAGCCAAATTAATAAATGTGCAAATTAAAAAGGATGTCAGAGCACTAAAGAAACATCTGCTAACCAAAGTAAAAAAGTAATGATGATGATGATAAATAGGGAGAGACAAAAGGGATTTCTGCTTCAGGCCAATTTCCATCCAGCTGCACCCCACTGTAAGGGGCCCCTGAGACTCTCTCATTGGTCATGCATTCAGAATGCTATCTTTCAGCGTCCAGGTGATAGACTTTTATTTGGACTATTGACACCTGAGAAATGTATTAGCAGACACTGGCAACTGTCCCAGTTCACTCTAACTCAGGGTTCCTCAAATTTGGCATCCTTGACATGTTGGGCCAGCGATTCTTGGTTGTGGGGACTGTCCAGTGCCTTGTAGGATGTTCAGCAGCACACCTGGTCTCTGGCTGCTGGATGCTGGTGTCCCCTCTACTTCCCCACCAGTCATTAAAATCAAAAATGTTTCCAGACATTGACAAGTGTCACGCAGGGGGCAAAACTGACCCTTGTTGAGGACCACTGCCCTAGGTCAACTTGCTGAAACACAGTATTTTCCATCGTAACATCCATGGCTGGACAAACAATATTTATAGCAGCACAATGATAGGGGATAGCTAGTAAAGGATTTATTTGCAATATTTCCACATGGAAAGCAGTCAGGGTTGAATTGCATCTAGTGAGCCATACATTACATATTATAGTTGCAATTGATAAACCTCCTAGAAAATTCAAAATGTTTATCTTTTAGAAATTCAGCCTCCTGTGCACACTCCTACACACAGTTTTCTATTTGCAATGCTTCCTTTTTGCTTCCTTCTGCAGGAGATTTGGAACTGAAGTTATGTCTTCTTTTGCAATGAGATGCAGTTTTGGTTTTCACGGGGCAATCCATCAATGAGTTTTTTCATGACTTAAAGCAATGAAAAAAAATCTTGTAGCTAAATACTGTGAGCATCCCAAGATCTTCCCCTTGAACTTCCTGTTTAGAAACAATGTAGTAATTACTAATTGTAATTACATCCCGAATCTCTGCAACCAGCTGTCTGTGCTTTTCGTTGTTCAAGGAGCAGGTGAAATCAATACTAATTTTTGGAATTTACACAAGTCACCTGGGAAAATTTGGTGTGATTATTCTCCATGACAGTTTGCTTTACCTAGGTATTCATTTTCAGAAAATGAATTTTTCTATATGACTTTGTTTATAATGGCACAAGTTATAATTGATATCTAATGATAGAATTGTCACTTTATGAAACAAGAAGAAGGCCAGATGAAGTGCAGTGGTTGATAAATATTTGAGATATTATATTTGTTATGTTTCCCATTGCCAAAATAAGGCTTGACCATTATTTCTATAAGTAAGAGTAAGTCTATGGTCAAATTCATTTAATACAATAACTTCTTTAAAAATATACTGTAAGTACACCAATGGAATCCTTCTCTTTTGTATAGTTTTCTAGCTATTTTCAGCTTAGGTAGTCAACATTAGGAAGAATACTGATATGTCAAAACCCATGATGAATAGACACAACAATCCAGACCCAATCCTCCAAGACCCCACAACCCGGCACTCACACAGACACACATTAGGACTCTTCAGTAGATTTTAGAAGTTTCAGATGAAATCTTAAAGCCTATCAGAACCTTTCTCTAATCAAGAATTTCCTTCTGCAAAATCATCCCCACCTCTTCAGTATTAAATAGTTTGAGAAACATATCATACCTCCCCAAGATGAAGTTTTATATTTAGCATATCCACTACAATATGCTTAATTCAAAATCAAACATGACCAATTTTGAATCAATCTTTTCTTCTACCTGGTCATGGGTGTGTTTCCCAGCACTTTCTCATTTCATTGAGCCACCTTAATATTTTTCTTATAATCTCGTAAGAAAAACAGCAGATGAAAACAGCCTGCCAAGGTCCATAATATTCGCAGGCTAATTCCTCGACCCAGACCAATTTAGCAGCTTATGGAAATTTGCACAAGATTTGAATAAGCAGCCAAACTTCAGGGTACTTGCCCAAATGCAATCTTGCCGTCTTTTTAAATTTATACAGCCTTAACAGAAACCAGACAGTTCTTCCATCTTAGATTACAGAGTAGTGAAGGATGCCAATGCCTTTATTAGTAAGATTCTGAGTACCCTTTGTATAGTATAGGGATACTAAAATTATACTCTTTTTTTTCAATGCACTGTGCATAGATACGTTGAATATTCATTCATGAATATAAATGTACATTCAGTTTCGAGATCACAAAAATTTGGGAGAAATTACAATTCAAAGGAACTGCTGAGGAAATCAAAGAGTCATAGAACTTAAAAGCACCTTGGAAGATCACCTAGAAAATTTCCCCTCCCATTTCAAAGGGAAAACTGTCCCCTGTTTTTAAATTCTCTGGTGAGGAAGAGCCACTGACCTCTTGACTGGCTCTGTGTCATTGGATGATCTGCTACTACTGTGATCTAGGAACATTCCTGTGACACTCATCCTCTTGTAAAGATGGAGAGAAATACCAGGTCTTCCACGGCTACTGTTACATTGTATTTATTGTAGAATAACTACACAGTCAAAAAGCATTTGCACTGATTGGTTATGGGCCATTACTGGCCAGATAGGGAGCTAGGCATTGCAAAGAGCACAGAAACAGCTGTACAGATGTGGGTCAGTGACCATATAACCTTCCATCATGCTGACTGACGAAGAAAACCATTTTTGTCTATTGTAATTAAATGATGATGTGAGGTTAAAAGAAAGGTATACTGTTCAATAAATGGATCCTAGGTCAGATAAATGCCTGGGAGAGGTGAGGTACACACCAAACATGAGATCTAATGTAATGAACTTAATGTTCTTACCAGAAAAAAAAATACACGCAATGTTATATGAAAAGGAAGCACACAGTTCACACCTGAGCAACAAAAAAGGGGCAGAAGGTTCGAGGTTAGTAGGATGGGGACTATTAAAGATTATGGGATGGAAGACAGAAATGAATGGACCTGGAGGGGGATCATGGGCATGTGCAGGCACATGAAAAATAAGCTTTACTTAAGTTGCGTGTTCACACTTTTGACACAGGTGGCCAATTTGATGTGTTGGAAGGAGACCTGAGTGAGTGTGAGAACACCTGAGTTCCAGCAGGGCTCTCACACTAACAATGTGACTTTGAGGAAGTTCCTTTATCACTCAGCTCCTAACTTAATGCAGTGAACAATGTGATACCAGCTGTCCCTTTCTGCCGTAAGTCCCATTATTCCTTATACAGAATGTGTCTGACTTGGAATGAATATGCAATCATTAAAGACACGCATGCTCTCTCTAAAAAAACCCAGCTGTAGAAGGATCTATATAAAAATCCTATCAGTAAAAATCGGGACTGCAGTGGTGACCATCTATTTTTTTTCTTTTTTTTTTTTTTTTTTGAGACGGAGTCTTACTCTGTCCCAGGCTGGAGTGCAGTGGTGCGATCTCAGTTCACTGCAGCCTCCACCTCCCCGGTTCCAGCGATTCTCCTGCCTCAGCCTGGGACTACAGGTGCATGCCACCATGCCCAGCTAATTTTTGTATTTTTTTAGTAGAGGCAAGTTTTCACCATATTGGCCAGACTGGTCTTGAACTCCTGACCTCGTGATCCACCCGCCTCGGCCTTCCAAAGTGCTGGGAATACAGGTGTGAGCCACCACACCCGGCCCTAATTTTAAAAAATTCGTATGCAAGAATGTATTATAACCACATCTCCAAGCACCGTGTTTGGATAATGTTGATTTATTAGTACAGTAGAATTCCACTAATTAGCACTAATGACAGGGGAACCCATTGTGGATTATAGAATTTTGCAAATTAGTGAGTACATGAATAAACAATAAAAATCAGGAGTCCTGAACTGCAAAAAATCGTTTTCCACTTATTTTGACAAGAAAGTATTTAATGTTGATTATTTATTATAATTCTTCATCATACATTGCTAATGTTGGATTTTGTTAAAAGGGGCATTTGTGAGGATTAATGGGATGATGCATATAAAACATTTGGGCAAAAGGAGTAATACAAGTGTAAAACATTGAAACGATGGTAGCTAATGAGGTCGCAGAGATAAAGGAGGGAAACTTCGAAATTTAAATGAGAAATGCAGGAGGTAGCTGGAAATATTTGGAGGAGATTATTAGAATCGTGAGCTTGCTTGAGAATCAACAATACTTAAATATTAAATGACTATGAAAAACCAATCTCAGTTTGTGTTTTTCATTGAGGTATTCAGGTGATTAAATGCACTGTGTAAGCCACTGTGGGTCATCCGTTTTTTTAGGTGGCACTGTCTAGCAATAATAAATGTACTGAAATATGTAACAGACGTGGAGTTCACAAATGAAATGGGGTAGAAACTATATTTAGAATTTTCTTCTATGAAGAATGTTTTACTACTCCTGGATTTAGATATTTGATATTTTCTATTTAATTATGGAAATCTCTAGTGAATTTGAGACAGTGACCAGAGTCGGGCGATATGCAGATTTTGTCTGGTAATGATTGATTGCATACGGAATCATGCTTTAGTGACCATGATTTAGGTACCGATATAATATCTGTGAATAAATACCAAAGCTGAAGAAGAGTCATTCTGCTAATTAAAAGCTAAAAGCATGCAGTTAGGAGTAAAATTTAAGGCTAAATCAGCCTTGAAATAGGTTTTGAAGGTATATGGTGGTAGGTTACAAAATTTGGCATCTCTAAGTAAATGCCATTAGATGATAAGAACATAGCTCAAATTAAAGTCTTGCAACAAACAGTTATTCAAACAGAGCTTGACCATGGTCAACTCTGTCCATTACTCAGGCTCATTCATTGGCATTCTGTGTAAGTTGTGGTAACTTACCTGCCAGTTGATGATGAAAGCGCTGTTTATCTTAAAGTATCTAAAACCGTGCCGATCAAACTACACTTCAGGGACTCTGTGATTACAATGGATATTCTCAGCTTCCTCCTAGTCCACAATCAGGCAATTTATTTATTTATTTGAAATTTAGCAGCTGGTAGCCTTGATTTGCCAGGGAGGCAAATAGGCAAAAGAAAAGTTTCCAGAAATAATCGCAGTTGGGCATTCCTGAAGGGATGGGACTCAACGTTCAGAGTCAGGGCCCAGGGAACAGAAGGGTTCCTATCGTGTCTGTTGCTCTTTGCACCCAGAGAGGATGTCATGCATCCCACAAAACAGGGCAGGCAAGTTCACATATGCAAACAGACTCATGAATACTTATTTTAAAATTTGACCACTTGTGTTTTGAGACAGAGAGGAGTCCATGTCTGTTCGATCTAAAATCCCAGTGAAAATCCTTGTTTGGTTTTGTGCCTCCCATTTTGAAGTGTTTGTCCTTATACAAAATTCAAAAAAAAGAAAAAGATGTAGACTGTGAAGAGCCTTAGGTTTTGGGCATTCCCAGAGTTCTTGTGGTTTCACATGTGCACACCTTGGATCCAGGAAAGGAAAGGCCTTCGCTTGCCCCATAGTCCACTTTGACTCTGAAATGAGGCTTTCTTTTGATGATGTATATAACCCTATTTATCTCAGTTTTAATGAGGGTACTAGTTTGCCAAAATTTTTGCGTCTTTGATCTATTAAAAAAATCACTAAACATATTAAGATAAAAAATGTAATTAATACTACACAGGTCACTTTCATATTAATAGATACAATCTGGAAATTATACGTGGGCTCTCAGTTCCTTTCTAAGCCAAC
Organism: Homo sapiens; assembly: GCF_000001405.40. Lineage (NCBI taxonomy): Eukaryota > Metazoa > Chordata > Mammalia > Primates > Hominidae > Homo > Homo sapiens. The sequence continues at coordinate 104,555,288 of NC_000002.12, read as the reverse complement.
AAACAAAAACAAAGCAACCACCATACAGATAAACAAAACAATATTCCAAAAAATACCATGAAAAAAATCTTATACATGCTTAAAAGGTCTTTTCATAAATCAGTGTTCAGTTAGCAAAAGGATATCATTTAAGCATTATTATATCCCAAAAACTAATTGCTAATGAGTAAAAATGTAAATATTAGATGTCTTCAATAATTTTTTTCACCTGCTTTGCCCATAAAGTCTTAAACTATTCTCTTTTTTGACTATGTGCAATGATTTATAGGGAGATATGACCATGAGCCCTCAATTCATTTATATTTAACTCAACAAAGCTTTACCATGAAGTTTCATGGGATGCCCTGGATCTGTTTAAAATGCTTTTTTTCTCCTAGAAATTAGAAAATTAGCAACAATAAATGGAACTAAAACCCAAAGCATGTCAGGTCTGATATCAATGCTTTATGAATGTAAGATAGCATTGGAAAGTGGCAGAATTAATTTTTTATCCTTAATTTATGTGTTTCTCAGGCCAAGAACGTTTTCCTTGGAGATCCCTGGCTCTCAGCACCTATAAGCAAGCGATTGCAAGAGAGAAACATTGCCTCAAAATCTACTGATATCTTCAAATAAAGTGTTACATTTTGCTGATGAGTACTAATGCCATATTCCCAGGAAATGAGATGCCACGTTTTCCATTGCTTGGGCATTTTTGAAAGGGGTTACCTCAGGGCCAATGCTGCTGTTTTCCTGGCATGCCACATTATCGCTCTCTATTACTTTAACTGCAGTCGCAGTTCTTCACATCCCAAAAGGAGTCAGGGTTACCGAAGCATGTCATATTGTCTTAAGTGGAAAACATTGAAACAACAGCAAAGTTTACATATGTAGTATATGCATGCACATATAATAACACTCATGTGCAGAGTACACAAAAATGCACATGTATGTGCACAACAGGCAGCATCAGATGTGGAGTGTATATGCATGTGCCTTATGGTGGACACCCATAAGAGCATGCGGAGACCATGGGATGCCAGGAATTCTACCTCTCTATGAGCCCAACCTTCTACCCAAGGCCTTTGTCCTTCCCCTCCCATTTTCTCCTAAGCATTTCAGCCTCAATTCCCAAGTTTGAAAAGCTATAAATTTCTGAACAATGTTTGAGCTTTCAAAATAGTTGAGTTCCTTCTTTGCAGATTTACCCCTCAGTGTGAGCACCAAAAATGAATTCTTATTATGCAAAATTTTTGGCATTCTGAAAGCTACCGCTGTGAGACTCAGCACTCATTTCATTGGGGAGCTGCAAGCAGTCTGTAAATGTGGGTTCTGCTTAATACCAACTTGACTTTTTTGGGTTAGGGTAATGTATTCAGGAATCCTTGAATATGAAGTTTGGGTTTTTACAGGCAGACAGAGAGGAGATAAAGCCGTGATTAACTTGATTTTTTTAGGTCATGCAATTTTGTTGATTAGCAAAGCTGATGGTCTGCATGTGAAGAACCTGGACTGTTTTCTGGAATTCAGATTGTTGGGTGATCACCCACCTCACCATTTCTCTTCATTTGTGGACAAAACCATAGGTAGGTACATCTCCACTGGAAGTTCCCCTGTTTGAATTATTCTCCAGATCACTGTTGGAAGCTTCGGTAGGTTGGCTTCCCATGCCAGTAAAAAAGAGTGATAGCTGCTTTGTGAACAACGCAATTTACAATGATTTCAGCTTAGACTTTTTCATCCAATGGTTTCAGGAAAAAAGAAAGGAAGTAGAGGAAAGACTACTCAAATCCTTCAGCTTCCGTTCCTGGCTATTTGGAGGAAAAAATCACAGCGAGAAGCAGACACTTTATTTTCCAGGCACTTTATTTTAGAGCTTTCTTTCCCTCCTGGAGTAGGAATACATCTTCCATGACAGTAGTAATAACTGAATATAGGGTCCAATATGAATCCCTAATATTTAAATCTATACTTATGAAAGCCAAGTTTATTCAGTTGCTCATTCACTCATATAAACACACCAAAGCAGCACAAGAAGGAAAATTATTGTCCTATGTAGGATTTTTTGTATGCTTGTTAAAAATAGCATCTATGCAGAAACAGTATCTGTAATTTATACACATGAATAGATTCCTTTACTGAAAGAATATGTTCTCCAATTTCTGGAAATTGGATCATATTTTAAATGCACTTGAGGGTTTTAAAAGTGATTCTGTATTCATACTTTTTTTTAGGTGAAATCTTACTGTTGAGTGAATATTCACTAGTTAATCTTTTTACTAGACCTGACTTTTCACATATTAAGGTTTGAAAGCACAGTTCACCTGTCCTGAGCCCTCCGAATTTCTCAGGTGCCTGAGCCCTAGAGTCATTAGCTCTGCACACCTGGGAGAGATTTTGAGAAGCATCTGGTCCACTTCTCCACCTTCAGAGGAGTCTGGGTTGATATTTCTCAATTTTCTTCTTATATGTCTTCAGGGACTTCCCTATATAGACACTCAATGATGTTAATGTGTTTCCCTCTATTTGCAGACTAAAGAGTTTTATTTATGCCTTTTCCTCCTTGTGTTAGTCTGGATTTACTAATTAAATCAAATTCCCTTTAAAGACAAGGAGACGGAGTCTTACTCTATCGCCCAGGCTGGAGGGCAGTGGCGTGATCTTTGCTCACTGCAACCTCCGCCTCCCGGGTTCAAGCAATTCTCCAGCCTCAGCCTCCTGTGTAGCTGGGGTTACAGGAGTGTGCCACTATGCCCGGTTAGCTTTTGTATTTTTTAGTAGACAAGGGATTTTGCCACGTTGGCCAGGCTGGTCTTGAACTCCTGACCTCAGGTGATCTGCCTGCCTCAGCCTCCCAGAGTTCTGGGATTACAGGCATGAGCCACCGTACCCGGCAAGACAAGGTTTTATATCATCCATATGCCAAAAAGATTCCACAAGAGTTGGTCAGTAAGTCATTCAGTTATTGTAGTATTGTTGCTTACCAGTCTCTGCAGGATTGCTTTTGCTTGAGTCTACCAGGTTCTAGGTGATTAGAAGGGTTCATTCAATAAAACCTGATTATCTCATGTTCACTTAATTCCCTTTAAAAATATTTTTTCTCTGCTTCCAAATATGTAGTTCTTTCATTTGTAACCATCCAGACTTGTAGGCAAAATGTGTCTCAATGGAAGGGCTCACACAGACCTCCCTGGTTACCCTTTGCCTCTCCTCTTTTAGTTTTTACAGGAAAGGTTTCAACTTTTTTACACATCAAAGAGGTTAACCAAATCCAACAATCTGGCCTGGTGTGGTGGCTCATGCCTGTAATCCCACACTTTGGGAGGCCGAGGTGGGCCGATCACCTGAGGTCAGGAGTTTGAGATCAGCCTGGCCACCATGGTGAAAGCCCGTTTCTACTAAAATTAGTAAATTAGCAGGACGTGGTGGTGCGCACCTGTAATCCCAGCTACTTGGGAGGCTGAGGCAGGAGAATTTCTTGAACCCAGGGGGTGAGAGACAGAGATTGTGCCACTGCACTCCAGCCTGGACAACTCAGTCTCAAAAAAAAAAAAAAAATCCAAGAATGTGCCCACAATCACAGTGCAGATCTCAGGGCTGGAGCAAAAGGTTCAAACCACAGACAAGTGTGAAATGCTTTATTCTTTTGAGAAATTCCCATGGAGATAACTACCTTTTTTCCATCAAATATTTTTTTTTCAGTAAAACCTGTCTAGAGAAGCACTTTCTTTTTGAATTTCTCTGAGAAAGATCTTTCTCCTCTATAGTGTCTGACCAGGGTTACCAGTCCTAGGACTGAGACTCCCTGTGGACCTTTTCTCTACTTGTTGCTGGGAATGTGAGTAAAACATGAGATTTCTGGGATTTTCCAGATGTTCTCACCTGTGTGGATAACACTATACAGCACACACTGACTGATTCCTTGTGCTAAGCCTCTGTGAGGCAAGAGGCCGGGGCTTCTCTGAGAGCATTCCTGGGTTTGCTCATGTCCAGTCTCAGCCACGCCCTCCCTAAATGGTAAAAAGGCAGCAGGGCTCAGGCTCCCTGAAGTGTAGGTTCATGAACCACAGAGGCCCTAGCAGCTTTGGGGACACCTTGCTTTCTGTGGTACCCTTTCTGCATTTTCTGTAAGTGGGATGAAGCTATGAGGGGGAGTGAAGACCCTCTGGCTTCACAATTATCAGTTCAGAGAATGAAACCAATTTCTGCCGTAGCTTGGGCTGCTGTAACAAGAGTACCCTAGACTGGATGGCTTAAACAGTGAACATTTATTTCTCATAGTTCCGGAGGCTGGAAGTCCAAGAACAAGGTATGGGCAGATCTGGTGTCTCATGAGGGACTACTTTCTGGTTTGCAAATGGCTACTGCTACGGTTTGAATGTGTCCCCTAAAGTTCATGTGTTGGAAACTTAATCCCCAATGCAACAGTGTTGAGAGGTGGGACCTTTAAGAGGCAATTAAGTAGGTGAGAGTTCTGCCCTCACAAATGGATTAATCCATTATCTTGGTAGTGGGTTTGTTATCATAGGAGTGGGTCCCTGATAAAAGGATGAGTCTAAGTCCCTTCCTCTCTTGCATACATGCACTCTTGCCCTTCCACCTGCCACCATGGGATGATGCAGAAGAAGGCCCTTATTAGACAGGAGCCACTTGACCTTGGGCCCCCCAGCCTCCAGAACTGCAATAAATAAATCCCTGTTCTTTATACATTCTTCAGTCTCAGACATTCTGTTATAGCAACACAAAATGGACTAAGAAAACTGGTACCAAGAAGTAGGGCTGTTGCTATAATTAATACCTGAAAATGTGGAAGTGGCTTTTTAACTGGGTAATGGGGTAGAGACTGGAAGAATATGGAGAAGCAGGTGTGAAAAAGCCAAGACTGCAGTGAATGGAGCATTAAAGGCAATTCTGGTGATGGCTCAGAGATAAGATATGTAGGGAAAGTCTAGAACTTCTTGGAGATTTCTTAAGTGGTCACGATGAGAATGTTGGTAGATATACGGATGGTAAGGGCCATTCTGAAGAGGTCTCTGATGGAACTGAGGAACAAGGTATTGGAAACCGGAGTAAAGGCCATTCTTGCTATAATGTAGGAAAGAATTTGGTGGAATTGTGTCTGTGTCCTGGGATTTTTGGAAGGGGGATTTTAAGAGCAATGGACTAGGATGTGTGGCAGAAGAAATTTCCAGGCAAAATATTGAAGGAACTGCATGGCTGCTTTTAACCACATGCAGTAAGATGTGGGAGAAAAGAGACATAAAGATGGAATTTATAATGGAGGGAAAAGCAGAACTGCAGAGCTACCAGCTTGTGGCATCAGCCTTGCAAAGCCGCAGACATGAGGGTCCAACCCATGAGAACTTCAGGGTGGACTGAACCCAGGAAAGTCCAGTGTGCCCAGGATTTGAGACAGGGAATCAATGGAGATTATTCTCCAGCTTTGAGACTTAATGTTGTTTACCCTGTTGGATTTTAGACTTACTTGGGACCAGCTACCCCTTTCTTCTTGCTGATTTCCCTCTTTTGGAATGGGAATGTATCGTATGCCTTGCCTACCACTATATTTTGCCAGCAAATGACTTGTTAATTTCACAGGCTCACAGGTGGACAGGAATTTGCCTCAGGGTGAATTGTGCCTTGAGTCTCATCCACATTTGATTTAGATGAGACTGTAGACCTTTGAGTTGATACTGGAGAGAGTTAAGTCTTTTGAGACTATGGGGATGACATGAATGTTCTTTGCATGTGAGAAAAACATGAATATTGGGGTCCATGGGTGAAATATTATGGTTTGAATATGTCCCCCAAAGTTCTTATGTTGGAAACTTAATCCTTAATGCAACAGTGCTGAGAAGTGAGACCTTTAAATGCTTTTTTTCGTGGCTATCCCTACTACAAACTGTACTCTTGATTTCCTCCTCCTCCTCCTCTTCTTCCTCTTCTTCTTCTTCTTCGCCTCTTCCTCCTCCTCCTCCTCCTTCTCCTTCTTCTTCTTTTTTTTGACATGGGGTCTCACCTATTTCCCAACTGGAGTGCAATGGTGCTATCTCAGCTCACTGCCACCTCCACCTCTTGGGCTCAGGTGACTCTTCTGCCTCTGCCTCCCAGGTAGTTGAGACTACATGCTCATGCCACCATGTCCAGCTGGTTTTGTATTTTTTGTGGAGATGGGGTTTCTCCATGTTGCCCAGGCTGGTCTTGAACTTCTGAGCTCAAGCAATCTGCCTGCCTCAGCCTCCCAAAGTGCTGGGATTACAGGCGTGAGCCACCATGCCTGGCCTGATTTATCCCTTTTGAGTAAACAGATCTCATGACAAGTAGTCTGGTCTGGGCAGCAAAGGGTCACCAAAATTCATGCTTTTCCACCCCATCTTTCTAGTTTTTACACCCTGTCCTGCACGTGCAGTCACACATTTCATCCTTCCCTTCCTGAGCACTGTCAGTACAATGCCTAGGGAGGGAACAATGGGCTGCTGAGATCGAGGCCCTCAGTGCCACCTGGCCCAAGAGTAGGCACTACTGTTAACTCTCTCACACTTTTCTGTGAACTCTCATGTCCGTATATACATGAATAAAAATCTTTTTTCTTGCTAACTTGTGTTTGGTCAGTTTAATTCACAGGCCCTGAGTACTTAACCTGAGAAGGTAAAAGTTTTCCTTCCCAATGGTGTCCTCACCTAAGGAGAAGGAGGAAGGCTGCGGCTAGAAATTTTGAGAACACTCGCAGACCTTGTCCAGAGGAAAAGAAATTAGAAAACTTGGAAGAGACTGATGGAGTAGTCAAGAAAGGAGGAGGAGACTTGGAGGGTGCAGGGGAAGGGTTTCAGGATCAGAGTGGGGGACAGTGTAAAATCTCTCAGTTTGGAGGGACTAAAGTTTACTGTGTATTTCCTGTTTTCTACACTACACCAAGCTTGTAAAACACCATTTCATTTAACCTGACAGCAAGCCAGCACCTGGGAGAAGGCCACAACCTCATTTTATAATTGTGGAGAGGGTGAGTGCCTTTGCCAAAGTCATTCATCTATGAGGAAAGGAGCAGAGGTCAGATCCAGAGGTGCAAACCCCTGGTTTTCTGCTATATGACGTGCTGTGTCATCTGTTTCTTCAAACGAGGACAAAATTCTGAAAACTATGCATTTAGCTTCTGGGTAATCTTCTTGTCCTAAACCAGGGTTCAAGAAACTACGGCTGGTGGGAGAAATCTGGCCCACTGCCTGTCTCTGTAAATAAAGTTTTGTTGGCACACAGCATGCCCATTCATTGATGCCATCTCAATACAGCAGCAGAGTTGAATCGTTGTGAAGGAGACACATAAAGCCTAACAATTTACCATTGGCCCTTTGGAGGAAGTTTGCTGATCCCTGCCTTAAATCATGAGGCTACATAAAAAATATTATAGATTAGGAATCCTAATTCAGTTTAGTGTAAAATTCTTGCCTTATAATGAAAATATATTTACAGAGAAAATCAGATCTCGTACCTAAGAATCTACCAGGGAATAATACCAGCTACTCAATACCATACTTAATTGGGCTGCTTTTTTTTTTTTTTTTAAGATTTGGAGGAAACTCAGAAACTGAGAAGAGTCGAGTCTGGTGCCTCTCTCAAGAACACAGGAAGGGTAGGGATGGGGAATTAGAAAAGATGAGGGGCATGATATTTAAAAGACAGCAAGCAATCCCCAAGGACCATGGATTTAGCACACAATAGGATACTGGCTAATTTGTCCCCCATCCATTAGCCAGGACCCCAGGACCTTGAGGAAGGACATATGTCTTATTTTTCTGCTGTGTCTGGCAGTGCCATGGGCTCCTCGGAGGCAAGGGGGCGTCCCCTGGGCTGGCAGCCTCCTGTGTTGGGAGCACAGCGGGCTGTCTGAGGTGGCAGTCCTGCTGGGGCACATCTGTCCCTCTTGATATTCACACTGCTAATGTCTCACTGTGGTGACAAATGCAAATTGGGCTGCTTCGTCCAAACATGTCAGCCTATTTAGCAGGTGCATAGGGATTGGCACAAGGCACCGGCTGTCCCAGTTTCTTCTGTTCTTAACCTCCATCCGCTCAGCAGTCTCCCGTCCTTCAGGATTGCTGATGGGGTAGTCTAGTTGTGGAGAACCGGCAGGAAAACCCTTTCTAAGAAAAGAAAGGTCTAGGGTTATTAGGAGACGTTTATCATGGGCCATTCTCCATAAAAACGAATTGACTTCCTCTGGTCAAATATCGAGTAAAACCAGACAAGAATATACCTTGATCTTAAAGAAAATGTATGGCACTTACTATGCCCCCAGGTAAGAATGGTATATACAATTACAACTCTGGAGATTCAAAAGAAGACAACTTGGATTTTTTATCTGTTTAAATGCATTCTTGTTGATTAAATGTATTTTTTTAATAAACAATATAATCAGATCAAAACTTTGCTTTTCCTTACATTTAATTGAATGTACACCCTTAAATAATTTTCTCTCATAGACCACAAATTTAAAAGCATAGAAAAACTTTGAGTTTCTTATATATTTGATAGTGATATTGTGATATGAAAAGCTTGGAAATTTAATTAAGGATGACGTCACTCTCATTAACAAATGCCCCCACATTCCTGGGTCCCAGAAAGGCTTGAATTATATTTGTCATAATATAAATCCCTTTAAAGTTTTTTTGATGCCAATAATGTATTTGTTTAATAAACATAGGTTAATTTTGAAGGTGTAGGGTGGCAAAGAGGTTAAACAAAATATTATTTGACAATGATAAATGATTTCTACTTTGCATTCATTTGACTCTCAATATGTATTTTACAATGCCAAAAAAAGTCATTTTTTACTGCTAACATCTCACTGATGATTTCAAAGCATGATAAGGGGTGATATCAATTGCACTGTTCTCCTGGCTGGAAATTTTGTGTGGGACACAAGAGATATACTTTTCGAATTTAAGCTCATTATTATAACTTTTGTATAGAAACTTAATATATGTCTTCTTGAGTAAGGAAAATTTGGAATTCCCCCACACAGAATTTTATTATTAAGAAAAATCTAAACTCCTAAAATTTTTAGAACCTCTGCAATACATTCTTACTCTGCCTAAGTTTCTACAAAATAATCAATGAGAAAAAATTTTAGAATTTGGATATGTAATTTTCTTATAGTTTGCTTTATGCTTTATTTTCATGAGATCAAATACTCAGATAAAAATTTGACCTACTACTTCGATGGCCAAACACAGGTGTTAGACACCAGCGACAAACATCTGGATTTTCATCCTTACTTTTCTGCATGTACCTGGTGCTGTGTAGTTCAGTCTATGTGTGCTAAGGGTTTCCAATGGATTTTAAGAAAGATTCTTTACCTTTTGATTGTAGCACAAATCCAGTATGGTTTAGTGTTTAAATGTTTTTCTTCCCCAAAGGCCATTTAGTCCCTGAAATCAGGTCACTGTGCTCCTTCTGTTTGAGGGACTCAACTTGCCTATGTGAGGATTCACAGAACCCCCATGCTATGCACTTGTCTTGGGAGAACAAAGCTAAATGGAGGGAGAAGAGAGCTGTCTAAGAATCACAGAGAGAAAGGGAGATGGGGTGGGAGTGCAGGGTGCCTGTGGCTGCTGAGAGCCTGAGAGCCTTGTCAATGGTCTGGAATAGTCCAAAGAGTCACCTTGGCCACATGGGCACCCCTTAGGCTCCAGGGCCTCTTTCCATCAGCGCAGCACTCACCACCAGCTCCATAACAAAAGTGACCAGCACTTATCTTTCTCTTTTTCTTGAAGTATTCACCTTCTTAGGGTGACAGCCAATGGGACCATCTCCCGTTCTGCCTGGTGAGGGCTCCTGTGGGCTACCTCAGCCCCTGCCTTCCCTTCTCTGCCTTGGGCCACATACCTGGCTGTCCGAAAATCCCAGCTCCTGTGCACCGTTGTTTATTTTTCTCCCACCACTTTCCCCAGAGTCCCAAATTTAAGAACTAAGCCTTTAGGACTTTGAAGTGCTAAGTGCCCTCATTTGCAGCTCTCTGCTCTGGACTAGTCAAAGCACAAACATGAAGTGCCGCCCAGTGAGAACTTTCCAGGTGCAGTGGACAGGCTCCAGGCCTCTGCTTCCCGCAGCCACACCTCTGCCTGGAGCCCAGCCTGCTCCACCCAAATCCTTGCAGAGGAGGGACTGTGGTCTGTGTAGTGGGCACCAGGGATGAGAAGGTGGCATAGGATTGGGCCCACAGCCCTTCCGAGATGGCACGTGGACTTGGGCTGACAACTTTTACGTTTTGTTGTTTTTTTTTTTGAGACAGTCTCGCTCTGTCACCCAGGCTGGAGTGTAGTGGAATGATCTCAGCTCACTGCAAGCTCTGTCTCCCGGGCTCCAGCAATTCTCCTGCCTCAGCCTCCCGAGTAGCTGGGATTATAGGTGTCCACCACCATGCCTGGCTAATTTTTGTATTTTTAGTAAAGACAGGGTTTCACCATATCGGCCTGGCTGGTCTTAAACTCCTGACTTAGGTGATCTGCCCACCTTGGCCTCCCGAAGTGCTGGGATTACAGGCATGAGCCACCGCACCCAGCCAGCTTTTTCTCATAAGTGAACAAAGTTCATCTCATTTCTCAAAGGGGAAGAAGAAAAGGGGGAAGAAAACTGCAGGCATGTTCTGAGAATTGATTCCTTTTTTGTCTGTTAGTGGCATCACCTTATATAAATGTTCTACAATATCGGTGTGAAAAACTCTACGCCCATTTTTGAATGCCACAGACTCAATTCACCTGATTGAACACAGCATCAATATCACCCCAGGAATGTCTTCAATCTCCACAGATACCTCAGCCTGTACTCAACATCGCACGGGTGTAGCTCCGGGCCCTTTTCTTAACTTGAGGTGAAATGTCTACTTTTTTTCAACCCTCAGTTTTATCTAACCCAGTTTCTTGGAGGTCTATCGGAAGAGTTGGGCCTGTTTACATGCCTCTTTGAAAGAGCTGAATACTTGGTGTATTAGCACAGGAAGTTAAAAAGAGTCTTCGGGAAGGTTTTAGGGGTTAAATTATTTCAGATGCTCCATTCAGAATGAAGTGAGTACTTCAAGGTCTGAGTGCAAATGGATTTGGTGTATGTATTAGGGAGAAGAGCTGTCAGTTGGAGTCTCTCTACCCAAATGTGGGATCCGGAAGGACTCAGCCTGTCCAGAGGCTGCAGACTTACGCGTCTTCAGGAGGTATGGGGACAGCAGGCGGTGGTGGCCATGCCGTGTTCCATGTGTTGCAGGCCGTACCTAGGTCAGTTGGATGCAGTTTGTTCTAACACATCACGGTAGCCGAGGAAAAGGGCCTGCAGTCTGTCCACCTGGTAGACGAATCCACAAGGAGCAGAAGCCAAGGGCCATCCCTTGACTTGCCAACCTCACCCAGCTCATCTACTAGACAGCCCACCAGAACCCGGGCTACTGACCCCAACCCAGGTGCTTCCCATCCCTGCCTCGAGCCCCACAGGTGGAAAATGCCCATTTACAGTTTTGTGCGTGTTCATCATTCCCCTCTTCTTCATCAGAACCTCCGCCTCTCTCATGTGTAAATCGCTAGAGCACTTTGTACCCATACGGTTGGTGCAAGGATGAAAAAAAATGACATGTTAAAAAACAAACAAAAAAAAGGCCGGGCGCGGTGGCTCACGCCTGTAATCCCAGCACTTTGGGAGGCCAAGGCGGGTGGATCACGAGGTCAGGAGATCGAGACCATCCTAGCTAACATGTTGAAACCCTGTCTCTACTAAAAAATACAAAAAATTAGCCGGGCGTGGTGGCAGGCGCCTGTAGTCCCAGCTACTCGGGAGGCTGAGGCAGGAGAATCGCTTGAGCCTGGGAGGTGGAGGTTGTGGTGAGCTGAGATCACGCCACTGCACTCCAGCCTGGGTGACAGAGCAAGACTCCATCTCAGTCCCCCACCCCCGCCACAAAAAAATATTTCTCACAGTTCTGGAACCTGGAAGTCCAAGATCAAGGTGCTGGCCCATATGGTGTCTGGTGAGGATCATTTTCCTGGTTCATAGATGGTGCCTTCTTGCTGTGTCCTCACGTGGCAGCAGGGGTGAGGGAGATCTTTGGGGCCTCTTGTATAAGGGTAATAATCCCATTCATTAGGGTTCCACTCCCCAAGAGTTAATCACCCCATAACGGCCCCACCTCCTAATACCTCACTTTGGGGGTTAGGATTTCAACATATGAATTTGGGGGCAGGGGTTTAAACATCTAGGTAATAGCATATTTTTTCTGTTCTTGCCTCAGAATCCTTAAAGTAGCACACCCAGTAGCCTGTATTGAACGGTAGCTGCTCACCTGTGAATTGAAATGTATTTGCCACTTCTACAGTTCTCAGATATTACTATTGCCATTCTTTGACCCACTTATTTGAGAGAAGTTTGAAATACCTAAACTTCTGATTAGAATAACTACATTTGAACATATATGTTGGGAACACTCTGTGTGTGTCTAAGTAAGGGTGTATTTTCTCTTGGAATCTCCATAGAGTGATGCCCTTCAGAAAGTGTTTACTTTAGGGTCCCATCATGGGTGGCATCCCCTCTAGTGGATTTCATTCTCCAATCAAATACATGCATCAGTGTGCCAGGTGCCCAATCATGACATGGTTCCAATTAATATACTGGGTTCTCAAATAGAGACACCTAAATTGAGTCTGAATTTAACTAAGAATTATTGGCAAAAAAGGAATTCATCATTTGAAACGTTAGATTTGGAAGTGTCTTAATATATGAAATTCTAGGTCTCATCATGAAGAAATATTTTAACATGGCCTCACAGCAAATCTTCCATGACTTCTCTGATGACCTCTCCTTTTTCTTCTTCTTGTTCTTTTTCTTCCCTTGTCATCTGTCCCTCAGACTTACCCCCACTTAAAAAGAATTCTTTCTTTTAGCTTCTCTTTTTCATATAATTAAAAGCAGATAAAAACAACTCTTTATTTCATTGCTTTTTCATAGCTACGAGGTACGCGAATAATTTTATTTTTATCTGCATTTACAATAATGATGAAGATAGAACAGGTCAGGGAGAATATTTTGGCAGTGGGAGAGAGATAGGTAAATAGAATCTGTAGAGATTCTACTCACTAAATAGACATTTTTCAAGTTTTAATGAGGAAATACATTTTCTATTCTTAAATTCAAAGGTAAATAAGGAAGAGATATGGTAATATTTGCCAGATTTTACATTTATTAAAAGCCAGGATAGACAGGGATAATAGCATAACTCAATATTTATGATGCAGCAGGTTCTACATAAATATTAAAATGAGGCAGTTATCATCAGAACTTTGTTGTTGATATTTGCTTCCAAATTTTAATGAACACAAATGCTGCTTATGTGGTAAAGTTCAATACCTGAAAAAAATAACGCATTTGTCTATTAATACATCTAGCCATAGAACAGCCATGGGTAAGTCTTTTTTAATACAATATATTAACTTAAGAAGACATTAAAAAAAGACTTTCACTTCCAGGAAGATGGAGTAGATGTCCTTTCCCCTTGTCCTCCCGCTGAGAGCCACTAAAAGCCGTGGACGCTATGGAAGAAACAAACACAAGATCTCTGCAAAGTGGACAGAGGTCAGACCGGCTCAGGACTATGGAAACCAAGAAATGACATGTCAGTGAGTTTTCTGAGTTTTCTTTTTGCCTAAGATAACCCAGCCTGGATACTGGAGAATCCAGAAACCTGGAAACAAGAGTGGGGATAGACAAAAAAAGCCCCAAGAAAAGCTAAAGGACCAAGAAAAGGGAAGCCCAGCCTAGTCAAACAGAAAACTTTTACACAATAAATGTTCTGTTCCAAAAAGCCCCTCAGGGAAACTGGTGCCCCAGCCCTCCTGCCAGCAGAGTCTGGGTGAGGGGAGTCTAGACTTCCACCTTCACAAGGCTATGGTAAGATGTCCGCTCCTCACTCAGCTCTGGTTGCATCACACAAGGCCAAGGGAGCTTGAAATTTCATCCCACTGGTGGTAATGAATCCCACCCACCCCAAGGGATAATGACCCACTCCCACCCCGTGTGCTGTCAGTGGAGACTACTCAGGGAGCCTTGACTTCCAGCACTCCCACCCAGCAAGAGGACGCCTCTTCCCCCTCCCTGGGGTAGTGTCAGGGAAGACGTGGCTGAGCATCAAGACTCTCACTGCTTGATGAGCAGCAAGGTGATCCTTCCACCTGCTTTGGTGTCAGTGGAGGATACGTGGGGAGTAGTAAACAGGCACCTTTGTCCCTCCCAGCCAGGATAGGGTCAAGATGGGCTAGTGGGTAGATCTCTCAGCATTAATACCCTTCCCAATAGTAAAAAGAAGTCCCCTCCTCTCAGATGTCAAAGGAGGCCAAGTGGAGAGCCTAGACTTTCATGTCCACCTGGTAGTAACAAGGCAGTGCTCCCCTGTGCTCAGCCAGAGCCGTGTTAAGGAGGCCTGCTAAAACACGAAATTTAAATAAGAGGGGAAGTCATATAACATGATACCTAATGCTTCCAGGTTTTAATCTAAGGTCACATATAAAAGTATTAGAAAGATTATAAATTGAAAGAGAAAAGAAAATGAGCGTTCACTAATGTGGAGATGACACAAATTGTAGAATTATTTGACAAAAGTTTAAAAACAGCCATATACAACTGCTTCAGTGAGGAATTACAAACATGCTTGGAACAAATAAAAATAAGAAAGTCTCAGCAGAAAAAATAGAAATATAAAGAAGAAAATGGATATTTTGGAACTGAAAAATATAATAACTGAAATTTAAAAACTCAGTGAATGAACTCAACAGCAAATGAAGAAGACAGATGAGTCTAATGACCTGAAAGATAGAGAGATAACTAGATATTACCCAAGCTGAAAAATAGAGATAAAATAGACTGTCTGGGGTTGGTTGGGGGGAGGGGGGCAGGGAGAGGAGTGGCCAGGAGCCTCAGGAAAATGTGCAACCATAGTAAAAAACTAACATTTGTGTCACTAAAGTCCCAGAAGAGAAGAAATAGTTGACGCCATTAGACTTTGATGAGTTATAAATGTGGTAATATCTAAAGCAACTACTAAAAAATTACAAAGCTGTATATCCAAAAACACTACAGATAAACCAAAATGGAATTCTAAAAATGTTCAAGTGATCCACAGGAAGGCAGGGAAAAAGCAAACAGGGAACAAACAGAAAACAGAACAGAAAACAGCAGACTTAAGCTTTACTCTATCAACAAATACATTAGATGTAAATGCTGTAAATACACAAACCAAAAGACAGAGGTTGGAGACTGAAAAAAAATACAATCCAACTTTGTATAGGCAAAATAATGATATTCGAAATTGAAAACAAAACAAAACAAACATTACTGGTTGTTAATGAGTGACAGGGCCTGATATGACTGCAAAGAGGAAACAGGTTGGTGGTGATGGAATAGTTCTATATCTTGATCGTGGTTACATGAATATCACAAGTACTGTGAAAAAATGACATCGAATCATACATTTATGTCGTGCCATGGTGAATTTCCTGTTGTGGTATAATTACATAAGATGTAACCATTGGAGGAAACTGGCTGAAGGGTATATGAGACCTCTCTGTACTATTTTGAAACTTCCTGTGAATCTATAAGTGGAAATTTCATATATGAGCTTTCTTTTCTCATCTGAGAACCAGAATGGCCGAATGAATGATGGATGGATAGATGGATGGACTGATGGGAGAAGCATTAAGTTCTTAATTTGCTGGTTTTTAAAATTGCAGGTTCTGAACAGTCATTTTTCATTTGATGTCTGTTCTACTTTGATTTCACAGCAGCTACAGTTATCAAAACATTTGGTGGAGAACTACTCAAAGACAGAGGATTGTATCCGCCTCTGGCTAAATGCTCTAAGGGAACTTGCAGAAATGAGATGCACAAAAAGCACATAAAACACATTTGGAACTAGCACAAGTACAAAATAAGTAATCTGAAAACCAACCCATCTGATCACTGGTTTATCTATACATGAAGATTTACCAAAGAGATTGAGATACTGATGACATCTAAAATACACTCACATTAGAAAAACCTTTTCAAAATGTGGCTGTAAGGTAAGGCTTCTTCTTTTCTTCTTTTTTCTACACGGATCCTCTGAAGGCCAGATTAGATGATCGTTTTTTGCCACCTACACAAACTTGGCCACATGTGAGAACAGCAGCCTCAGCTCTAATTTCTCACCTTAGGAAAGGTTTTAAACTTTTCCCTGAGAAGCACCATGTCCTCTTCAATCTTGCCACTCTGGATTTGATACATAACCTCTTTCAAGGTGCCAGCCACATGGCCAATCCCCTTAGTCCACACATAAGTGCCCCCAGCTAACAAGAGAGTACATTCTCTCGGTCCTCAGTGCCACCTCCCCAGTGCATCAAGGAAAGAGGCAAGTTCAAGGTCATGTGTTCACAGCCATATGGAAGCCTTCAAATTTTTTCCAAGTAAGACTCAGATTCTGTTTCCAATTGGTGAGTTAAAAAAAAATGCAATGGGTTCTCCAATATGATCAATTACATCAGCGCTCAGGGCTAAAGTCATATATAACAGACAGTATGGAAAGGAGAAGCAAAGGAAGACAAAGCAATTAGTATTGCTAACCACTGCCATAATGATTATTATTGACAAGAAGGAACGACCATGGTGATGCCTGCAACTTCCATGAAAGTTAACCGTACCCAGACTAACCAGTGCAAACTTTAAAAAATTATTGTTGTTTATCAAGGACATGTCATACTTGGGAATATATCTGTGCCATGGAAAGAGATATGGCATCTTTAAATTATGGGTAACGTAGATAAAGGGCTGGAGCTCTGCCAAGGTAAAAGTTGTAAAACTGGATTGATTTTTGCTACAGCTTGCTAAGGGCTCCCCAGAGCCGGGATGCAATGTTCAAATATAATAATTGATAGCCTGAAAAAATATTTCTGATAAGTGTGCAGAGGTAACGCAGAGCTCTGCCTGAGATGAAGTGAACCTTTGTGCTTCAGCAAACCCTACGATCAAAGTGACCCAGATCCCGGCACTGCCGTTGCCTTCTCTGATTAGAGCCACCCGGCTTCCTGCTCCCTTCTTCTTCCCTCCCCACTTCCACCCCTCCTGGCTTCCACCTCCTCCTGCCTGCGCTGCAGCTTCCTCCAGCTGCAGAGAAAATGGTCTTGGCCTTCAAATAGGGGCATTTGTTAAATGCTGTTTTGGAGAAGTAATTATCCAACCATCAGACCTGTATGTGTGGGGGGAAATCGCATTCATTAATATCACCTTGGTAATCCCAGGGGGCAGAGGGGTTCACGTTAATCTGACCCCTTTTCAGTCTTGCCTTGGTGAGCTGACCACCCCAAGCTGTGAGTGTGTATGTCTAAATTGCCCGGGATTCAATTGAACACATTAAAATTTAAAAAGGATTGAACTGAAATTTTTCAATAGCTTCTGAGAGGGGGGGATAATTTATTAGTTCGGAGTAAATTAAAATCTCAAGCAGGGGTAAAGACTCTGAAGATTGCTTTAATACATTTTATATGCTTTCAAAAGAAATGTTCTTTTAAATGGTCCAAAAATCAGCTAATTTTGTCCTATTTAGCAAATTACCTCCTAAGGCCACAATGTTGAAAAACTTAACAATTATTTTTTTTTAAAGCAAAAAATAGAGGGGGAGTGAAAAAATCACACACCTTCCATAGGAAACAACCAAATCCTAAATTGCTGTGTCTTTTATATGCCACAGTTAGGATTTTTTTTTTTTTTTACCTTTCTTAATTCAAAAGTCAGTGAAACATTTGCGTTACCTTCTGCCAGACCACACGGGGACCTTTTTTCCACATGGTGATTGCAGGCAGGAGGAGGGTGGAAGGTTAATGGAGGGGCATTGGAAGGCTAAGTCCCATGCGCCATGCTGATAATTTATACCTTTATTTCAGGCCACATTCACCTGTGGAGCAGCAAGGCCGTGGAGGTGACCTGAACTTGTTGCCCTGTTCAGCCCAGAGGCTGTCCCTATACTGACAGCAGATTTCTTGCTTTGAATTATCTGTGTAATAAAAGAGTCCTTCCGAGCTTCAACTGACATTCTGAGGCTGAGAGAGGAAGATCCATTTTTTTCCCCATCTAATTCTTTCTTTCACTTTTTTTTTCTGATGATGAAAAATTTTTTTTTTGGTTTGCATTTTGGAGGATTTTCTTAATGTGCTGCATACAGCTCTCGGCTTGTGGTCCACTGCGGGCTGTCTCTCCTCAGACTGGAATGATTAGGCAGTGAAAGAGACTTACCTTTTCCAAGGAGTACCTCTGTTTCAGAATTCAGGGTGGAGCATGCTGGCAACCTTTTGGGGGCACTTTAGATATGAATGAGTTTGAAGGCGTAGCTATGATCCTTTCAGAGGCCATTTAGTGCCAAACTGTATCCTGTGATTCATGTGTATATCCATCTGATTAAAGACAAGACGGGTGATAAAGAGAAAATAAAAGAAAATGAAGAAGAAATAAAAGAAGTGTGAACTAGTCAGCCTGAGAAGCTTGTTCCTGTTCTTTCTAATCAAAAATTCATTATTTAAGTGTCATACCTCTATTCTGGGTACCTGTGAAACACAGCCCTGGGGAGCAGGCAATAAAAATATGATGCCCCCTACACAGCTGTGACTTCCAGTTTCTTATTGCCCAGTCTAAAAAGCATCTGCTTCTATCCAGGGCTCATCAAAAAGATAAAAGGTAACCCAGACCTCAGGATTTTGGACTGATGTGAGGCCTGAAAGTATCACTCAATGGAAACAAGTAGAAATGATTTTTATGGTTGGTTGACTCAAATTTGCAAATTTGCATGTGGGACAAAAGAGTTGTAAGATATAAGATATAAGAGGGAAGAAAAAATTAGAAGAATTTCAAACTTAACAAACTGTTCTTAATGTTTTGGCAACCCAGGAGGTAAGAGGTCTTGTTTGTGAAAATTATCCAATTCTCCTTAAATGTCAGGAATTTACTTAGAAAGAATGGTGACTAATCTCAGTTCTCTTCATCCTCATTATTATTTCTGTATTTTCTAGTTCATTAATATCGGTTATCTTTTTATTTTTTTCCTTCTATTTCTTTGGACTTCTTTTCTAATTTTTCTAACTTATTAAGTTGAACATTTAGCTCATTAATTTTTTATTGTAATTACTGGTTTATTTGGAAATTTTATACTATGTTATTTTATGTTTTCAATTTTCAGTGACGTTGCTTATTTTTTCTTTTCTTTTTTTTGATTTTATTAGTTTGATGGCATTTCTTTATTTTTATCCTCTCACCTCCTTCTTGGATTGGAATGTGATTTAAGCATTTTATTTTGATGTTTCTAAAACTTGCACTACAGCTAGATTTAGCTAAGGAAGTATAGCCTTCTGGCCCCTAACATGCACGGTCCTCCTCGAAGCCATAGCAATGTGGCTCAGATGTTTCTGTAAAATTTGAAAAATTTAAATTAGTTTTTAATTCTTAAGAGAAAATAATGTAAGTTCCCCAGATTATATAGGACTCAGGTCCCCAAAATCCTGGTTCTGCAATGCCCTTATTATATTATTATTATTATTATTATTATTATTATTATTATTATTATTGACATGGAGTCTCACTCTGTTGCCTAGGCTGGAGAGCTCGATCTCGGCTCACTGCAGCCTCTGCCTCCTGGGTTCAAGTGATTCTCCTGCCTCAGCCTCCTGAGTAGCTGGGATTACAGGCGCCCACGCCCAGCTAATTTTTTTTGTACTTTTAGTGGAGATGGGGTTTCGCCATGTTTGCCAGGCTGGTCTTGAACTCCTGACCTCAGGTGATCTGCCTGCCTCGGTATCCCAAAGTGCTGGGGTTACAGGTGTGAGCCACCACACCTGGCCAATACCCTTACACTTGAACGAGCACTTTTGATGTGAAGAGTCTAAGCTTATCAGCATTTCTACTCTTTCCAAGAGGAACTAAATCCTTTAGCTCTTATCATCCCCTCTTTTTTTTTCTATGCTATTGTTGAATGGGATTTTGAGTCCTTGTTTTTAAGCTTTCCAAGTTTAGGTATACTTTTAATTTTTCTTAATAAGTCAGTTTAGATTCATTTATATTTATAAGTTGTCAAAATCATCAGTCTCTTGCAATTCACTTTTCATTCTTCTGTATTTAGTTTCTTTCTTTCTCTTTCTTTCTTTCTTTCTTTCTCTTTACTTCTTTCTTTCTTTTTCTTTCTTTCAATGGAATTTTGCTGTTGTTACCCAGGCTGGAGTGCAGTGGCGTAATCCCGGGTGACTGCAACCTCTGCCTCCCAGGCCTAAGCGATTCTCCTGCCTCAGCTTCCTAAGTAGCTGGGATTACAGGTGTGTGCCACCACGCCCAGCTAATTTTTTGTATTTTTAGTAGAGACAGGGTTTCACCATGTTGGCCAGGCTGGTCTAGAACTTGTGACCTCAGGTGATCCACCCACCTTGACCTCACAAAGTGCTGGGATTAAAGGCATGAACCACTGTGTCCAGCCTATTCAGTTTCTGTTCAACATCTTTTTTTAGTATTTCT
Source organism: Homo sapiens (assembly GCF_000001405.40). Classification (NCBI taxonomy): domain Eukaryota; kingdom Metazoa; phylum Chordata; class Mammalia; order Primates; family Hominidae; genus Homo; species Homo sapiens. The sequence continues at coordinate 104,534,762 of NC_000002.12, read as the reverse complement.
TGACTAACAGTCTATCAATGCTATACTCTCTAAACTCATCTTTATTTTTCTTTTACTTGTAAATAACAGTTTAAGTGCCTGTAGGTTAAAAAGTTCTACTTTTTTCTGGCCTTTCTGATAGATGAAGAGTTGCCTGCAGTCAGCACCATGCGCTTCCTTTGTGAGCAATCTTAATTTTTTTCTAATTATCTTTAAGATATTTTCTTTGTTTTTATGTTTTCTAATTTTATTTTGATGGGTTTAGGTATAAATTTATTTTTACTTGTTTGGGAATCAGGGTGCTTCTCTAATCTGATTTTTTTCAGCTCTGCAAAATTATCAATTATTTTTTCTTCAAATATTCTTCTTGGTGGATTTCTTATTAGATGAATATAGGACATTATTTCTGTTGCTTAACTCTTTTGACACTTTACATTTTTTATTTATTTGTACTGCATTTTGAGGGACTTTTCTCAGAATTGTTTTCCAGTTTATTGAGTCTTTTGTCAGCTTTATCTAATCTGCTGTTTAACCTATCCACTGTTTTTAAACATATTAATGACCACGATTTTATTTGTTATTATAAGTGCCCAGCTTTTTTGCATATTTCTTGTTCTTTAGTTATGATTTGTATCTGGTGGGTTATTTAGTGTGGGAGGAGTCATATGCCACCACCCCAGTTGCATAGTTGTCTCTACAAAGCAACTTTACTTTTTTTTTTTTAGATTTATTGAGATTTCATATTACAGATAAAATCCCATTTAAGGCTCCCATACACCTGGATGATAATATAAATTTGATCTTCCCATGCACTCATGGCACAAAGTTGGTGTTTTGATTTCTTGCAGGAGACCTTTTTCTCCTTTATAGCTATCAGCAGGGAGAAAGTTACACTGCTGTTTCCCCAGGTTGGCGAGTGGAGCTAATTTCTCTTTGTGTGACCTAGACAGTCTTGGCTTTATAAAAATAGCTATTCCAGGGCTGGGTGTAGTGGCACACACCTGTAATCCCAGCACTTTGGGAGGGTGAGGTGGGTGGACCACCTGAGGTCAGGAGTTTGAGACCAGCCTGACCAACATGGTGAAACCCCATCTCTACTAAATACAAAGAGTTAGCCAGGTGTGGTGGTGCATGCCTGTAATCACAGCTACTTGGGAGGCTGAGGCAGGAGAATCACTTGAACCTGGGTGGCCGAAGTTGCAGTGACCCGGGATCACTCCAGCCTGGTGACAAGAGCAAAACTCCATCAAAAAGAAAGGAAGGAAGGAAGGAAGGAAGGAAAGAAGGAAGGAAGGAAGGACGGACCAGTCTGGGCAACAAGAGTGAAACTCTCCCTAAAAAAACAAACAAACAAAAAAAAAACAAAAAAAGCTATTCCAGCTCTCCACCTAGTTCAGGTGAGAGGTTTTCTCACCTGTTCCAGTGTGGTTGTTACAGTCACACCGTAAGCCCTAGGGTCTGTATCAAGGAAGATACTCCTGTGAGCAGTGGTGGCATCTGCTCTAGCTTTGCATGAGCTTTGAGATTCTAGTACTGGGAGGGTTCCTTCAGTCTTTTGAATTCGTTTGTGCATCGTTACCTGTTTTCAACATATTTATACATTCATATCAAGAGGTGGACTTCTCTACATTAGCTGGGTCTACCATATTGCTGAAGTCTCACATAGGTATTTAGAGCATTTACAGCTGCTTGAAATTTGTTATGTGACAAAGGGTTTCTTAGCATCTAACATGTTGGGAACAATGGCTATATTCAATGAGGAACTATTACATGATTTTTTTTCAAAGTCCTAATGGAAACCACTCAGACTGCATCCTCGCCTTCTTACTCTCCTGAAAGAAGAGAACGATCATCAATGGCAAACAGCAGCTGCAGCAAAACAACACCAAGAGCAGGCTCCATGCTCAGGAGAGATTGCTGTGCCTCCTTCTCATGGTTTCTGGTGCTCCACACTGTCAGAGAACCATCTCTGGTACTGAACTATAGAAAAGATCCCTAGAAGAATAGTCTTACATTACATAATTGGAAACAAGAGAGTGACATAGGTGTTGGTTTTTATTAATAAAACAGAACTTGTGCACTTGTACACATTTAGCAAGCATTTTAAGCATGCCAGCTGTTGTCCTCAGCACTCCATTGCAATATCTAATTTGATCTTGACTAAATCCTCTAATGCAGACACTGTCATTAACTCCATGTGAGTAAACATTTCAGCCGATGAGGAGACTCAATTAGAAGGTAGGTAACTTGATGAGGAAGCCTTACAGTAGGATTTAGAGCAGTATACCTTGAGTCAGTCCATGCTGTAGATATAGAAATGATGATAATGATTAATTAATTAGCAATAATAATAATAGCAAATAACATTTATTAAGTGCATATTATATTCCAGGCAATTTTCTAAGCACCTTTTATAAAATTAACCAATTTACATCACAAGAATCCCATAAGCCTGTTATTATTTTTGTCCCCAATTTACAGGTGAACAAAAACAAAGGCACAGGCTAAAAGTCACATAGCTAGTAAATGGTAGATTTTGGGTTTGAATACAGGTAGTCGGATTGTAAACCTCACCCTCAGAAATTATCCTCAGTGATAAGGGAGGATGAAAGATTAGTTAGCTGTGTTCTCCAGTGGTCCAGTAAGGAAGTAACCAGGGTTTGAGCTGAAATCGTCATAGTAAGAATGAGGGAAGGACAGATATTAGAGCCCTGAAGGAGTTGAAACAAAACCTCTTGGCTTCCTGTAGGTCTGGGAGATGGAGAGCCTGAGGGTCAGGGAGGACCTAAGGGTTATTTCCTGACCCCTGGCTGGTGTCAGATCGTAGTGCTTTTACCCAAAGTAAGGGTAAATGAGGAAGTTTTGGATGCAAACATGTGCTTTGCTCTTTAAAAGAAATATGAAGATGAAAAGTTTTGTTGAATTCAACTATTATTTTGATAACACAATCGAAGATTTACCGATTAAATAATTCAAAAGCATCTGTAGTTGTTTTTGTGAAATGAATTTTCTGCAGCATGAGTGCTAGTGCGCACCCCTCTATATGTAAGTAAATATTCACATTTCTCTTGCCTAAGTGAAGGGCACCTCACCACTATTTTGTCAAAAATCATCTCACTCTGTTACCTATTTTCTAGAGATGTAAAATTAAGTGACAGTTTAACAAGTTACTCACAAAATCCACTCCATTGAGACTATGTGTGCATTGAGAATTATGCTTGCTGTCCCTTTTAAATGAAAGTGAGTTCCCTCATCAATCGCCGGGATCTCATACAGCGGTTGATTTCCCAGAGTCATGATAGATTTGTAGTGATCCAGCCAAACGCTTGCACATGGCTCCTCCCTCTGACTATAGATACACATCTTCAAGACAGGTGGCCTGCGTTGGGAGTAGTCTGGGGGCATGAATGAGACAAAAGCTAAGTAGCCCACGTGGGCACTGAACCCCTAACCTTCGCCTCATTAGCACAGTGCTCTGACCATCTGAGCTTACCCGCCACAGACTAATGATGTGTGCATGGAGGCACAGCCACATCAATCACATTTTCTGAAGCAAAACTCACTACCCTGAAAGTAACCGGAAGAACCATCCGTATAGATCTGCTCACCAAGGGAACGCAAAGCTATCCTAATGGATGGCTGACGTGCTGCTTTTCCACAAGCCATTCATTCATCATAACTAGGTCCTAAAAGGATTTCAAGATGCCTAGGAATTCACCTTAGTTAATTCACACTTTTACGAATGTACTTCTTCCTTGTCAGGTACTCTTGCTAGCATAGATACAACTTGTGATTCTGATACCTCAACAAGTAAAGCGTTGAAATTCCCCCGGTTAGGAATTCATCTGTTTTCATAGATAGATCTTTAGTGGTTGTGACTGATCCCTCAGAGAATCTTTAAGCCCCTGAAATTTTAGGTAAAAAAAGTGTGCATATGTGTGTGTGTGTGTGCACAAGTGCAGTTTTTCCCCTTTGGGGAGTATTTTCAATTTTGTTTAGATTTTAGGTATATGTGACTCAAAGCCTAAGATCTGTGGCCTTAACTCGGTAAAGAAGATAAGGGAGAAAAAAACTCCAAAAACATACTTACTGTAGAGCCTACTCCAGGTAAGAAGTCACTTATATTATTTTTAAAAATTTATTTTATTTTAGGTACCAAGATACATGGGCAGGATATGCAGGTTTGTTCCATAGGTAAACATGTGTGATGGTGGTTTGCTGCACCTTTCAATCCATCATCTAGGTGTTAAGATCAGCATGCATTAGCTATTTTTCCTGATGCTCTCCAACCTCCCCCAACCACCCTCCCAACACAGGCCCCACTGTGTGTTGGTGTCCTCCCTATGTCCATGTGTTCACATTGTTCAGCTCCCACTCATAAGTGAGAACATGCAGTATTTGGTTTTCTATTCCTGCATTAGTCTGCTGAGGATAATGGCTTCCAGCTCCATACATGTTCCTGCAAAGGACATGATCTCATTTCTTTTTATGGCTGCATAGTATTCCATGGTGTATATGTACCACGTTTTCCTTATCCAGTCTATCATTGATGGGCATTTAGATTGTTCCCATGTATTTGCTATTGTGAATAGTGCTGCAATGAACATATGTGTCCATGTATTGTTATAAAAGAATGATTTATATTCCTTTGGGTATATATCCAGTAATGGGATTGCTGGGTCAAATGGTGTTTCTGGTTCTAGGTCTTTGAGGAATCTCCACACTGTCTTCCACAATGGTTGAACTAATTTACATTCCCACCAACAGTGTACAGGTGTTTCTATTTCTCTGCAGCCTTGCCAGAATCTGTTGTTTCTTGACTTTTTAATAATCATCTATTCTGACTGGTGTGAGATGGTATCTCATTGTGGTTCAATTTGCATTTCTCTAATGATCCATAATGTTGAGCTTCTTCAATATGTTTGTTGGCCACATACATTTCTTCTTTTGAGAAGTGTCTGTTCATGTCCTTTGCCCACTTTTTAATAAGGTTGTTGGGTTTTTTTTCTTGTAAATTTGTTTAAGTTCCTTGTAGATTCTGGGTATTAGACCTTTGTTAGATGGATAGATTGCAAAAATTTTCCCTCATTCTGTGAGTTGTCTGCTCACTCTGATGATAGTTCTTTTGCTGTTTTGAGGCTCTTTAGTTTAATTAGATCCAATTTGTCAATTTTAGCTTTTGTTGCAATTGCTTTTGGCGTCTTCCTCATGAAATCTTTGCCCTTGCCTATGTCCTGAATGGTATTGCCTAGATTTTCTTCTAGGGATTTTATAGTTTTTGATTTTACATTTAAGCCTTCAAACCATCTTGAGTTATTTTTGTATAAAGTGCAAGGAAGGGGTCTAGTTTCAATTTTCTGCATGTGACTAGCCAGTTCTCCCAGCACCATTTATTAAACAGGGAATCCTTTCTCCATTGTTTGTTTTTGTCAGGTTTGTCAAAGATAAGATGGTTGTAGATATGCGGTCTTATTTCTGAGTTCTCTGCTCTGTTCCATTGGTCTATGTGTCTGTTTTGGTTCCAGTACTATGCTGTTTTGGTTACTGTAGCCTTGTAGTATAGTTTGAAGTTGAGTAGCATGATGCTTCTAGCTTTGTTCTTTTTGCTTAGGATTGTCTTGGCTATATGGGCTCTTTTTTGGTTCCATATGGATTTTAAAGTATTTTTTTCTAGTTCCGTGAAGAATGTCAATGGTAATTTAATGGGAATAGCACTGAATCTAAATTACTTTGGGCAGTATGGCCATCTTCATGATATTGATTCTTTCTATCCATGAGCATGGAGTGTTTTTCCATTTGTTTGTGTCCTCTCTGATTTCCTTGAGCAGCCGCTTATATTATTTTTAATGATGGACAGAGAGAAGGTTGATACCATGGCAAGTGTGTAAGAACACCTGAATGCCTGAGGTTGAAAGTGTGCATGTGTTGCAGAAGCAACTGTATTACTTAGAGAGGGAGCAATTGTACCTCTGACCAGCCCGGCACTGGGGACAGCTGATGAAAGTGTGTACTCTGCGCCAAACTCCAGAACCCTGGGTGAGAGATCACATCTGGTTTATTGAAAACTGTTGCTAATTTTAGCCAAAAACGTCTACTTGGAAAAGGAGGAAAAGGGAAACGATCCACACACTTCGGCTTCCTCTGATATGGAATTTGGAAGATTCCCAGAAAGACAGACAGGTTGGAATACGTAAATAACCCAGCATCAGGATTGGCAGAGAGGTGATGCTAGAGGACAGTAAGAGTAGAAATGAGAATAGTTCTAGAAAGTTTGTACTGGAGGGTAGTAGGCAGTTTACATACATCATCGGGCTAATTCTGACAGCAGCCCCAGAGGTAGGCTTGCAATATTACCCCACAGTTAGAAATGGGGGCAAGTAGCAATTGGAGAAGGTTAAGTAAATGGCCAGGTGTCATGCAGCCGCAGTCCTGGCATTGGTATTTGAATCTAGCCTGCTTACTCCACAGCCTGTGCTCTAAGCCAGGGGCCAGCAAACTGTGGCTCACAGGCCAGATCCAGCCCGCGGCCTATATTTGGAAGTAAAGTTTTGATGGAATGTAGCCACTCTCATTCGTTTGCATGCTGTCTACGGCTGTGTCTGTGTTCCCGTGGCAGAGAGGAGTGGTTGTAACGGAGGATATCTGACCTACAGAGAACTGAGGCCCTGAACAAAATGAAAATGCAGGGCCTCCAGTTCACAAATTATTAAGAATTTTAAAACAGTAACAGTAGAACATTAAACCAAGCAAACGGCCCTTCTAAAGTGTGGGGCTTTGTGCAACTGCATAGTTCTCATGGCCCTGAAGCCAACTCTGGACCCACAAAGTCTAAACTATGACTATATGGCACGGTACAGAAATATTTTCCTCTGATGTTTTTCTATTTCCAGCCCATGATAAAGCTTCACTGTTCCACAAATGAGAGAAATGGATGAGGTTTCCCACAAATCTAGATGGTCCTGAAGTATTCACCATAAAGAAACTATGCTTTAGTTTGAGATTCTATCCTTATCCAATTTTTGGTGCCAAAATACCCTTTTTGATGAAATGATGGGAAGAGTAGATAATAGACGTTTGTTTGTTTTATGTCCTTAATTGGCAAAATAAAAAGTTTATTACCGTATGTCAAGAATCTAATTAAAAAAGAATTACCAGTATAGTAGTCACTGGAGGTACATAATGTTAAATGGATAGACAGGAAAAACCAGAACACAGTGTTGAGTAAAACCCAGAGTGAGATATAAAGTACAGTATCTCTGCCACACATAAATAAATACATGCTCTATTTCAAACACGTGTGCATAGCAAAGACGTATACCAAACTGAGTGAGAGTGGGGAGGGGGAAGCTGGGGTTGGGAATGGAGTTGAAGAAAAAAGCATGAGATTAGACAAGAGGAAGGCCTCGTACCTACCGATTTTGATAATACGTCCTGAACTGAGAATGCAATTAACTGAACTGAACTTTTACTGTCTGATATCCAAAACACAAACTGTCCTTGCAGTGACGCTTGAAATTCCGACTCAGAAAGCACTCCCACAATGCTCCGCAGGGCAAGCTGAGATGGACGGGTCTGCCCATGGTCACCGCTTCTCTGCCATCCGAAAGCCAGCATTCGAATAGCACTTTATGGTTTGCAAAGCTCTTTCTCTTTTATTAGTGATGGTATTCTTATACCCATTTTATAGACAAGAAACCTGAAACTGCAAAAGGTTAAGATAAATGGCCAACCAACACAAATATGGCCGAACCTAGGCTCATTCCAGGTCTTGTGACATTCAGTCTGATGCTTTTTCTAGTCTCCCCATAAAAGTTGACTCCTCGATGGGGTAAGATTCATCGTGCTTTAAGGGTGACAGCACGATTAGGAAATGTTTGCTTTTATGAAAAGTCTGTTGGTGACATCTTTTAATACATTTGCCAATAAAGAAGGCATTCATTCCTCAGGGTCTCTCCCTCTGTCTCCTTCTTTACTGAGTTTTCTCCCATCCTCATACCCGGCTTTACCAGATTGTGGGGCCAAAGTGACCCTCAGAGATGATTCCAATTTTGCACCAATGTAGGACAAAAGTCAAATAATAACACGATGGTAACTGTTTATGCCTTAAATGATCTAATTCTGATTTTCTAAGTCTCTTTGGTGTACCTGCCATGTCAACAGCCTTGCAAATGGGCTGTTCTTGCTCATGGCTAATTTAAATATCTTTGATGCACTTTAACTCTATTCCTGTCCTCCAAAAACCAGCCGCTTATATTCTAATGCACACTTTAAGATGGTTACTGAGTTTTCTACTCTACTTTCGCCTAATTAAACCAAGATCCTTTTGCATTTTTTCAAAAGGACTATTCACAAGACTAATCATTTTTGTTTTTCATTTATTTTGCATTTTACACTCTTTTGTCCCCGACTTTCTCTTAGACACTGCATGGCCTCTCTAGATACCTACTGTGATAGGTATCAAGACTAAAGTCATAGGTTAGACCAGTGATGCTCAAAGTTTAGTCCCTGGACCAGCAGCATCAGCATCACCAGGGTATTTGTTAGAAACGTAAATTGTGGGGTACCACTCCAAACCTATTGAATGAGAAGCTTTGGGAATGGGGCCCCACAGTCTGTTTAGCAAGTCTTCCGGGGAACTCTGATGCATGTTAAAATTTGAGAATTACTTTTTAGCACACTCTTTCCTCTCCCTTTGTGAACAAAATACTTTTCAGCCCCATTTGTGTTGAGCAGGGCCACATAATTTGCATTGGCCAATGGAATGTTAGTGAATGTGGTACAATCCTTAAATGTGCTTGTGTGGCTTAAGTTGGCTCTTGAGCTGCAGCGATTCAACATAAGAGGAACATGCACCTGGTCGAAGACAGTGTGGAGTTACATGGAACAGAACAGCTCAGTTTGTTTCAAAGAAAAGTAAAAGCAGAAATAAACTCTTGAGATGTCTGTCTCCCTTACAGTCTAGACGGGTGGACTTTATAGGACTCATTAGAAAGCAAATACTTGCTCAGTGAACTGGATGAGGCCAGTCTATCATGCAAAATGCTAAAAATAGGTAAATAAATTAATGCATGGAAAAAACTGATTACGTAGTTCTTTATGGGTAAAATAAATCCCCGATCATAGCAGATTAAGTGAATAAAGCAGATTAAGTAAATAATTTTCTCACAGTATACAATGTCTGGAGGGAGACTGATGCTGTCATTGGTTCTGCAGGTTGATAATCAGGGTCAGCATCTCTGTGGAGAATGTACTGGTACTGCTCAAGTTGGTCCCATTCTAGGTATTTAAAGTAGAGGGTATTTAATAAAGGGAATTGGCTATGTAAACACTGGAATAGCAGAGAACCAAGTGAAGGTAGTGAGAACCTCCAGATATTAATGGCAGCAGAAAAGACCAGGTGGATAAAAGGAATAACTGAGGTGTATTATATATAGATTCATTGAGGTCTCCAGCGGACTTTTACTCATTATTCTCCTGCTCACAAATGTCCCCTGTGTTAGCTTGCTTCATTTACCTCTAGTCCTGCCAGTTCTTCCTAGATTACCTCTTAGTAAATAATCTGCATTCACATCCTTGTCTCAGCTTCGGCTTCTGGGAGAATCATGAAGACCCACCAGCTGACTGTTTCAGGGGCAGGTTGCTAAAAATCACCCATTGTGGAAGCAGAACTCATCTATTTTATAGAAATATTTTTTGAAAACATTCATGGATTGATCTACTTCTTCACTTTAGGAACAAACTCTTCGTCATTTTCCTTCCCTCCTCTCCCTCCTTGCTATTAAAAAGACATAGTGAGCTTGCAAATGCAGATGCATATAAAATTATGTGAATATATGTGTGTGTGTGTGTGTGTGTGTGTGTGTGTGTGTGGTGACCTAAATTTGTTTCTTCTCCTAAGCAGGATCACAATTTTATATTCTTTACATTGTTGCTTCAAGATTTGTGAAGGAAGAGCTTGCAGGAATTTCTCTGATATGCATTGTCCGTAAGAATTACTTATATCCACACACCCCATCTTGTAACTCTCACTAAACAGACCACCAGCCACAATACAACCTCTTCCCTATCTCTTACTTCTGGCATCTTCTTCTCCCTATTATGCTCTCTGGATTAGAGCCATTTCATCTGTTTGCCACCTACTGTTGACCTCATCATGATAACAATGCCTCATATTTGCTCACTTCATAGTGAACATATATAGTACTTATATTTATATCTGTAAATAAATATATAGTACTTATTTCATATGTAGTACTTATATTATTTAATTTTGATTTTGATTTTCAAAATGGGTTTTAAGGTAAATAGATTTACCATTTTATGGATGGAGGAACTGAGTCTCAGTTGAGCATTAAATGCCAAGCAGAAAGTGATTTAGCCATTTGGGACAGAGCCTGGACTGGAGCCCGAGTGTCCTGTGTCCAACCTCAGAGCAAATTCCACATTTACACATATAACATCTCATAGTTAGCAGGTGACATTTAAGTAGAATGTCAAGAAGGGAAAGGTCTGCGGTTGGATACCTGGGTTCAAAGCCTACCTCTCACCTCAATTTCTCTGTGTTAAATAATTTTGTTACTCTGAGTCACACTTTCTCATATTAAAATGGGATCATAAGGCTGGGTGCAGTGACTCATGCCTATAATCTTAGCACTTAGGAAGGCTGAGGTGAGAAAGTTGCTTGGGGCCAGGAGTTTGAGGTTGCTGTGAGATGTGATTGTGCCACTGCTTTCTGGCCTGGGTGACAGAGTGAGACCCTGTCTCAAAAAAATAAAATAAAATAAATAAAATTAGACCATAGTAGTACTTTCCTTATACGGTTAATGTGAGGATTTAATGGGATATTAATATGCAAAATACTTACAAAAATCATAGCCAATCATATACATGAATCAATTACCCTCCTTAACAAAATATGTCTTACTCTGTGAAGGGTGTATATGTGTACGTGTTTCTGTGTGTGTAAGGGGGATGATTACAGTCTATCCAATAAAGACATTTTCTACTTAGAAAATTGAAACCTTCTGTTATTCTTTACCTTAAATCTGAGCAATTCCAATTATTAAACTAATAAGTTTCTTACCCGTAGACTGACTGCTTCAATAGAACTGATTTTGGTTTACAGATATTGGCTAGAAAAAATAAAAAAAAATTGAGCAATTTTTTAAAAAGAAGTTTAAAAAATTGTGGTAGATTACATATGACATAAAATTTGCCATCTTAGCCATTTTTAAGTGTATAGTTCAGTAGTGTTAAGTACATTCATCTTGCTATACAACTATCACCACCACCCATCTTCAGAACTTCCTCATGTTGCAAAACTGAAACTTTATTCCCATTAAATAATAATCCCACATTCCTCCCTCCACCAGCCCCTGCCAATCATCGTTCTACTTTTATCTCCATGAATTTGGCTATTCTAGGTACTTCATGTAAATGGAATCATACAATACTTATGCTTTTGTGACTGGCTTATTTCACTAGTGTAATATCCTTAAGGTTCTTTCATGTTATAGCATGTGTCAAAATTTCCCTCCTTTTTATGGCAGAATGGTATTTCATTGTATGTATACACTATATTTTGTTTATCCATTCATCCATTGATGGACACTTGGGTTGCTTCCGCCTCTGGCAGTTGTGAATAATGCTCCTCTGAACATGGCTGTATAAGGAATTGTACAATTCTTACTCAAAACAGCATTCTTTGAGAAGTGGATAAAGAAGAAAAGTTTATAAAGAAAATAATTTAGTGCAGTTATGCTACATTTGAATTAATTGAGTCTGGTTAGCTTATGAAGACATAAACAGAGATACCAAATTGGTTGCCTTAGGAGAGGTCAGACTTGAACACAGAAACCTGAAAATTATCAACAAAGAGAAAATTTCTAAAATCTTAAAGAAGTTGATTTTCCTTATGGTGGAGATAGGATGTAACATGATCACTGAGGTGAGGAGGGTGTATTGAATTTTCAAGACTCATCCTTAAGACAAAGTACAGAAATTTAAGCTCAACAGAGGAATATAAATAAGTCCGAGAGAGAAAGCACATGGCTTGAAGAAATTTCAAGAACCGATATTTTATGAAGATAGTCTATAAAAGAGCTGAATTGGTAGAATACAAAGGGCCATTCAAAAAGCGGACAGAATGCAGTTTCCAGTAATGGGATGAAAATACAGCTATTTGAAAACTGAAGTCAGAAGAAATCTGCAGTAGGAGAGATGGAGAAATCATTCAGAAGGCATTTATTTACTTTTTAAACAAACAAGGCTGGGCACTCTCGAGCCCGTTTTCCAAAGATGGTCATAACAATATCTCCAGTACGCCATGTGCTTCTAGAATCTTGCCACACTAACATCAGGAACCAAAGTCAAATTCCCCTGTCTTGGAATCTAGGTAGGCTTGTGACTCACTTGTAACTAAGAGATTGCAGTGAAAATTATGGCGTGTGACTCCCAAGGCCAGGTCACTAAAGTCTTCATAGCACCTACTTTGCTGCTAAAATGCCTGGTCTCAAAGCCTTCAGTTTTCATATAGATAGTCCTCCCGCCATCAGGCGGCCATGCTGTAAGGAAGCTCAACTAGTCAGATGAAGAGGGACCACACTGAAAGACCTGGAGACTATGCAACAGAGATGTTCAGAAAATCCCTGTTATATCTCTAGCAGTTGCATGAGAGACCTTGAGGCAGAACCACTGAGACTATGGGTCAAAAATTAGCCCTTCTCTAGTTCCTAACTGATAGGAATTGTTCAAGACAATAAGATGATTGCTGTTGTTTAAACTACTACATTATGGTATTTGTCACACAGCCTTGGGTAACCAGAGCACTATTTATGGGCCAGGCACTGTTTTATGTACTTAAGTACAGTGCTTTGAAAATAGAATTGTCCTTGTTTTTATAACATTTACAGACCGGTTAGAAATAGAGAAAATGAGAATTTTGGCTAACAAACATTAGCCAAAGAGACAGGATGGCATGATCAAGAATAACGATAGAGAAAAATATAAATGACCAGGTGTAGCTACAACTTTCCTGACATTTGAGGGTGAATGATACAGGTGAATACCTTATATGCAAGATGAGCACTGTTCCTTGCCCACTTCCTTGCTGCTGGACAGGTGGAATTGGGGAATGGAAAATACCAGGCAGGAGTAAGAGAAAAAGAAGGAAACTTTAATGGCTCCCTGGGGACAAGTATAACCTGAATGATGCAGAGGTGTTTTTCACCAGTTTCTGGAGATGAGCTAAATGCTGTTACAATAATCCCCCTTTTGGGGGCACTCAGGGGTCATGCTTCCTCTCAGGTACTTATTGTTAAGCAGTGGGCAGAACCATCCCCGGCTGTGGGTGCTTTGTGGCCAGAACAAAGGGCAAAACAAGTGTTTAACACCCCGCCGCCCCTCCCGGGCATAATTTATAGCATTTTAATTCTCCTACTTGTCTCCGCTTAAGAATTTCTTATAGCATTATTTAATGATGTGAGTTCAATGGGCAATTTTAAAACCTACTTAATTTAATATTTCTTTCCTCAGTGATGCTGTGAGAAGTGATGCACACCATACTGCAGAGGGAGCAGCCTGAGTGTGATGCGGAGAAAAATCATCCCACACCAATTAATACTTAAGCAGGCTCCAGTTTTCTCTCTCAGGACCCCAATAGCCATGACAGAATGCTAGGGAGTTTCACAGATCAAAGAAAGAGTGAATCATGTTAAAAGAATGGCATCAAACACATCTTATGCCTAGTCTTGGAATGCCCCCCATGTCTTTAGATGTCCTACAATATGAAGGGAATGAGTTTTACAGGGCAAATGCAATACACACAAAGGGGCAAGGGATGTAATCTTAAATTGAGTCAGTAGTCTGGAAAGAAAGACATGAAGAATATGCCCAGTAGCATTGGAGAAACTTGTTACTGTAATAAGCTCAGGAATCACATGTACAGATCTCTGACATTATTGAATATATATTGGTAAATTAGGGTGGCTATGAATATTCACGATTCTTCTGAATGGACCAACCACAATGACTGACAATAGGCAAAGGATAGAGGGGGTGGAAATGAGGGATCGAACAAGCAGGTGCCACGAGTCCTATTCCGGCAGATACGTCTGATTCACTCTTACCAACTCTGCTCCCAAGATGTTTCTCTATCAGAGCAGTGGCAAAGCTGATAGGTAGCAAGAGGGAGTCTCACCCACAGGTTAAATATTCCACTCTTCCCAGGCAAGTTAGAGCAGCTCATCATGTCTTTTGGCAAATCAATTTCAGAGCATTTGTTCTTGGCATCTGGCAAACCAGTAGGTCACAGTTTCAAATCCAGGATCTTAATAACCACACCTGGGAGAGACTTTAGACGACCTCTGCACAGTCTCATACAAAATGAAGCTTCAGTCTCAGCTCAGTTCTTAATAGAGAAATGTCTGCATCACTCAGCTGATGCCAGCAGTTAACAGAAGGAAAAGCTACCAGGTTTCCCCTCCTTATCTTGATATATGGAGCTGGTGAGAATGTGTCTGGTCATACGGGTGGAAAGCTGCAGACATCAAAATCATCAACGGAGCCCTTTCACAAGCATAAAATTCAAACTGGAGAGAGATTGGAGAGAGAGAGAGGCTCAAATTAGTATCCAAACATGCCTGTTTCCTAATGCTCATTCAGACAGAGGTTCAATGGCTGGAAATTATTGAAATGAGGCAGATGTCAAGGGGATGCTGCAGATACAGCTACTTCCCAGCACCAGTGATCCTGTGCCTGCAGTCGCAGGATCCTGGTTCCACCTCCACATTGGGAAGAGTCCTTAAGTACCTGCTGGTGCAACTTTCCTCTCTGCCGTCGTGTTGAACAAACGTAGGGAGTTTTAAGCTTTGGGACTTGCTGAGGCTAAATTGAAGCAGTATTTTTCCCATCGTTAGATTCAGGAGAGTCCCCTGTTCTCCCCCAGATCCCACCAGGGACGCACTTTCAGAGTCCATTCACTTTCTCACTCCTGTCATCTCCTCACTCTGCTTCTCCATTTACCCTGATGGGATGCCATCCACATTGCACCAGAAGAGAAGCCATCTTGAAATGTTCAGTTTCCTCTTTTCTCTTTCTTTTCTTTCTTTCTTTCTTTCTTTCTTTCTTTCTTTCTTTCTTTCTTTCTTTCTTTCTTTCTTTCTTTCTTTTTCTTTCTTTCTTTCTTTTTCTTTCTTTCCTTCCTTCTTTCCTTCCTTTCTTCATTTCTTTCTTTCTTTCCCTCCCTCCCTCCTTCCTTCCCTCCCTCCCTCCCTCCCTCCCTCCCTTCCTTTCTTTCTTTCTTTCTTTCTTTCTTTCTTTCTTTCTTTCTTTCTTTCTTTCCTTCCTTCATTCTCTCTTTCTCTTTCTTTCTTTCTCTCTTTCTCTCCTTCCTTCCTTCCTTCCCTCCCTCCCTCCCTCTGTTTCCTTTCTCCCTTTCCCTCCCTCCCTTCTTTCCTTCCTTCCTTCCTTCCTTCCTTCCTTCCTTCCTTCCTTCTCTCTCTCTCTTTCTTTCTTTCAACAGAGTACTATGAGGGTTGTTTTTCATTTTGTCAAACCTACAAATGTAAACCATGTAATAACTAAGGAAACATTCAGGCTTACGTTAGTTTTTTTGTTACTATTATTCCATTTGAAAGGCCCAAGGCCTGGCTCAGTGGCTCACGCCCTAATTCAAGCAATTTGAGAGGCCAAGGTGGGAGGATCTCTGGGAGCCAGTGGTTTGAGACCAGCCTGGGAGGGTATGAGACCCTATATCTCTCTAAAAAACAAGATGGCCCAAAGCCAGGCATTCTTGGCTCTAAAAGAGACGGGAGGTCAGGGAAGGAGATATGTACATGCCTTTTTAAAAATCTGTAACCAGAAAGATGCATTGCAATGTTTTGGTGTGGGTTTTTTTTTGCATAAATTTAAGGGGTGCAAAAGCAATTTTGTTACTGGGATATCATTGTATGGTGATGAAGTCTGAGCTTTTAGTGTATTCATCACCCAAATAATATATATTGTACTCAATAAGTCATTCCTCATCGTCCACCCCCTTGCACTCCCTCTCTTCCAGGTCTCCCATGTCTATCATTCTACTTTCTGCAGCCATAGTCCCTGGTACCCATGTTGGTAAAGGAGCTCAAAAATATCTTCTATTTTGGGTGGGTTGGGGGAACCATCCAGAGGTGACAAACTGAGTTAAATAATGAAACCAGGTTTTTCTTGAGTGGAAAATGTCTTTATATATAGCCAGGATGTATGACCAGACACTGCTAAAAGTTGACAAAGGAGCTCTTTGTGTGCTAAAATGCTGCTGAGAAACCCCAGGCATTTCAATATGTCAACACTGCGCTCTAAGCAAGGGTTGCGTGGCACACGGAGGGAAGCAGGCTGTCACTCACCTGCTTCGCCAGCATCCGGGTTCTGAAGAGGAGGACTGGTCAGGTCATCTGAAAGGTCTTCCTTCCAAAGAACGCAGGCTCCTCACAAACACCACCCAAAAACAATGAGGTGGAGACAATGTACTCATTGTTTTATGTTAAATATTGAAATTACGTTCAATATTGAAAATATGAAAGAGAAAGGATGTGTGCAATTCAGCATCTGAATTTACATCCCTTTAGAGCAAGATCATATAATAAAATTAAAAAAAAAAACTTTCTTAAAACTTACGTTAACCTTCACACCATAGAAGAATATGACTTACAATACACAGGTTTTCTTCCCTCCTCTTCCACCATACCACTAAAGAAAAGGGGGGAAAATAACCTGTCAGATATTATTTTATATTTCAAGAGTTCAGATATTCTTAAATGTAAAACTTTTAAGTGCAATGTAAAACATCTTCAAGTAAAAGATATAAATATGCTTTTTGATTTCACAAAAGAAACACTTCATAATTTATAGTATCCATTCTTGAGGAAAGAACACCTTCACTACTCATGAATTATTGCTTTCTTCTACGTGGTTAAATATTCACTGTCTATCTATCTGGTACATATTTTTTCTGTTTATTTTTAGCACTCTCAGAAGTAAGGAATACATTTGAAACTCAAAGCACAAGGAATTTTATGATAAATTATGGTAAACTGGCAAAACTCAGATTGATATGTTAAACATCTACAAACCAATGCAAGAAGTTGGGTTGGTTACATCCCAATGATGTCTAAGGCTCCATGGATAATCTACCAGAATTGCATCACTTAAAAATAATTTTATCAATTTAACTTCCTTTAGGGAAATATGCTTAGAAGTTTTAAATCCTATAATCTGTTAAGATTTAAGTATGTGAAGTGTTTTTATCACCACTAATTTAAATTACCTATATGTTCAAAATTGTATTCAATTGCAAATAATCCCTAAACAATGGTTAGAAAAGCAATACAGTATTTCTAGAAGCTTGTCTAGACATTATATAAAAATGCTTGAATTGTAAACTTCACAGGTAACATACACCATATATCATGATTATAAATTTATGTGCGTTATTAATTCTTCTGATTTGGTTGTACACATTTCATGTGTAGAAAAACCAAAATAGGGATAAAGACACTCAGAAAAAGCTTGGTTATGAAACAGATTGGAACTTGGGTTTTAGTCATCAAAGATGTGATAAACAACACTGGGCATTAATGCAGAAAACAGATTGAGCTTTTTAATGGGACATCAAATAAGACTTTATTAGCATCTATTAGGTTCAACCCAAAGCTCAGGAAATAGCATTAATGAGCATCATATATCAGTCTGTCTGTTATTAGATAACAGTATCCCTTAAAACTAGCAAGCCATATAGTACTTTATACTTTTTTACCTTTATCTTTAGAATTAGCTGACATTCTATTGTGTTACACTGGCCTTACTATTAGTAATAGTGAACCAATTTATAAACCCATTAGTGACACTTTTTCCAGAAGATAAAAACAGTCAAAATTATCTGGCAGCAATTAATCTTAATGGCTGTATGCAGTAAACAGCAATGGGCTAATTCCAGCTCTGTCAGCCCCATCAAACAATCCCGCATTAGGCAGCTTTTCAGTGATCCATTAAGCATATTCAGAACAACAACAAATTCAATGCTGAAGGCATATGCACTAAACATTACAACAGTGATCTTCTGAAGCCATCATTATCTCTTAAATAGTACTTCCCCCATGTATTATCATTATGCTGTACATTAGAAATACTTTGATTAAACTCCCTTAATTCATAACAGACAGCTGCAGACCATTTATGCAGTTAATCTCAACACAACAGCTATTGAGGAAATATAACAAATGAAGGCTGTAAACTGGAAGTCATTACTATGAAAGATACTGGTTTTCTAGCCCTCTTAGAGCAGAGTGCATCATAAGGGTGGGCTTTGGGCCTATAATAATGGGGATGAAACCGTTAATGACCTTCCACTTTCCTGTCACATCTGTCCCTGGGGTTGTTGTGCTCTAGGCTGGGCATGTGACCAGTTTAGGCTGAGCCATGTGTCCCACACATTGACCAATGTAAGGGCTTCAGGAGAACCCAAGCTATGGTTAACTTCTATTTTCCGGCTTTGGTATTAAGAAGTCAAGGTTTTGACGGAATATGAATAATCTCATTGATTTCACTGAATCATTACAGTAAAGCACTGAAAAACTATTCTGATTGTGCACTAATGATACCATCATTAGCAGTAGTTTTACATTTCTTTTCCAAAAAGTAGTGTCTTTTAAAGTTTAATTCATAATACTTGAGTTTACAAACGTAAAAAAAAATTCCTACTGAATTTCCTCTGTAAACTTTCTTTCCCATGTGATATCTTCACTTATCAATTCAGAAAAGTTATGCATGGCAAAAAAAAAAAAAAAAAAAACCTCCTAAATTTAAGGAGCCACACCCTAATTTCATGTTTTGCGGAATAAAATATGCACTGACTTAATTTGATGAACAAGAAAATTGTGTCGATTTCTCCACACTACACCTTCACAGAATCTTTCCTTTTTGCAGGTAGAGAAACCATAAACATGGGCATGAATGAGCTCTATGTGCCTGGCATTTTTTTTTTCTTTATATAGGGTTTATTTCAAAGTCCGAAACCACAGACACCGTGTCTACTTTTTGATGAAACGGTCAGGTAATTAGAACATAAATTTAGAGTCCCCTTGCATACTCTGACAGTACTTTCAGCTTTTGGGGTTAGCATAAATGAATTAAATATTTATTCAAAATATAAAGTACTGTCATTATAAAGCAATAAGGGTGTAGCTTTCAGAGGGAAAGACCAATCCCCGTGGCAGTTTACGCTGAATGTCTAAGGAGATTTCCACAATCGGGGCTAGATTGACCCATCCCTCCAAGGTGCCCATGAACACAAGAATATTAACATTTGCTGTTCAGTCCCCTAGAGATCCCTCCCTGCTGTTCCCCACACTCCCCGCTCCCACTTCTTGAACATAGTGTTTTGAAAAATGGCAGCTCTGGGGAGCTTTTCTTAATTTTTTCCCCTTAAATTTGTTTGAAAGACATGGGTATTGTGACTGCTGGCTGTATTCCTTGTTTCTCAGACCTTGCATTTATAACAAAGCTCTGGAGAATCCCTTCTGGACACCTGGGCATACTGATACTGATTTCTGGCCCATAGTGCAGTTTAAAACAACCATGATTTTCACCTATTTTGAAAGGCCTTCCCATTCTGAGCCTAAGCTTCCTGCCATGTGAGTTATAAAGCACTACTACTAGTTGTTGCGGCACAAATAAGTCTGAGAAATAATGTCACTCCTTAGAAATTCACAACTCATGTAATGTAGTAAAATCTGTGAGAAGTTCTAGAGAAAGGAAGCCTGTTTAACTGTGATTAACTCAGCATGCCCAAATCTGCTTGGCTGCATATTTTTTTTTTCTTTTTAATACAACAACCGTTAACATCTTGTAGGGCACTAATCTTTTACAGAATATATTTTGAGACATGTTTTTCTAAATTCCTGCTTGTGATATTTATGCCTCAAAATTGATCTGTGGCAGGAAAGAACAAATTTGCAAATTAATTAATTGTGCTTTCTTCTGAGTTTTGTTTGTTAGCTTTCGTTTAGCTTACAGATACTCCACTGTTGAAAGTGGCCATCAGCAAATGAAATTAGGTTTGAAATTCACAAGCTGGTTTGACTTCTATTTTTGCCATTTATTCCAAGAATCTAAATTCAGTAAACAATGTTCCTACAGACATTTTTCTGATTAAGACATAAGGTTTTCTTCAACTAATGATTAGATTTTTGTAACTGATGTTAAACTCGTGGATAATTGATGAATGTGCTCCTTTTTCCTGCTGTGGAACATTATCTTAACTACAACACAATGATATTTAGAGTTCTATCACATTTAGAGTTCTATCTAGATATATTTACATATATCTATATCTGTTCTCTACTCAGGAAACTCCCAATTATGAGTAAGTAACTTCTATATGTTCATTCGAAGTTCGTTGCTTGGGATCTCAGATTACATTTTTCCAAAGGAATTTATTACAAGTTGTCATTATGTTCTAGATTTAACCTATAAAAGTCTGTTTAATGCACAGCAACTGCATTGCTGAAATGCTAGGTACACTAAGAAAATAAGCCAAACGTCAGCATGGTTGCCATGCTGATGAGTTAAACCAAGTAGAAAAATAATAAGGTGATAAAATTGACTAAGAGATCATTTAAAATGTTTGATCTAAAATGCTGATGCTTGAAGAAACATAGGTTTAATTTTAAAAGATGCAGCATAGACTAAGACTTGTGTGTACATGTGCACATGTGTGTCTATGTGTAGCTTTGGCAATATTTCCAGGGACCCTTCCAAACTCATGTCCTCCTTACCATAGCACTCCATGATACGGACGCATCACAGCAGGTCTCATTCCAGGAGAGAGAGGTGAGACTCCTCTGTGGCATATATGTGAAACGAAGATAGAGAATAGGAAAAAGATTGTTCGCTACAAAATCTAGGCAGGAATTGGCAGCATGAAGGAAAGGAGAAAGTCATTCTAAGTATGTATGTGTGTGTGTGAGAGAGAGAGAGAGTGAGCAAGAGCAGGGAGGAGGGGAAGAGAGAGAAAGGGGCAGGAAAAGAGCAAACGCCTTGGATGGACTTAGGTGAAGTGTGAGTAGTGAAACACAGAAAAACTTGGGGGGATCTGCACCTGTGAAGTGGTTTTCTGAAGGTGGACATTCTGAGAAAGAAGTCAGGAGTGGGGGAGAAGGCTTGCTACTATATGCCTGGTGTCTAGTTTGTCTTGGTTTTGCCTCAAACACATATATAACCACCAAATCCCACATTGTTGTTGATTCCTGTTCTAGAGCACAGTTCTGGTGACTAAGTTCTGACTTCTTGTCCTTAGTTTGTTGTCTGATTCTCCACTGAGCTGGTGCTTGGGCATCCCCAGTCTTGTCAGCCATTTTCCCCAGAAAGATGAGCCCTGTGTCCGCACTACCCCATACCTCCACAGCTGATGCTGACCCTTCCCTTTCCTACCCAGCTCTCGCCTCCTCCTGTTCCTCACTCTCACCTCTGTGGAGCTCCTGACGTGCTTCCTGCCATTCTGGGTCCTCCAGGGTCTTCTGACCACTTGGGCTTCCCAACCCATCCTTTACACGGCACCTAGAGTCCTCTTAACAAATGCCCATAAGGCCTTGTCAGCACTCTGAATCCCATGGCTGACAAAGTCTGTGTGTTTTTGCAGGGCCCACCCTCTGCCAACCTCCACTATTTTGTTTCCCACATCCTGAGCTCCAACTCTCTGGACCTCCTGTCTGTTCGTAAATGCACCATGTTGACTCTCACCTCCGTGTCTTTGCCCAACCCTGTTCCTTTCTCCCAACTTTGTTCCTATTAACTGACTTTTACTCATTAATACCAAATTCATTTACTATGTCTTTTGAAAATCTTTGTTTCTAGCTAAGCAAGATGCTCCTACTCACTGAATTATAATTCACTGAACTGTAATTACTTTCCATTCTCACTGAACTGCATGAGAACAAGAATGATGTCTTTCATTGTGTAGCACAGGAAAATAGCATACTTCTTGGAACATAGTAGGTACTTAAAAAATGTTTATTGAATGAATAAACCAATATACAGAAATGTCACGTAGAGTGACGGCTCCTTTTTTCTAGCATAATGTAAAACTGAAGAATTTTAAAATGGTTAACAGTTAGTTATTAGGTAACATAAATCAACTATATTCTATAGAGAATAGGATATTCTTAGGATCCCTGTGAAAAGATTAGCAAGTGCTGATCTGCGTGTGGTAGGATTACAGGTGATTTTGTTTTACTTTTATGTGCACGAAGGCATTGCCTAAATTTTTAGAAAGAACATGGGTTGTTTTTATTATAATATAAACAAGAGTATGAATCCTCAAAAAATGAAGTATCTCCTTAACATGCTTCATAGTTTTACAAGGAAACAGAATACACAGGACACGTTGCTGCTGTTTTTGTGGCCTCTGCTCTCTTCTGCATTCCTTGCTTCTCTGTTTCTCTCCTCTCCCCCCGCTTTTTTTTTTCTTTTCCAAAACGTCACCGGTGGCAGCCTTGGCCTGAACTTGGTGAGATGTGGTTCGCATTTGCACAAAGGTGGAATGCTTCCTATTGGATATTTCAAGTATTTAGGCATCGGTGTCCTTATTACCACATCTCTGCTAATCTGGACTCCTGTCCATCATTGACCAGCTCCTCCTCATGGTCAATGTGTCCCAAAGTCGTGGTGGCAAGAATGCTGGAGAGGATTTCTAGGGAAGCAGTTTATCCTAAAAGGGGAATGTCAGAGTCAGTCATTTATTTGTTTCAAGACACATGGTACCAGTTTCTCCTAAGGAGGTCGAGTGGCTGGTTCACCAAACTAAAATGAAGGAACCCAGCCAGACTCCCTACACGCCTCCTTCCAACAGCTAAGTGTGTCCTGAGCCGTCCTTTGAAGCATGAAAGCAACACCTCTGTCCACGATGGGGCTGAGAAGAGTCCACCCCATAAAATGTTGTTGATGGGCTAGTCCTTCTCAGTTCCACTCAATGGGCCTTTCATTCATATGAAACTTAGCAAATCCTCTTAAATAGCAATGCAATATTGAATGTTTTTTTCATAAGTCTACTTATACATATTGAGGAAAATTGGTACACTAGTCTAATAGTATTAAAGATGATCTAGAAAAAGACATACTGACACTTGGAACACACTAGCCTTCTGCATTTATAACAGCATCAGGGGACTGTGGTCTTCTGTCTTGATGATGAGGTTAAACGGGCTAAATCAATTAAATTCAACAAACATCTAGTGGGTACCTAATAATTTAAGGTACCATAGTGGGGGTTTGGAGAATACAACTGGAATGAAACATGATCCCTGCCGTCAAGGTGCCTAGAAAGGAACTGTGATATAAATGCTCTTCTCCTTGACTATAGCTCAGTACAAAAACATGTTTATTTCCATTCATTAGATTATTTTATTTTAGCTGATATTTATTCTCATCCCCTTCTTAAAAATTTCAGTAACTTGGCCAGGCCAAGTAATCCCAGCACTTTGGCTCACGCCTGTAATCTCAGCACTTTGGGAGTCCGAGGTGGGTGGATCACGAGGTCAGGAAATCGAGACCATTCTGGCTAACACGGTGAAACCCTGTCTCTACTAAAAATACAAAAAATTAGTCAGGCATAGTGGTGGACACCTGTAGTCCCAGATATTCGGGAGGCTGAGGCAGGAGAATGGCATGAACCTGGGAGGCAGAGCTTGCAGTGAGCCGAGATCATGCCACTGCACTCTAGCCTGCACTCAGAGCGAAACTCTGTCTCACAAAGAAAAAAAAAAAAAAATTCAGTACTTACAAACTACATTATCTATACATTTTAAGCAAGCTTCTATTTGTTCATTGATGCCATTTATTAATGTCTTCATACAACAAATATTTATTTAATGCTACTATGTGTCAGGAACTGTTCTAGAAGCTTAGAGACGTAGTGACGAACACGATATGTGTTCAATACACACACACACATTTATTTATTTATTTATTTATTTTTTATTATTATTTTACTTTAAGTTATAGAGTACATGTGCACAACGTGCAGGCTTGTTACATATGTATACATGTTGGTGTGCTGCACCCGTTAACTTGCCATTTGCGTTAGGTATATCTCCTAATGCTATCCCTCCCCGCTTCCCTGACCCCCGGGCAGGCCCCGGTGTGTGATGTTCCCCACCCTGTGTCCATGTGTTCTCATTGTTCAGTTCCCACCTATGAGTGAGAACATGCGCATACACGCACATTTTTTATTACAGAGTTGACCCTTGAGCATCACAGGTTTGAAGTTTATGGGTCCACTTATAGATGGATTTTCTTCCATCTCTGCCACCCGTGAGATAGCAAGACCCACTCCTCTTCTTCCTCCTCCCAAGCAGCCTACTCAACGTGAAGACTACAAAGATGAAGACCTTTATGATGATCCTCTTCCACTTAATGAATGGTAAATGTTATTTTCTTGTCCTTATGATTTTCTTAACAACATTTTCTTTTTCTCTAGCTTTTATTATTGTAAGATACAATATATAGTGCATATAACACACAAAATATGTGTTGATTGACTATATATGTTACTAGCAAGGTTTCTGGCCAACAGCAGGCTATTAGTAGCTAAGTTTTTGGGGAGTCAAAAGTTGTAGGTGGCTTTTTGGCTGAGGAGGGTTAGTGGCCCTAACCTTTTCATTGTTCAAAGGTCAACTAGATACAATACATATGTGAATATGCATATATGTGTATAGGTATATATGTGTATATGTATACATGTCTGTATGTATATATATGTATGTGTATATGTATATAAGAGTGTATATATTTGTAACACATGCACGCAAACATGCACGTATAAATCTTATTAGAAATTAATAAGAACTGTGAAAAGAAAGCAAGCAGCACAAGGGGTCAAGAGACTCAGGAGCTCTTCTGAGATGGGGTGTGGCAGGGAAGCCCTTCTGAAAACTTGGCATTTGAATGGAAGCTTACAAAGGTCTTGAAGGAGAGCACCAAGCCAGGCTTCCCATCAAGTGCAAAGTCCTGTAGCAGAACGAGGTGGGGGCATCTGGAGAGCACCAGAAAGGCCCACGTGGCAGTGGCAAAGGGGCTGAAGGCTGAGTGGTGGGTGGGAGATGAGGGCTGACCTGGGGTCAGGCTCCAGACCAGAGGGGCTCGTAGGCCATAGTGAGTAGTATGAGCTACTTTCCAATTGTGGAGAGCTTTGAGTCTAAAAAAATTTAATCTGACTTTCATTAAAAAAGATTATTCTGACTACTTAGTGGAAAACATCTTGTAAAATAAGTTAAAGGAAATGATTAATATCTGCTCCATTATTTCAGTCCTAGGTCCAAATTATTTTGCACAACCATACTAACTCTTTTCCAGTTTCAATACACCGACCGTAATTTGTCAATACAGTTACTGTTATCAAAGTGCAATTTCCACCTAGAAGATATAAGTAAAAACCACATCACAACTAGAGGTTCCCAGTGGTGAGCTGCTGTCTCTCAAGGTGTACAAAGAGATGATTCACTGCTAGGGCATTGTAGGAGTAGTATCTACGTTCGGGGACACTAACCTTGGGTACCTCTGAGATCCTGTCTTTTTTGAGAGTTGCTAATTCTCTGGATTTCTTTGCTTTCTATTTTAATAATATAGATGGCACACGATTCTAGGTTTAAGATAAGACATGGAGAGTTTAGTGGATATTGCGTTGGGCTCTCCACATCTCGTTAGGACTCAAAACACTCCTTCCATCAGCTGCTGGGCATGGCGGTAGCAGATCAGCTGCCAGCCTCTTCCAAAAATGTCCCTGGCTGGAGAGAGCAGCCTAGCCCAAGGTCATGCCTCTTCCTAAGGAATTCTGTATTAGCCTTTGGTTAGTGTAGGGGAATAAAGACCTGACCCCCTTGCCTCAACTGGAGACCACATTGAAGGGCTTTTATCTTCAGAGCTCCCCAAGGTCAGCTGGACTCTGTTGAGTCCGGCTTCTCCCTCCCAGTCCTGCCTTGTTCCCATCCCTTCCTCCATGTGGGTCCCCATAGGTATCCTCACTCAGTCTCCTGCCCCATAAGCTCAGGTTCTGTGTCTGCAGCCTGGGGAGCCCCAGTAGAACTATTGTGTAAGAAAATAGGCCGGTCGTGGTGGCTCGTTCCTGTAATCCCAGCACTTTTGGAGGCCAAGGCGGGCGGATCAAGAGGTCAGGAGATCGAGACCATCCTGGCTAACACGGTGAAACCCCCTCTCTACTAAAAATACAAAAAATTAGCCAGGCATGGTGGCATGTGCCTGTAGTCCCAGCTACTAGGGAGGCTGAGGCAGGAGAATCGCTTCAACCTGGGAGGCGGAGGTTGCAGTAAGCTGAGATTGTGCCACTGCACTCCAGCCTGGACGACACAGCAAGACTCTTTCTCAAAAAAAAAAAAAAAAAAAAAGAAAAAGAAAAAGAAAATGCCTTTGATGTCATGTATGCAATGGGAGCCCAGGGCTCTTGTTAGAGTCTTGAAGGTGCCTTCGTCACGTTTGGCTTGCGGGGGCTAACAGCCAGCGAGTTGTGTCACACTGTGTTCAGAGAAAGGGGCTGCTCTGGGAATTTCCAACCATGCTCCATGGAGGGATCAGCGTGTGCACAGTGCTGGGCACACTTCGGTAGCTCAGTAAACATGTACTAAAAATTAAAAATATAAACTGCAAACCTTTACCCTGTGCTTGGATTTGGAAGATCCTGTAGACCATTCTGAGCCACAGAGCACACGTGGGTGCTAGGGACAAGACCAACTCTGGAGGTGAGGGATGACCTCCGCAGATTCTTGGTCAGAGGGCTATGTGAGAAAGAGATAAAACAGGCCTATAGTCCTGCCACATGCTCTGCAGACTGCAAAGGAAAACTGGGCTATCCAGCAAGGTTGACCGAGAAAACAGAGCAGCACTGTTAGAGAAATTCAGAAATCATTTAAAAGACAGAAAAGTTTACTCTCTCAAATATCGTGAGCAAATGCTGCAAAGTATAACTTCACCTCCCCCCAATTTTATATCTTCCTCTGATATTTTATCATAATACTTTTATGGCTTCTTCTGAAGTGTTTTGATATGATAATTTTTTTGCAGGTACCTTTCATATGCATCAGCTTATTGGCATCAACAAGTTAGATAATAAATTTAGCTACAATACAGAACTACAATAAACATAATATGTACGGTATAAAGGTCACTGGAACCAAGTTGACATTTTGTTGTATTTCAGCATAAAAATACAGGGCAACTTTTGTGAACATTATTAATAATTTGAATTCTGTACAACCAAAGACATCCAAACATATTGTCTTAAAAGAATAAATGCTCAGTCAATGCACAATAAGTTTCTGATTAAAGTTCATTACCTCCATGCTGTCCATGGACTGGGTGGGCCACTCTGACCATTAAGTTTTTCCAAGAGGTGAAATGGTTCAGTGGCCCAGGCTTGGGAGACCCAGTTGGGTTCAGATCCTGGTCCTCCCCTCGCCAGCTGCATGGCCTCAATCAAGTCACTTAGTTTTGACAGCTCAGTTCCCTCGTCTGTAAAATGGAGATGGAAATCATAGTACCTAACTTATAGAGTGGTTTTGAGAAGTTAATACACATTAAACACTTTGAATAGTGTCTGGCACATAATAAGCTATAACTAGCTATTCTTATTCAAATGGATTTTCTCCCCTGAAAAAATGCATTCAGGATATTTTGAGGCAGCTTGAGTCCCGTGTACCAGACATGGTTTCTCCCATTTGGCAATGTCACTGAAATGATATCTGAGAACCAAGCATTGTGCCAAGGTAAGGCAGACATCCACTCCCCATAGAAGTTTCCATGGGTTTTCTGCCATTTCTAGCTATGGGATTCATTTATCATAGCTTTGGGGAAATACTTTACCTATTTTATTTCTCTTGTCTGTAAAATGGACACAAAATACTTACCTATTTAGAGTTCAGTGCAAAATACTTGCTGAATAATTAGCTTACACAGTGTCTAGTAAGAAAGAATATTGGGGCCGGGCGTGGTGGCTCACACTTGTAATCCTAGCACTTTGGGAGGCTGAGGCGGGCAGATCACCTGAGGTCAGGAGTTCAAGACCAGTCTGGCCAACATGGTGAAACCCCGTCTCTACAAATATACAAAAATTAGCTGGACATGATGGCGGGTGCCTGTAATCCCAGCTACTCGGGAGGCTGAGGCGAGAGAAACGCTTGAACTCAGGAGGTGGAGGTTGCAGTGAGCTGGGATCGTGCTGTTGCACTCCAGCCTGGGTGACAGAGGAGACTCTATCTCAAAAAAAAAAAAAAAAAAAAAAAAAGGAAAGAAAGAAAGAAAGGATATTAGAGGTTGGAGGTGAAAAATAGCCTGTGTTACCATCTGCACTGGGATTTGGCATCCCTCATGAGGGGTTTGCAACAATCAGTTGAAGCACTATTATTGCATCTGCACTTGGGCATTGACAGGTTGGTCTTACCCACTGGATCCCAGTCATGCTGTAAACAGGGCTTGCTTTGGAGTCTGTCAGACCTGGCTTAGACCCAGGCTCTGACCAAATGGGTGAGTTATGCAGCTACTTGGTGGCATCTAATACCCTATCGCAAAGGACTGCCGTGAACAGGAAGGAGGTGTCAAATTTGGCAGTGCCTGATGAGGTGAGGCCAGGACCCAGGAACTTCTATTCCCTCCCATGCTCAGGAACAGTAAGTGTTCTTCTATCTGCAGAGGTAGATGCTTAGCACATCGTGGGTACTTCACTCATGATTGCTAAATTTGAATTTGTGATAAGTCATTTCAAAAGTCAGATCTAGGACCAAAAATACAATATCTGTCAACATGAACTGTAGATCATGGTTTTCCTCCAGCCCA
Organism: Homo sapiens; assembly: GCF_000001405.40. Classification (NCBI taxonomy): domain Eukaryota; kingdom Metazoa; phylum Chordata; class Mammalia; order Primates; family Hominidae; genus Homo; species Homo sapiens. Next base: position 104,505,911 of record NC_000002.12, on the reverse strand, counting down.
GGAATCTCCTTTCAGTAAACGCTTCTTCTCCAAATGTCTTCATTCCCTAAATAAAACAAACAAAAAAGTGGTAAGAGATCTGTTCATTTCAATTCCCACAATATAGGTTACAGTCAAGATTCGTAAGAGTTTTCCAATTTTAGGTATCTTATTTCTCTGTTCTCTGAAATGGGTACAATACTAAAGAACTGGCTAGGATTTAGTGTAAAGTACTTTCTCAACATTTGGACTGTGCATTTTATTTGTATCATGTCTCTCAAATTCAAATTTGTTAATGTTAACATCAGAGAGTAAATGACTAGAGATTCAGCATGCATGTCCACAAAGAGATACCAATGTGGGCTATGGGGGAAATAGTCATTATAACAACATCCAAGGGCAGACAGGAAAATTTATAGTCATGGACTAATTATCCTTTTCATCTCTCAAGTTTACATCACTGTGAAAATTCTTCCTCTAAGGTTAGGTGGCAGCTAATGTGAATCCTAACTCAGGTGTTGGATATATTTATTATGGTGGCCTTTCTTTAATGTTTCTACACAAAGTCAAGTGGACATGGACATTCAGAATACTACACATTCTGAAGCAATAAAATCTAATATGCTGTAATATTATTTCCTGCTTCTATTTAAGATAGATACTTAAACGCTAACTTACATTTTATTCAATCTTTAAGTTTTTAAAATAATGAATTTTCTCTACCGCATTCCCACCCCCTCACAGTTTTTGAGTCCACCTCGCTGGATTTTGTGAAAATAGATCCTTCACACACAACAAAGAAGGAACTTTCTGGAAGGCTGTACTCTGGAACTGCAGACTTCTCTCTCAAGTCAAGTACATTTCTGTTTTTCTTAAAGCTGCAAAACTACAACAATGTTTATATTCATATGAAGTATTTCAGCAATTCATAGCCAATTTATCAATGACCACGCAGCTGCAGGCACTGCAGTTTAAAAAAATATACCAGCTCACTTAGTGTTTACATAGGCTCTGAAAGCCCCACGTCCTGGCAGGGGGACGGGAGCCACCGGAGTCATTAGAAAGGTACGCTGGAGCGCCTGCCTGTGATGGTGGAGGGATGTTTGCATTATAGCCCAACACATCATTAAGGACACAATTGTTATTTAATGTGGCACAATCATCTTTCTACTCTTCATGAAATCCACTTAAGTAATTACCTTCTTAGCTCATTGGCTCTGTGAGCTGCCTGGTTAGAAAGGGTTATATCTAAGGAAATATTAAAAACCGGGCTCACACTGTTGCCCCTTTAAGCTGACTTGTATTTATTAATATATTCTAAATGAAGATCTTTCTTCCTGCCCTGAAAGAGGGAGGAAACTCCAAGGTAAATAAATGCTCTGGAGCATTGGCAGGGTTTAAAGGGAATAAGAACACATTAGCCAAAGTCTCCTCACTGTCAGCCATTCTTAACAAAGCAACTGATACCTGCATAATGCCTGGGCTCTTTGTAGTTTCAGTCTGACATCTGTTTTAGCCAATCAATTTTTCATTAAAGTCAAAATGCTGCTTTAAAATTTGCCTTGGCTTTCTCTTTTTAAGACAAGAACAAATTTATGACGAAAATATTCCTTTACAAAACTCGATGCAATAGCTTACTAAGCTGTGTGGATCTTCATAAGTGGCATAGTTTTGAAGACTCACTTTGAATAGTCTAGATATTAAGATGGAAAGTTTAAAGAACCCACAGAACTTATTTTCAGAGCACATTTAAATGTCTTTTAAGCAGATTTTTTTTTATTATGACGTGTCCAAGATGAGCTTGCAGAGATTCAGCATCATTTAAGGAGAGCAGAGCCGAAGTACAGAATTGAAATTACTTGAAAACACACATCTGCATTTTAAACTTTAAGCTCCCTTTCAAAATACACTGTACAATCCATGTTTACTATAAATACAGCGAGGTAAGTCTGAAATACCTTTATCTTATTTGGTGGATCTGTGTTTGAGCCTCTTTGTTTGAACAGAAGTGTCAGCTGTATTTTACTTTATTATATAAAAAAGTTTCAGAATTTAATTAAGGGTCAAGTACCAGCAGTAGATAAATGCAACAGCTAAAGCATATTTCTGATCACTCTGAAGTCTGCAATCACGAAAATTATTATCATTGAGTAAAACTGGTCTCAATGATGGTGACTGGGAGATGGATTCTGTGTTACTCAGCCATCATTTACATAATAATGGGTTCCAGTTTTCATCAGCACCTTTTGTTTGTACAGTGCTTACTGCTACAGTAAATTGTCAAAATGTCATTCCTCTCCAATCAGCCAGAAAATATCAACAGTAAACAAGGCACAGGAAGAAATTCTCTGATTAGGAGTGTGGCAGAGGAAGAGTAGAGCTGAAGTCTCTGTGATCGCTTGAAACATGTTATTCTGGTGTTCCCAATAATACAGTCGTACAGATTATGAAAATTACTTCTCTCTCTCCCCACCTCCACCCAGCCCCTTTAATGAAGAAATACCACTCTGCTTCTGAGGTCACCAGGAAACCTCAGGACGATCACTGGGGATTAATTGATTTACATACGTATTTGTGGGTGCCACTCTGTTCCCTCTTACTGGGGATCAGCCTCTCCTTCTTTTTCTGGCAGGGTACTGCGGATTAAATGGGGCCAGATTCTCCTACAGTGTTCTTGTCCCTGCTTGGTTCTCTGACTCCTGGCCAGTGGGGATTCAGAGAATAAAGGAGCTGTGGAGAAGAATTTGGCCAGTGCCCACGCTGCTATCACATGGGGCAGTGACAGAGAGGCTCCCATCCGCTGACTCGCCAATACTCTTCTTGTTTCAGCTGAATTGCTGCCAGAGCAGGAACTCAGGAGCTGGGGAAGAGCCCCAGGCGGCAGCAAAGTCTTCCACTCTTTGCCTTTCTACTTGGCCATCACTTGAACTCGGAGACCAGGGACCAGGGACCAGGAAGGATGATAGCCAACTCTACAGCCAGCATTTAGGGCACGGAGCCCAGACTGCCCAATGACCAGTTCTCTCTCTTTCTGCTTTCCCTGCACCCCAGGCCACTCTTCAACAACATTTTAAAGTCCGAAAGAGACATGAAATCAACAACTCTTCCTGTTCCTCAGTGAAATCTCCCCAGGACTAGGAAAGGATGAGGATGAATTAGTACAGTATATGCCTTATAACCATTATAGTTACAAAGTATATTAAAATTAAAGACTTCACATTGTGTCTGAAATAAAAATGAATATAGTGGCATCCTGCCAAGAGTCCCAGAAACCACTCTTGTGTGGAATTGAAACATTTGGCTCATATAATACTTAATTTATTTTTATGAAATGACAAGTTATATAAATGTATGTTTAAAACAGAGGGGTACAACATTTTTTTGGTAAGGTTTTTTTTTTTTTCTTTTTGGTATTCTGGCGTATATAGCTACATGGTTGGGACTTATTTCTAAACAGAACAAAAAGGAATATGTTTTTCCAAAATGGCGTTTTAAAGCTATGTGGTCCCCAAATATTTCAAAATATGATCATGCAGTTATGTTGCCCATGGCAAGGCTCACAGTACCTTCATTGGAAATGAATAGGAGTTTTAAGATCTATTGAAATGAAGTGTTGACATCAGGGAATATTTTGTACTGCTTTCAGGTTTCTTACCATGCACTTTATTTTGCTTGGCTACTTTTAATTTTTTCCCCCCCACTTCTCTTTGAAAATCCGACATTGTCCAAACCCTTTCGATGAAGAAGCTTGCTTGAATGAAAGCGCCGTGATGCTGTGGTGGTGCATCAGTAAACAGGGGGCCCGAGGAGCGGGCAGCGCGCGGAGAAATAGGGCTGATCAGCGGTAATTACCCTGACACCTCATGCAGTACAGGGAATTAACTCCTAGGACTTTGGGCCGAATGAAGAAGACGTTGATGTTTCACGTTGTGAATGCATCAGTGCCTGAACCCATTACCAGTTTAAACGGAGATGAGAATTTACTATACACTTTTTTTTTTTTTTTTTGGTTGGGAATGTAGACCGGTGTGCAGAAAATGAGAAAGTAATTCAGGATGCAGAAGCAACCACAATTTGTATTTTTATTAAGGCTTTTGCCTTCTGATTCTATATCATATCCATGACACATAAATACAAGAGAAGGTCCATGGCAACCATTGTCTTGAAAAGAGGGAGCCCGTTGCCTTAAAGAAGAGGTTAGCGTGTCACCAAAGTAGGTGAAGGTATTCCACGGCAGACCCATAGAAAGTGCTCGAAAACACAGAGCAGGAGGGGAAACACAGCTCAAAAGGCAACTAGTTAGCAGCTGCCACTATGACCTTTAACTGCATCCATGGTAACTGGGCTAAGGATGGAGTTCCATTTTACTATTCTCACACCCACAATGTTAAGCCTGTGAATCCCATTGCAATTTAATGGCTGAAATCAGAAGGCAGATCTGTGTTCATTGGACCGGTGCCGATACCCTCTTAGCTAATGAGCGCAATAAACATTTTCATGCCAGGAAACCAGTGCAAGTGGAAATATTATGCCATACAGAAATATATACCCAAACACAAAGAAATGGTCAGTAAAGTCAGTCTTTTATGTATATTTGCATATTCTAGCATTCAAAGCCAATCATCTTTTAAAAAAAGAATAAAAAAAGCTGCTAGACTATTAAAAACTGTAGCATACCACAAAGCTTACTGTGAATGAGAAATCAGAAGAGTTATGAATTCTAGAGTTAATGACTATTACTGCCTGTTCTATTATTTTCCTTAATGAATCTTATTATTTGTAAATGTATGCTTCTTTTTATGTGGCTCTAATATACTTCATGCCTTTTCCCTGACTATATACCGTACCTCCAGCTGGGGCAAGAAACCACTGCAAAAGCAATACCCACTTCTTTGGTAAAGGGAAGAGGTTTTATGATCGCTTTGCCTTCATAGCTATTTAGTTCATAGTTCGTTAAGAATTGATGACAATAGTGTCATACTGTTGTTACAGACTTTGCAACCTGCAAGGATACATAGATCATGCTTGTTTGTTTTGAAACCCCAGAAAAAAATGATAATGGGAGCTCATCACCAGTGAATTAGCCTTTGAATGCATGCTGCCTCTCTGAACAACTGGTAACTGGTAACTTTTTTTTTTTTAAACCAAAAACATGTTTAAGTTTAGAATGAGATGGCATCTGAAACTGAGCTCCTCAATTTAAGAAATAGCCAGTTTCAGAGGTTTAAGCATGATTAACATATGATATATAAAATTTTAACTGTGTGATTTTTCTGCTTCACTCTCCTAATAATTCTTTTTACAAAACTTTTAACGCATTAAACTTTAGCTATGTAAATGTTCTGCTCGTATCAAAAGGCTGCCAAGAATTATCCTTGAAACCTATCTTAGATTGTTTCAATAAGGCACAGTGTATAAAACTACATGGGCACCTACAGATAATGTAATCTATTGTATTTTTCAGTCCTTTCTTTCAAACTTTTTCTCAGAAATATTAAAATACTCCCCAACTTTATTTTTGTTAAATTGTTTTCTGAGCAAAGATGAGGGCTTAATAACTTTCCTTATCAGGAACAGTATGTTTTTCTTAGGGAACAATGTCAGGTATCCATTGTAAGAAAAAACTTGAACAATTTTGCTCACAGAAGCTGCTTGTCCTGGAAACTACAAAGGTCAGAGAGAAAATAATTTGGGTGCTTCTTATCTTTTAAAACAATTCCACTTTTATCATCATCAGAGAGTTTTAGGAAGGTTTTTTTTTTGTTTTTTTTTTTTTTAAAGCGAGACAAAGGAAGTGAGAACTCAGAGACCTGTTTACTTGACTTATAAAAGGGCAGGCAGTGCCTCCATCAGTTAAATAAAAGATGTTCTATCAATTTAGACAATTATACCAAAGATTAAGAGTGTCATGAAGCTGATGAAATCTCCTAGGTAACATTAAAAAATAATATGCTTTTAGATCACATCATATATTAAATGACAACTGCCAATTTTTTTAAAAAGAGTACTCAAAATTCTTTCCTGAATGACAACGTGAAGTTAAAATACTTTGTTCTTAACAGTTAACTTCATTGACATGACGCTTCTGCTTCTTGACTAAGGAAACTTGGCTAATAAGAGCTTTTTGTTTATTCAAGTAAAAGTGGACTGCAAGTTGTAGGATTTTATAGCCTCCCTGCATCTTTGCTTAATTAAGGCATGCATAGAGAATGTTTTGCTAGCATATTACTTGATTTAAAATATCTAAATATGGCTGATATTTAAATAGTTACCATCCTCTTGACTTGGCTTCCCCTATTTTATTGGCTTCTGAATGATTGTTTTTCTTATCGTTAGGCTAGGAAAAATTATTGCAAGCTTTAATTAAAGAAGTGACAGTAGTCGCCACAGGAAAGATCAGAAGAAGGGCTTACGATGACCTCGGCCCAGACCCAGCTCTGTGGAGGACTAATTGCAGGACCAGAGGCGAATGGTTTAACACAGCTGCCCTTCACAGCCCTTTTTGCTCAATGTGCACAATAATATCTGCTCCTTCTTGAGGACTGTTACTCAGATACCTGCCAGTTATGAGTGGTCTGACACATTCTCAACATGGAGCTAGGGAAACCCAGAATCATTTAGCCACCTAATCTAAACAACATATTTGTTATAAAGTTCACACCTGGGTAGAAGATGCCACCAGTCCTCTCAGCCTCAGTAAAAGCTCCTCCCCTCTTCTTGGGCCCAAGGAATGAAGGGAGAGGCCCTGCACTCCTCTGACCACCCAGGTTGAGTTTGGGCCTGGGATCCATGCTTTGGTGAGGAACTCTAGGGGACCAGGATATAAGCAGAGATGCCATCAGCCAGCCAAGACTCTCTCATCTCTAGGGAAGTCTGCTGTCCTCACCTGGCTTTAAATTACACTCCCTTGCCCAAATCTGCCTTCTGGTCCTCTTCTACCTCCACCTGAGCCTTCCAGCTCCTGGCACAGTTTCACGTTTGACCCTCTGTGCTGCCAGGCAAAGCACCAAGTTCTTCTGAGTTGTTGGTGACAAGGCACAAAAAGCCCACTGTCAGTGTATACTTTTCAACTTCTGGTCCTCCCCACAGGGTTACTTTGCTCATGTAGAAGATGTCAAACCACCATCACTATTATCAGCAGCATCAGCAAGAACAATACTCACTTATCGAGCTCTTACTCTGGGCCTATCATAAGGACTATCTCATTTAATCTTTGTAGCAAGTCTATGAGAAAACCAATTCTGAGCGATTAAGTAAATTACCAGAGGCTACAGAGATAGGAAGTTGTTTGGTTGAGCTGTAATTCCCAGAAAGAGCAACAGTGATAATATAAATATAAGGTTTGGTTGCATTTTTTTTTGGTACAGATACTAAGGTCTAAGGACACTTAGCTAGCTAGCCATGCTATTTGTGGACTTGGAAGATGGGCTTGCTTAGCTAGCCATGCTATTTGTGGACTTGGATTCTTTTCTAACTGATTTTCTTCTAACGATACTAGAATCCTTATCAACTTGATTGCTAAGAGGTATGGGAGAGAGAGGATTAGTTAGTAGACGCCCTCTAACTTATGTCTATGGGCTTGACTCTTGATCCTTTAATGCTTACTGAAAAATATTGACGGTGGTTTTTGACTCCAGCATTCCTTGTGTCATTCCCAGCCTGTGACATGTCTGTGAATGACTTCATGTAGTAACCATGTGCTGTTTTATCTCCACGGCTTGGTTTATAGTGAGAATTCAAAAGTATATCCATTGGATCAACTGACAATTTTGGGGGCCTCCTGTGGCAAAATCATCTTACTAGATGACTTCAACAGAAAAGGGATGTGGAAGAGAAACGATCCCAATTTTTTCAGTTAAGGTGGGATACACAAATATGTATGTGTTATTCATAAATACATATTACCCCTTACTCTCCCCTCAAATAGAAGGTTAGGAAAGTAGGAGACAAAGATGGTAATACATCAAAACACATTTTGGGTGCTTAGGAAAAAGGACTTAGAAGTAAAGGTATACTTGACTTTGCAAAACGTCCAACATGATTCAAAAACTGCTACAGGGTCCACATTAATATGAAGCTTTGTCCTCCCATCTGCAGCCTCAGTCTGTGTACAAAAGCGCGGACCATATGATGGTCGGAACAAACTGGGATCGCAATCAGGCATTTCCTTTAGAGCCAGAAACTCTCCAGAGGATCAGTGAGAGGAACAGTACTGATTCCAGAAGGGTCTTTTGTGATTACTCACTGTATTCTGACTGCAGGGGAGAGAAAATCATATTGCAGAAGACTTGTGGGAAGAAGGCAGGCAAACAGTAAAAAAGCAATTCTCTAAATATATCAGTTCTCAGACTATGGATGATGACAGGATAAATGAAAGCAACATGTGTCAAATGTGGTACAATGGCAATCCCACACTAGAGAGATGGGAAAGCACAAACACTAATCAGAAGAAACAAAGAAGAGTTGAGAATTATGAAATTGCTTTACAAGGGATAAGTCAACAGCATGGGTGGAATGGAGAAACACACAAGCAGTGGACCCAGGTCTTTAGGTAATATTAATAAACAAGGCAATTTGCTTATTTGTTGGTTCAAAATGGAATGATATGGGAAGAAAATCAAATAATAATTCGAAATGAAAAAATTACCTCATCCTGAAGTAAAAACACAAGTCTTCTTATCAAATAATATAGAAGCAACCAGTTCTAGTCAATGTAGAAAAGTATTTTTGTTAGAGGGTTCAACATAGGATTCAAAAGAACTTACACGTGAAGAGTATAGATATTTTTCTGAAGGTCAAGATCATGACCTTGTAAGTTATGTTAAGTACTTAGTACATTTTGGTCCTATTAGTATTATCGCTCTGAGTTCCATAATGAAAAATTGAAGGATGAGTAGGTCAAAGAGAGAAAAGTATTTATATGAAAGTTAAAAAAATAAATATCATATACTATTATTTAGAATGAGTTAAACATAATGAAATTATAGATTTGGTTGTGTTCTATCCTCTTGCCTAACATATTTGGAATTATTTTATTTTAAATCAGGACTCCCCCTAAGCAGACGTATAATGCTAGTCAATGCTTTTATTTATTTCTGCTATAGCGCAGAAGTAACTGCATCATTCAGATAACTCCGATAAGGCACCAAAATAGACACAGATAGAGAAGGGAGATGTGTCACAGTAGATGGACTCTGGAGCCCGACTATGGTGGACAAATTGTGTTGACACCTTAATTAGGACACACTTCCAATCGATCAGTCTTTTTGTAGATGGTTATTGTGCTCAGAGATGAGCTAACATTCTTACTCTATTTTTCTTGTGATTTCAAGAATAGTCTAAAACCTTAATTACCAGTATGGTTAAAAAAAAAAAGAAGGTTTGAATTTTCTGGGTAACTGAAATGTACATAATTAGGGCCAAAGACTTTAGTTTTTATCCATTTCTATTGATATTACTTTTCTCCAAATACATTATAATGGAGTATTGCATGAACATACAACTTGCTGGAATTCAACTTCATGAATTCTGAGAGAAATTGAGAGAGAGAGAGAGAACTGAAATGGGACAAAGCCCCCGTCTGCCTGCCACTTGATGGTATTGCCATGGGCTGAGTGGAATGAGGGGGCCTAAGACCGTTGCTCTTCAAATGTCCACAGTTCCTGTGGCTCCAGAGCATGGACACCTCTCCTCCGAGTGGGATTCTGGTGAGTTTCCATCCAGATATGCTATTCCCACAGCATGCTGTTTCAACAGAAGACAGCTAGAGCCTCAGAAGTGATAATTTATTCCAATCTGGCAGGAAAATGTGGTCTGTGGTAAATTTATTGAAAGTTAGTACCATACATTATTTTATAGAGGATGTAAAGAACCTTTTTTCAAGGTGCTTTAGATTATCTTGTTTTTCACTTGAGCTAAAGTCTTAACCTCTAAGTAAACTGTGAGTCTACTTTATATACATATTTACCGTAATAAATCAACTATACTATAAGTGAGTTTTATCCTGACTTGGGAGTCATATTATTACATAACCTACAGGATGAAATGTGTAATCTCTTAATAAATCCACTTTATCATTTTGCTTTTTCATTATTTCTTCTTGTTCCTAAAGATATAGTTCAGAAAGAGCAGCAGTATAAATGCTATGTAGTATTTTGGGGGAAGAAAGTATTTTTTGGGGAGACATGGTACATTGAAGAATGGTTAAGTATTGTTTTATATCACAAATCATTTGATTATTTATTTGACTTATTAAGATACATTAAAAGATCCATTATCTTATACAAAATGACTTCTACCTCTTGTTGATGTTAATTTCTTGCTTGTTTCATTAACACTCTGAGTCTGCTGAGCTGTTCAGGATGGTAGGCATTAGACACATGTGGCTGATTAAATTTTAATTATTTAAAATTAAATATAACAAACAATTCAGTAGCATTGGCCATGTCTTAACTGCTCACTAGCTACATGTGGTTACCATGCTAGACAGCATAAATGTAAAACAGTTCCATCATTACACAAAGTTCTATTGGACAAAGCCGCACTACGTTCTTAATTTGAAAAGTGGAGAAATTTCACATCTTAATTAATTATGAAACAATTTTTCCTCTTCATGTGAAAATAGATTTATTGCTGTTAAGTACTACTCCAGCATTGTTGTATTTCTGCAACTATAGGCAGGAATGGGAAATAGCATTACTGATTTCAACAGTGCTAACTCCTCAGGGTTTTATTTTTCCTTTTGCTTATATTTTCATTTTGTTGATCTCAAGATTTACTCCCATCTCAAGATATTTTGAGATGGGAGAATTTGAAGTTAAAATGTAGAAATATAAAGTGGAAAATGTTTTGTAAGACAATTTTGTCAGTATGTTTCATAAGTCCTGAAACAGATCCTGTTATGTCACTTTCAGAAGAATATTACCTCAAATGCCCTGATTGTATGTCCCCAAATATTCAAACAGTGTTATTAACAATAGTGAAAACAACTATTTTAGTCTTATTTTAGTCTATTAGGAAAGAGCTCATAATATATTGCTAAACAAGAAAATCAGATTACATAGAAAGTATCTACAAAATGATCTACCAGTCTATAAAAATTGCTAGCATTGGCAGTATGGAAGAAAAAACTATGTAGGGATATATGCATTAGGAAAAAATGGAAAAATTAATATCAGAAAACTAATCCTTTTTCCTCTGGTACTTGCTTTCTTTTGTGCTTTCCTTAACAAATTCTTCTTTTATTTTTGTTTTTAATTGACACATAATCATTGTAAATATTTATGGGGTGCAGTGTGATGTTTCAATACATGTATATACTGTATAAAAATTCAAATCAGGGTATTTAACATATCCATCACCTCATATATTTATTATTTATTTGTGGTGAGAACATTCAAAATCCTCTCTTCTAGCTATTTTGAAATATACATTATTGTTAACTATCATCACCCTACCCTACTGTGCAATAGAACTGATAGAACACCCGAAGTTATTCCTCCTCTCTAACTATAACTTTGTACCACTGGCCAGTGTCTCCGCATGCCCTCTTCCACCTTATCCTTCCCAGCCTCTGGGAACCACCATCCTACTCTCCACTTCTATGAGAGCAAATTCTTTAGATTCCACATATGAATGAAATAGTGTACTTGTTTTTTTGTGCCTGACTTATTTCATTTAACATAACATTCTGCAGGTTCATCCATGTTGCCACAAGTGACGGAATTTCTTTCTTTTTTATGACTGAAATTCTATGCTATCAAACTTCTGTGTCAAGACTGTTACCTAATTGTGTTCTCAATATCACAACTAGCATGCAATGACCACTTACGGTGTTTTAGCGCTTTGTATGTGTCATCTCATTTAATCTTGCAGCAATAATTATTTCCATTTTATAGTTGAGGAAGGTGAGATAAACAGAGATTGAGTAATTTTCCCAGGTTCATGTAGGTGGTGTGTGATTAAGCTGATATTTGAACTGAAACAACCTGACTCCAGAGCTGCTACTCTGAACTCCTGTGTCACTGAAGCCAGACAAACAAATGTCTATCAGTGATAGAAAAAAAAAAAACAAAACTCAGAGAGAATATTGCTCAATAACAGGATAAGTCTCCTAGCAGACCAGCAAAGAAACACAATTGCAAAGTTCTCAGGCTAATTGGGATTCCTATTGGACTTCAAGTCTAAAGTGTGTAAGAATGAACAAAATTTTGCTACTGTAGTTAACAGGGCCCAAAGATACTTCAAGCAAATTAGGGGCGGAAAATTGGGATTACTGCTTGAAAAAGGTCTAGAGTGGACCTCCCAGGTTGGTGAAAGAAAAGGGAAAAACCTGGTCCCTGCTACTCTCAGGGACTATGGTCTTGCGAAGCTATGTGCCCAAAAAGAAAGAAGACATTGGTACCATTCTAGTATCAAGAACCAGGAGAAGCTATTCCCTGAAAAGTGTATTTCAAATATCATTGCAAGGCAAGAAGCTCCTGTGACCACTGTAACACTGGTCCTGGAGTCAAGGTTACAGGGATGTCACTTAGAACGCCAAAAAAAAAAAAAATGCTCTACACTAAGAAAGAGCAAGAAAGGGGGTGAACTGCACACAATAAAATCAAATATTTTACACATGATGCTACAAATCAAAATTTCGAACTGTGTTAAAGAATTCTAGGCCAGGCACAGTGGTTCGTGCCTGTAATCCCAGCATTTTGGGAAGCCAAGGCCTGAGGATTGTTTGAGTTCAGGAGTTTGAGATCAGCCTGGGCAACATCGTGAGACCACATCACCACAAAAAATAAAATTTTAGTCTGGCATGGTGGTGGGCACCTGTAGTTCCAGCTACTTCGGAGGCTGAGGTGGGAGGATCATTTGAGCCTGGGAGGTCAAGATTCCAGTGAGCTGTGATTGCACAGTTGCACTCCAGCCAGGGTAACAGAGTGAGACCTGTCTCAAGCAAACAACAAACAAACCAGAAAAAAACCAGAATCCTAGTGCTGAGAAAGACAGCCAAGACACCAACAATCCAAATATAAATTCACAATAGATAAAAATCATAATAATAGGACTATGCTGGAAAAGATTTCAGTATGCTTATGAATCATAATAAAATGAAAGAACAACATGTGTAACAAGAATAATACATTACAAAAGACAGAAGTTAAACAAAATGTATTTGTGTAAAATAACAAGTTGGAAATCTTGGGAAAAAAAGTAGTAATTCACAAAAAAAATACTATATTGAAGTAAATTCTATATTGGACACGTTCACAAGGAAATATAAAATTGAGAGATAGTACTGAGGATTTCATTCAGATTACTCCTATCTTTGTATCATCTATCTATCTATCTATCTATCTATCTATCTATCTATCTATCATCTATCATCTATTTCTATGTACCCATACATACATGTATATATATACATACATATAGAGAGATAGGTAGATAGATATTCTCTCTATATTTCTATAATTAATTTACTGTGAAGAAAATATATATATTTACATTTATATAAATTTATTTAAATTTATATAAATGTAAATTTATGAACTTATAGAAGATAGGTCAAAAGGCTCTAAAGTAGGTCAATCAGGACTTCCAGAAAAGGAAAAAAGAAGAAATGGTGAAGTAATATTAGATAAAATGACTGCTAAAATTTTTTCAGCATTGATTAAAGAGATGTGTCCTTAGATTAAAAATGCCCTTCCAAAAAACAAAACCAAAAATTTTAAAATAAGGAGAAAATAAATCTTCATTTAGAGATATCACAGTGAAACAGAATCACATAAAAGAGACCACCAGAAAGGAAAGATACTTTAACTTAAGTTCGACAGTTGGCTTCTCACTGGCAATAAATGATACCAGAAGACAAAGGCTGAATTTCTTCAGTGCTATCAACCCTGAATTCTATAACCAGCTAATTTATTAATCAATAAAAAGAGAAATATTTTTTAAAATTCAGAAGTGTGAAGATAGGGTTTAATACTTACACACCTCATTGAGAAAAATTCCTAATGACTTCTCCAAGAAGAAAAATAAAATTGAGAGGAGTTGGATGGAAAAAAATAATAGTAAAACTGATAATGTAATTGACAAACACCCTTTGTGTGTCAGAACACCCTTTAATGTAAAACAGATTGTTGTTCAGTGTGTAGTTAACGTGAGCTAAGTCCCCTGTCTTTTTCAGAAAGGAAATAGAGACATCAAATAACCATTGATCTTATCAGAAACATTTGTAGTTAATATTCTGAGGTTAATTTAAAAGAGAAATATAGAAAGCTTTATCAAACAAATTAGCATTAGAAGTAAAGAAAAAAGGTACAAAGAAAAGAATTGCAGTAAAACTAGTTCCAAATATATCAGAAATTGCAATAAATGTTATAAATTAAACCCATTTATTACAAGATTGACACTAGCAGATGAATTTTTTTTTTTTTGAGACAGAGTCTTGCTCTGTCGCTTAGGCTGGAGTGCAGTGGCCTTATCTTGGCTCACTGCAACCTCTGCCTCTCGAGTTCAAGTGATTCTCCTGCCTCAGCCTCCCGAATAGCTGGGATTACACATGCCTGCCATCATGCCTGGCTATTTTTTTATATTTTTAGTAGAGATGGGGTTTCGCCATGTTGTCCAGGCTGGTCTCGAACTCCTGACCTCTGGGGATCTGCCCACCTTGGCCTCCCAAAGTGCTGGGACTACAGGCGTAAGCCACCGTGCCTGGCCAGAGTGAATTTTTTTTTTAAAGCTATCTTCTGCTTATATGAAACAAAATCATATAGAAATATTGGAAATAAAAGAACAGAAATAGATCTAATTATTACAACAACATTTACTTCAGACAAAAAAGAATTTGTGGCAAAATTCATGATTACAGTTAAAGAGGAACATTGCATAATTTTAGTGGTTAAACACAAACTGTTCAGGTGAGTATATATTTTTAGAATTTGGAATAACTACGACCTTGAAGGTCAGAGGATGGGGGCATCTATCCTCTCCACTTCCCTGCACACCCCTGACATCAATACATTCTATGAGATTAACTTTTTTTTTTCTCCTGAAATCCCTGCGATTTTGATGTTCAATTTCTATGAGTGGAAGGAAGAAGTAATTCTCTTTCCAATTTTATTTTTTATTGTTGTTATAGTTTAACTCTCCTTGCTTAGTTGTAGGGCAGTAGAGAAGGCGATAAAAAGCATGTACAATGAAAATGAACAAGGAACAAAATGCAGAAGTTTTTTCTAAGGTGCAGGAGAGGAGTATTCACATTAGAAGACAAGGCAACTCACTCACTAGACAGGATACATGGTGTGGAGAGGTGCCGGGGTCACGGCTGGGGGAATAAACTTCCCTTGTTGAGGTAAGGAGCTGCCATTGGGTAGTGGAGAACCTCAGTGTGGTGAACCTTAGGATGGTGAACATAGGCCAACTCAAGTCCTCCTCCACCTGGTAGAACCACTGAGACAGAGGGATTAGAGATTAAATCGCTGTTGGGCACTAGGATGGAAAAGGAAATGAAGCACGGGTTTAGCAGTGCCTTCATTTAAAGCTGGAGTATGGGTGCAAATCATTTTAGGAAAGGGTCAGAGAAATCTTGCAAACATTGCAAGAAAGACGTGAACTGAAATCCTTTTTGGGACTCAGAGGACTCTGGTCTCCAAGCAGAAGAGACAGAGTGTGGTTGCAGAATATTAAATCTAAAGAAAGGATGCTTGCCCATGACTTAATAGTACTTTCAAATTGAAGTATCATCAGATTCAATTGAGAGCATTGTAGCAAATGTGCAGTAGACAAGGTATAATTCTTAATATTTTAAAGAGCTAGATAGTCTCTCACAATAGGTCAAAATTTAGAATATAATTTTGGTCACAGGAGCATGTGATCTTTTGCCAAGCTGGGAAGGAAGACTAAGGGTTCTAGGTATTCTATTCCATCTGTTCCTGGTATTTACAAAGCTGAAGTGACTTAAATTGGAGCTTCTCTGATTCTCATTTGAATGTTGCTTGAATAAGTGGAAAATAGCTAAATAGGAGAAAGTCTGAGTAGGACTTTGGATTCCCACACTGGTTTTTACATTATTATTTTAAATCTTTGGATGTGGATTAATATTCATTTCTGTTTTGAGCTTCCTCCTTTTCCCTGTTTTCCTCTCTAGATCCTTCCAGAAGAACCACAGCCGTTGTTGATGAATCTGGGTGTGGGTAGAGCTTGTCCGCTGGAGGTGACGCAGACACCATCACTACAGTGTAAACACCATTCATGCAACTGCAGCCACCACCGGGGCCACTGGCCAGACCACCACTTCCCAGAGCCCAGGTAAATATATTTCCTTTAGCATGACAACCCTAGCAAGAGAGCAGAAAACCAAAACATAACTAGCTTTCGACACAGCCATTTTATTGGAAATATTCAGTTTTTTATTACAAGCCATGAAGATGTTTTTGATTATGTCGCTCTCAATTATTGTACATTTAATATAGAAAAACAAGTACCTTTCAAAAAGCCTGGTCACACTTGCAAAATATTTTTTAAATGTAAATATAGATTTTTAAAACATACATTACTTCCAACAATTAATGACCTATTTGGTTAACAGTAATTACATGGAGTTTATTGTTGATTCTCTTTTGTGTGATGTCTACATAGTTTTTTGAAGAGCCCTTTTACAGAGGGAAGGGGAAAAAATTTACTTTTGCCTGGAACAAAATGGAGCAGTGCAAATACTTGCTGTAAAATAAGGAAATGTGATTCAAATGACTCGAGTTTGGGGATTACTGAGAAATTCATTAAAAAAATTCTGAACTCAATAAAGGATTGTGTGGGATACTTTAGGTGTTAAATATATTTGTATTTTGACCTTGTGGTCAATTCCCAAACTTTACCAGCTATCTTAGTGTTTGTTTTTTCAAGGCAGACTCCCGGGAATAACCATTTTTATGTCTTTCAGATACTGCAGCAGCTATAAATAGCTTTGTAGAATTACATTAGGTGAGACAGCCCAATATCCCATTGCATGAGCAATGTGGAATTTTGAATAAAAAGTAGTTTAAATGGCATTTTGGTTTCAGTAGTGAATTAAAAGCAAGAAACAAATCACAGAAGAGGGACAAACAGATGTTTCTCTGATAGCTGGATTCCTTAGAAAATTGACTATAAATTCCATGAAGATAATTATTAGCACTGGATTATACAATCAGCATGATTTGCCTGGTTATCTACAAAATCATTAAAAAGTATAAGAAGAATCAAATGTATACTGTGTACCAAGCAGGAACTGCTGTTGGTCTTCGTTGAAATCCTGTCTGCAAATCTTTTTGTATAACTTAATTAGCAAAGTTAAAATTAAGATGAGGCTCCAGTGTGTTTAGATACAACAATTTCTATGAGAGGACACTTCATTAAAACATTTAATAACACAGCAAACTCTCAGTTATCAAAGAAATCTCTTTACAAAAACTGTTTTTGCCAATGAATAAAATGATTCAATCTAAGATATTTATTCTGTTCAAGAAGTATTCAAATTTTGCTTTTACTGTGGGTTCATATTCCAGGTGCCTGTTATATGCTCTGCGGACATCGTTGGTTTCTAGTCTTTATAACAATGCTGTCCCCTAGGATGTATTTAATACATGTTTATTGAGTGCCTACTATGTGCCAGGCACTATTGTAGGCTCTCTGGGAGCAGCAGTGAAGAGGATAAAGTGCTTACTCTCATGAGACTCGCATTCTGAGAAATGCAATAAGCTAGGAAACTCATAAATAGATACATTCACAGAGTTATGCAACCGTCACCACAATTTCAGAACATTTTCCTAGCCCCCAAAGAAAACTCTGTACTCTTTAGCCATCTTCTCCAGTCTCCCTGCCTCAACAGCCCTAGGCAGTCACTAATCCATTTTCTGTCTCTATAGATTTACCTATTATGGACATTTCATAAAAATGAAACCATATAATATCTGGTCTTTCAAAACCAGTTTCTTTCACACAGCATAATGTTTTAAAGATTTATACACACTGTAGCATGTGTCAATACTTCTTTTTTATTGCTGAATAACAATCCGTTAAGTGGATTTTATTTATCCATTCACCCATTGATGAGCGTTTGCATTGTTTCAACTTTTTTTGCTATTAAGAATAAAGCGGCTAAGAACGTTCCTGCCCAAGTGTTTGTGTGGACATATGTTTTCATTTCTTTTGAATAGATACCTAGGAGTAGAATTGCTGGATTATTTGTTTAACGTGTTGGGGAACTGCCAAACTATTTTCCAAAGTTGCCGCATCATTTTACATCTCTACCAGCAGTTTACGAAGGCTTCAATTTCTCCACATCCTCCAGCATTTGTTATTATCTGTCTTTTTTATTATAGCTATTTCTAGTGGTTGTGAAATGGTGTCTCATTGTGGTTTTGACTTGCATTTCCCTAATGACTAATGACGCTGAGCATCTTTTCATGTGCTTATTGGCCACTTATATATCTTCTTTGGAGAAATGTTTATTCAGATCCTTAGCTTATTTTTAAATTGGGTTACTAACCTTTTTGTTGTAGAATTGTAACAATTCTTCACACTATCTCTATAGTCTAGATATGTCTCTTATCAGATACGTGATTGGCAAATATTTTCTCCCATTTATTCTGTTGTCTCTTTGCTTTCTTGAAGATGTCCTTCGAAACATAAAAGTTTTAAATTTTCATCAGGTAAATTTGATCTATTTTTCTTTGTGCTCTTCGTACCATATCTATTGTTTGTGCTTTTGGTACCATATCTTAGAAACCACTGCCCAATCAGAGGTCACAAAGATTTACTCCTGTGTTTTTGTCTAACAGCTTTATAGTTTTAACTCTTTCATTTAGGCCTTTGATACATTTTGGGTGAATTTCTGTGTATGATATGAGGTAGGAATTATGTGCTAATTTTGATGAAGTATTTATTACCCCAGGAAGCGAATACATTTTCTTTTAGTAAAAGTGTTTTCAGAAAGATAGTGTTCATTTATTAAAAACTATTTTGCTTAAACCAGGCACTTTTCTGTGAATACAATAGAAAAATCCTTAGCTTTCGAGGAGGTCATTGTCTACTGATAGATGTAAACAAATAAATAAATATAACGAAGTCAAGTGGTATAGGAATGTTAAAAACTACAGAACAGTGAACGGGTGGAGAGTGCTGAGGGTGTTGCTTTTATTCTGAGCTGTCAGAGAGGGCTTCTTGGGTAAGGTAATATTTTAGCAGAGACTTGAAGGAAGTGAGAGAGTGAGAGCTGGGGATCTCTGGGGGAAAAGCATTCTAGGTGGAAAGAACAGAGTGCAAAAGCCCTGAGGTGGGAACGTGCCCCCGATGCCTGTGGAACAGCCAGGAGCTCAGTGTCGCTGGAAAGAGGAGAGGAGAGACAGCCTGGGAAAACTGAAGACATGGGGGGAGCCGAATCACGTGGACCTCATGGATCATGGTAGACACTTTGGATGTAACGTGAATTGAGACTGGAAGACATTGGAGGGTTTTGAGCAGAGAGACCAGATGAGCCAACGTATGTTTCAGGAGGGCCACCTTGGAGCAAGCTAGAGAATCATTTGGAACCAATTAGAAGTCAATAATTCAGGCTAGAGAAGATGAAGGCTTGATTCAAACTGACATGGCTGGGGATGGTCAGAGGCTGGGCATATTTGGATGATACAACTTGAGACATGAAAAAAAGTGAGGAATTAGGGATATTTCCAGGTTTTTGGCTTGGGCAACTGGAAGCACGAGTTGTCATTAACTAAGATGAAGGAGAATACACAGGAACATATCTTGAGAGAGAGGTAGGGGTTCAACTTGGGGCATACTAAGATTGAGATGCCTAGTTGATAATATCCAAGTGAAAATGTCAAGTGGGGAGCTCACTACAATTCTGGCTGTGAGAAGAAAGTTCTCAGCTCTTAGCTAGAAGTGTAAATCTGATGCTAACAGCATAGTGTTGGTGATTTTAGCCTTGGGACTGGATGTGGTCACCTAGGAAGGGAGGAGGATAGAATGGAAGGCATCAAGGAGTGGTTCTTGCGGCGTTCCAATGGTCCATTTCTATGCTGAAAGAGGAAAAAGAATTGGCAAAGAAGTCCTAGAAGATGTGACCAGTAAGCTAGGAGAACCCAGAGTGATGCCATCATTGGAGTGGATTCAAGGGGAAATTGGAGGGAAAAGGAGTAGCGATAGTAAGACGACCATGTTATTTAGGCTCAACAAATATTAAATGACTACTTCCTATGTGCCAAGAGTTGTTTTAGAGATAAGTCAGGGAAGAAAAGAGACCCAAACCTAACCTTTGTGAGGATGACATTCTAACAGGGGGAGAGAGACAATAAAATGATAGGTGTGCAAATTACACAGTACTGCAAGGTAATTCCTGCTTTGGAAAATATATTGAATAAAGATTATTGAGTGGGGAGCTTGGGAAGTGGGAAGATTGCAATTTTAAGTAGGATGGTTGGGGTAATCTTTATTGCAAAGGTGGCATTTGAACAAAGACTTGAAGGTGGTAAAGGAGTTAGCAGGTCCCTGAGAGAACACACCAGACAGAATTTGCCTCCGTGCCAGGGCTGAATGGGCCTAAGGAGACAAAAAACAAACAAACAAAACCAAAGAAAAGAAAACAGCAAATGGACCAGTATGCCTAGAACAGTGTGAGTAAGGACAGCAGTATCAGGAGGCTTGAGTGGAAAGATGACAAGGTTTGTTAAGGTCTTGCAAGCCGTCATAAGGACTTGTGGGAGGGAGCCATTGGAGAATTGCATGGAGGAATGGTATGATTGGACAGCCTAATGGGTGGTGGGCAGGCCAGACTCTGGTCATACATATATTTAAGAGACAGGGTCTCACTATGTTGCCCAGGCTGGAGAGCAGTGGAGTGATCATGGCTCACTGCAGCCTCAAAATCCTGGGCTCCAGACATGCTTCCACCTCAGCCTCCCAAGTAGCTGGGATGACAGGGGTGCCCTCCTACACCTGCCTAATTTTTTTAGCAATTTTTTTGTAAAGATAGGGGTCTCCCTATGTTGCCCAGGCTTCCATCATATTTTGAAGATAAAGCTTGTAGGATTTACCTTTGGCTGTGGGGAGTGGAAGTAGGAAGGAAATTGAATGCGCAATTTTGACCGGAATGACTGGAGGGTTTGGGCAGCCTTCACCTGAGATGGGGGAGGATACAGGTGAAACAGATAGGGGGGAAGTAAATGTTTTTGTTTATTCAGTTACTGTTTATAAAATATTGAGTAATAAGTTTTCAGGGAATTTCTACTTAATCAAGCATATTTAGCATTAACAGGCTACTGAATTTAACTTCTTAGTATTTCCTAGGGCCCTTCAATATTTCATGATTTTTTCATGTTAATCTGGTATCATCTAATTCTATGACAAACCATGAGAATTTTCATTTTAATAGCACATTCTGGACATTAAGTGGTAACTAAATGAAATTTTGTAGAATCTGTTTTTATGTCTATTTTTTGATCTTCCCGATTTGAATTTTGAATAAACAGACATCTCTGTTTATTTGTAATTCATGTTTGAGCATGATTCATGCTCTTAAGACGTAAGCAGCTTTGGTTTGAAAAATTAAATAAGGCTTTTAAATATTTAAGCTATATATTTTTGTACTAAATATAAAAGTTAAATAACCAGAAAGTTCACTTTTGCTGTGATAGCTTCCACTTGTAGCTTACAGTTCTTCAGTGTATTTTGTATTGAACGCAGTTACATATCCATGCATTTGCCAACAGAAATGAACAATATGCTAATTTTTTCAGATAATGTAAACTAATGAATACATACACTCCCAATACATTTTTTTATTCAACTGAAGTGATTCTAAGGGTGTGAAACACATTTGACCCTGTCTTAGTTCCTCTTATAAGTCCCTGTCTTACAACAGAATACCTGAGACTGAGGAATTTATTTATTTATTTATTTATTTGAGACCAAGTCTCCCTCTGTCACCCAGGCTGGAGTGCAGTGGCACGATCCCAGCTCACTGCAAGCTCTGCCTCCCGGGTTCACGACATTCTCCTGCCTCAGCTTCCTGAGTAGCTGGGACTACAGGCGCCAGCCACTACACCCGGCTAATTTTTTTGTATTTTTAGTAGAGACAGGGTTTCACTGTGTTAGCCAGGATGGTCTCGATTGCCTGACCTCGTGATCTGCCCGCCTCGGCCTCCCAAAGTGCTGGGATTACAGGCGTGAGTCACCGTGCCCAGCCAAGACTGAGTAATTTATAAAGAAGAGAGCTTTCTGTAGCTCATGGTTCCACAAGGTGGGAAGTTCATGGGACATGGTGCCAGCATCTGCTCAGCTTCTGGTGGGGACTTTTGTGCTAGGTCATAACATGGACGAAGGTCAACAAAGAAAGGACAAAATCTGAGGGGGGTCCTCGCTTTATAATAGCCCACTCTCAGGGGAATGAGTTTATTCTCACGAGAAGTAATCCAGTCTAAGGAGAGCAGAACTAACTACCATGAGACCCATACCGAGCCATTCACTAAAGAACCCCCCGACCAATGACCCAAACACCTCCCACCCAGCCCCACCTTCCCCACCAGCACACGGGGACCGCATATCAACATGAGATTTGGTGGGGACGAGCTGTATGTAAACCACAGAATACCTGAAGCTCAAATATCACACTCCACTGAGGCATGACCTGATTCCCCAGGGCGTTGGTGGCTCATTGAGCAGTCCTCTCATAGCAGTCACTTTATATCTCGATTACGAACATGATCTCCTTGTATTTCAATTCTACGCTTTCACGTCTCTCCCTCTGTTCTAGCAAGTGCTCCCAGAGCAGAGAGCCAAGACTTATGTACTTCGTGGCCCCCCGAGTCTTAATGGTTCCTGCTATGGGGAAGATGTGCAATAGATGTAGAAAGATGTAGAAAGAATGAATATATTCATAAATGGGCAAATGCTGCCAAACATTTTTAACACACTTAAATACTGTATCCGAACTCTCTTCATGAAAAGTTCAAACAGCAACCAAAAAGCAGCTTCTCTCCTATTTTTCACTGAAGCAGAGTCCAGGACTTCTGAGACCCCCCGAGGCATCCCTCCACATCTGCTAAGGAGCCTGAGGAACTGAGGAGAGAGAATAGGGCAGAGTCACTCCAGCCTGAGTGCAAAAGTGATCAAAAGAAGCAGTCCCTTCTCGGAGCAATTCTTTTCCATTCTTGGTATAGGAGTTGAAGTTTCTTTGCTGCGCTTCACTGGAGGTGATAATTCTATAAAATAATATGCTTAAGTTTTTCAGATGATATAACCTAACTAATGTACATGCAGGTAGGTTATATTCCTTTCTGGCTACTCTAGTACAGATTTCTCCCAAAACATTTGGGCAGTGGACAAAAGCTAAAAAACTGCTCCTCTCTGGTGCTGTAAAAGGTAGCCTTTGGCAGGCCACACAGGCCTTTCTAGACAGCATCTTGTCTTCACAGCCGCACCTCCTTTTTTGAAGTCATATCACCAGCATTTTGAGTACCAGAGTACCTATTTAGGGCACGAGAATATGCAGCTATCAAAGAATTTGCACGGAGCACATGGCTGGTAAAAAAACAACAACGAAAAAATCCCACTGTTCTAGGATTTCTCCATCGATTTGAGGGAACCAGGGAATTCTCTAGCAGCCATAGTTAAGGGTCACTTTAGCAATTGGAAACAATGATCAAGCAGCAAATTGTTGGCAGGGGACATCCAGACAGAAGGTAGCTTAAATTGATGGCTTCTGTGGAGGCCAGGGGAATTCAAAATAGAATTTGCCTGGGATTTTGTTTGGCCAAACCACCTTTACTAAAGAACTGTGATATCCAAACAATGCCCATCTTCCAGATCAAATTCAGAAAGCTGGAATGAGGAGTTCCTAAATAAATAAAAGTTATTCCAGAAGGATGAAGTGTCCCCTTTTCAAAAAAAGAAAAATGCGTCTTCCATGTATTACCCCAATTTGCTGTATAGGCAATGTTGTTGTGAAGCTATCCAAAGAATTTATTTGGTTCTATCAGGTGTTAAATAGCTTCAAATAATTTTATATGTAATTTACAAGATTTTAAGTTTGACTGTACCTGTACCTGACCTCTGTCATGAATACTCATTTGGCATGGATGGCAACTTAACCTGGTTTAAAGACAAATGATACCAGCTGGATATACATCTTTGTCCTGAAAAGATTCAGACGACAGTAGAGACAATCATCACCATCATCTCTCACTACAGTGTCTGCCAGCACAGGTCCTACCTGTTCTCTTGGCTCCCAGCTTCTAGGTCACAATGATTGCAGCTTATGTAAACTTAAGCAGTGCCTGTAGGCTAACACCAACAATTTCTTGGCAAGTGAAATTGGACGCTTGCTTACCTCCCCAGCCTCGGGTCTCACTGCTGCGCTCATTCCTGCTATTCTCCCTGGCTCTGATTCTCCTGAGCTGCTTCCAGTTCTCCACATGGCTCAGATGATCTTTTGCCCTCTGTCTCCCTGGTCCCTCTGCGTTAGTAACCTCTGTTCCGGTGCCAGCCACCCCTCACTTTGCAGACCGTGCTTCTGGCTGAATGCTGCACACTCTTCCCTGAGCCAAGGTTGCTTTCCTGAACACCAGTAGCCCTGCACTCAGCACCAATCCCCCGTAAGTGCTTCCCCATGGCATGCCCCATCTTTACCCTTTCTCAGCCCTTAGTGTCCTCCACTGTATTGCAGTCATCAGGGGAGATGGCTTATTCCCAGCACTTAGTTTATTGCAGAGGCATAATGCATATTTAATGATAAATGAAACCCCAGAACCTCACCCCCTGAAAAAACACACCAAATATTGTTGTCTCTCAAAGAGGGCAGTCTTGGTGCAAAAGAAAAAATGAAGCCTGAGTTTGTATTACAAAGGCATGATCTTGAACCAGTTCTGTTACCTACTACTCTTGCACCTCTAAGAAATCACTTCCCTCCTAGGTGAGTCAGTTTGTGCATCTATACAATAAGGGTAATGGTACTTTGCTTCTAAAGTAGCTGTGATTTCTAAAGGCTTACTGGCACACGAAGTACATAGCAGTGCAGTATTTGGGACCATGTTGGTAGGAATAAAATTACTCATCATTCCATGGGTATCCTGGAATGTTCATCTGGAATGCAGCTGGGCAGAGCCACTCCTTCGTGTCCACATGGCCACATCACACCTTTGCTCAGTTGCTGTGACAAGCTGCAGGCTTCCCTCACAATCACTCCAAGACAGCTCTGCATGCACAGGCACTGGTGAAGTGGAGCAGGCTGCAGCGTGGATACCTTGCACTCAACCCCCTAAAATGGACACTTCCAGGTACATTGGCCAGGAGAGGAGTCTTTGTGGTTGGTCTATATGTGATGTTACAAGGCTAAATGAAACAAAAATGCTTTGTGCTTATGGCCCATGAAAACAATGAATCAAGGAGGAGAAGACAAGGGCAGAAAACGAAAAGGTTTCAATGTCCAGGAAGCTGCGCCTGCACCTCTCATCAACCTGTCTTCACGAGCTATTGTTAAAGGAATAGAAGGCATTTCTAATAAACTTGGTATCATTTTCAAAATACCAAGTAGATTATTTTGTTTTATTTAGAAAAGAATACTTTGGAATCTGAGGGTCCTATCGACCTTCTTATGGCCCAATAATAATACCAACAATAAAAGTAACACAAATTGAGAGCTTATTGTGTGGCAGATGCTGTGATAAGCATGTTACAAGTGCTGTCTAATTTTTATTTCATTTCCTAATGATGTTGGAGGTGGCTTCATGTGCTAAGAGTGTCTTACGCTGACCAGGCTGCTATAACGAAATGCCAGAAACCAAGTGGCTTATCAACAACAGGAATTGATTTCTCACAGTTCTGGAACCTGAAGTCCAAGATCAAGGCGCTGGCAGATTCGGTGTCTGGTGAGGACCACTTGCTGGCTCATAGATGGGGCTTTCAGGCCGCATCCTCACATGGTGGAAGTGGAGAGGGAGCTTATTGACGTTTCTTTTATAAGGATACTAATCCCATTCGTGAGAGTTTCTCCCTCAAGACCCAGTCACCTCCCAAGGATCTCATCTCCTCATACCATCACCTTGGGGATGAGGATTTCAACAGAGGAATTTGGGGGACACAAATATTCACACAATTGCAAACAGGAAACTTGTGCAATCCTAGTGTTACCATAGAAAGAAGGAAATTTTTGTTTCACTTTTTGAGCGTGGAAAACCCAGGAAAAACATTTCCAGCTTTTCCCTACCCCTTCTTCCCTCCTTCCTGGTTGGGTAGGAGAGACCACTGTGAGCAGTGAATTGGGGAGAATGAGTGCAGCCTGGTGGGCCTAGTCTCTGTTGGATCCACCTGTCCCCTGCTGGGTGCATTTAGGCCTGCTCTTGGCTCTTTGCAAGCTTAGAGAAGCTGGCTTTGCCCATTTTGGGCCCTGACCCTAAAATGACCAAACTGGCGAGGGGGGTGCATATCAAAACCATATTCTCTAATCAGCTTAATAGCAACACAGCTGATATTTTTATTTGCAATTCTGTCCCCTATGTCTGATTTCTTAATAGATACCAAAGCAGGAGGGGAAGGTAGGGCTTTTATTGCCATCCTACACCCCTCCCAGACCAAAATTTTAACTGGAAAATCAAACGTTGGACAATCAGCTTTGCATCAGTGACACATTCAATTAGCCCACAATAAGCCACAGAGCACAGGCTCCTGAAGGAGACACTTGATCTGGAGCAGCCTTACAAAAATGGGATTTATGAAGATTTGGTCCTCAGAAGATTCTTTAAAAGCTAGAGGAAAAAGGTTGATTTGAGGAGTATGGACACCGCCTAACGTTGCCGATGAGTTGACATGTGCTTTCAGTTCACTCGTGCACAGCACACAGGAGTAACCGTTCCCTCCTACACCACACTGCTCATGTTGGGGAGAAATGGGACTTCGTTAACAAGATCTTACCATTCATCCCTTCTCTCTATTATTTCCTCAAGGATGGAGGACAAATACGAGTTAAAATACCAACTTATTATTAAATTTTTGCCAGCCACAGAAGTGCTAATCAAAGTTAGATGCTAACAGTTTTGAAACTCCCATCTGCTAGATCCAGAGACCTACAAGCAGAGAAGTGGCTATGGGAAGAGGGAGAGGGAAAGGAAAAGAAAGGTAATGCAGTCTTCTGAGAGAGAAAGTCAGTCTGGTGTGCAGAAGAGATCAGGGGCCTTTGCTGCGGCCCTGGAGAGCCCTGAGTGAGGGCACCATGGCCAGGACAATCGACTTGCTCATCTCTGGCCCAGGCAGAGGAAAAATGGAAATTTCTCTCAGGGCAGTGAGTCCTATTTTAGAGAAGCAGCAGCTGTTTCTTTTTTCTTTTTCTTTTTCTGTTTTTTGTTTTGTTTTGTTTTGAGATGGAGTTTCGCTCTTGTTGCCTAAGCTGGAGTACAATAGCGTGATCTCAGCTCACTGTAACCTCCGCCTCTCAGGTTCAAGGAATTCTCCTGCCTCAGCCTCCCAAGTAGCTGGGACTACAGGTGCCCACCACCACACCTGGCTAATTTTTGTATTTTTAGTAGAGAGGGGGTTTCACCATGTTGGTCAGGCTGGTCTCTAACTCCTGACCTCAGGTGATCCACCCACCTCGGCCTCCCAAAGTGCTGGGATTACAGGCGTGAGCCATCGCACCCAGTCAGCACCTGTTTCTTTCGTGAGGTAGGAGCCGGAAAGTGGGTGGCGAGAAGGCCTCGTGTTGCTCCCAGGAGCAGCTCCCTGGGAGGGATGGTTGCAGGAAGCTTGCCCAGGAGTCCCTCCTCTCACTGGGGAATGGGGAAGTTGAGGCACAGGCAGAAGCAGCTCCCTTCTGATCCCCATCTCATTTACCTTTATCCCAGATCACTGTCTCCTTCTGGATGACAATAACTTTTCTTAACACTTCGAAATAGAATTTGCAAACCATTTGTAAAATAAAAATATTCAGATCACCTACATATTTAAATGAAGTGGAGGAATGTAAATATTGTCAAAATTGTTTTTTCTTAATGATATACCTATTGTTAACCTTACCTGTGTCCTTCAGGTACAGATGTTTGATTTGTCTGAGTGACACACAGAAGAACCCCAGCTATGCATTCGGGAGGTTAGACATGAATTTAAATCTAATCCTTCCCCATCTCCAAGATGCATACATATTTTCTCAAAGCTTCACAATAATATTGAAGAAGAGATGCATCTTTTTATTTGTACGAATGTAGCGTTTTTTAGAATTTACACAATGCAAAACAATTTGCAGGTTTATTTTTATATTTAAGGAGGCAACAGCGCACTGATGTCCCTAAATCTGGGTGCCCTGGTCACTTTTTATCTCCTCCCTCAGTGATAACTGAGTTTCTCTGGAATAAAATCATAGAAGGAGTCCATTATGAAGTCAGTCAACTAGACCCAGGCTTCCTGGCAATAAAACACTGTGCAAAAATTTCTCCTTTTCTATGCGACTATAAAAGGAAGGTCAGATTAGGTTTGAGATCACAAGGAAAATTCCTTGGGAAGTAAACTTTTCTATATGATAGTGAAAGGTACCACTCAGAAGAGTCAAAGAGATAGCCCTCTCACCCCAAAGTCAATAGGAAATTCAAGTCCATTGACATTGTCATTGGCAGAAGGGGTTCCGGCATGATTGACATAAATTGCTATCTTGGAAGAACTGTGAAGAAATGTCATTTCCGAAATTAAATAGCTTGAATCTCCGTGGCCAGGGGATGGGTGGCATGTGGATGACCACACACAGCGGGGAGCTCGCTTGGCATTTAGCTCAGTTACCGTGATGCCCTGAACATAAACGTCTGAAAGGAAAAGAAAAAAAGAAAGGGGAAAAGGGATTCCATTGCCTAGAAACCAAAACCTCACGACACACAAACCAAACAGAAGAAGGAAAAGTCTTTGTACACTCTGCCTTGCTTTGTGTCATATTTTCATCCCTAAAAGAAAGGAAATTTTCTGATGAATCATCTGATATGAACAGAAAGTAAAACAGGAGTTGTCTCCCAGAGTCTCCACGGAGTGATAGTGCCTACCTGGGCTTGCAGCATCCTCTAGAAAGGAAAGACGATGAGAATGCAGAAAGTTAACTCATTAATAAATAACATCTCTGCGCACAATTTGCCAACTTTTCATTTTGTCTTACAAGGTTTTAGGAAGAACTAAAACAAGGGCAGCTTTCAGAGACAGAATGTGAAAACTGAGAGTCAGTGTTCTCTGTACTAAGATGTGAACTTTGTTCTTTGTTTGCACGCTAATTGCATTGTGTCAACAGAAGCAATTTCTGTTAGAAAAAAATGTATAATGGTATTTCATACTAACATGAGACTCTGAATCCAGGTATCTTTGAAGAGTCCAGAAGTGCTGTAACAAACTGCTAACATTTAAACTCATGGAAGAAAGCTTTTAGAAAATGAGATGTGTACTTAAATTATCCTGAAGTAAGTGTTGATTGTTAAAAGGAATAAAAAGTTTCGTTGAAAAGTGTATTGTAGGGTGCTACAATTTGCTTGGGGTTTTTGTTTCATTTCCTCTGTAAAGAATAGTTTCACAGATATTTAGGCGAGTTAAACATTCATACACCTATATAGACACTGTCTTGCCCTCTGAGCTGCTGCTGTGTATTTATTACTAGAGAAAATTGTACCAGCTAGGCAGCAAATTGCAATGCCCTAATTTCAACATCTCTTCATCTTGCCTAGACTGACAGACACCCTTCAAAACTGTTGGGTAAATTTTCTGGTGATCCTTGGCTCTCTCACAAATTACTCCAAAGCTCAGTTCTTAAAAATAACTGTTTTACGATGCATGCAGATTCTGTGGGTCAGGAATTCAGAATGGATACAAGGGGTGCTTGTCTCTACTCCATCATCCTGGGGCCTCAGCTGGGAGGAATTGAGACTTTTTTGGCAGGGGATCGTAATTCCTTGTAATTTTAAAAGGAATTTCACATTTTATTTCATGTAAAAAGAAGATAAGATATAGTTCGGTGATTTTGTTTTCAAATTTAGAAGCGTGGCTATCAAAAGATCATAAAACTTAAGAGCCATGGTTGATGCTGGAGGATTTGTCCTTTTTTTCTGAGACTATAGAATGGAATTGTTAAGTACTAAAATGAACTGATACTCCTTTAGAATACACACATGAAGAGACTGAGGCAGAGTTCCCAGCTAGGAACCCAGAGCTGGAATGGTCCATGGTAGGATTGCAGAGAAAACTGCAGTTTTCTGTATCTGCACCCAGGCCACATATAAACATCCCATCTCTCTAGAGATTGAGAACACTGTTGAGAAGAGGATCATTTTAAGAGTTAGAAAACTTATCATCTGAAAAGGCTACATATGGTATGATTGCAACTATGTAATATTCCAGAAAAGGCAAAACTATGAAGACAATAAAAAGATGAGTGGTTGCCAGAGGTTGAGGGGAGGGAGGGATGAAAGAGGCAGAGCACAGAGGATTTTTAAGGTGGTGAAACTGTAATCCTTTGTATGATATTATAATGGTAGATGCATGCCAGTATACATTTGTCCAAACCTATAGAATGTACAAGATCAAGAGTGAACCCACATGCAAACTTTGGACTTTGGGTGGTAATGATATATCAATGTGGTTTCATCAGTTGTAACAAGTCTATCACTCTGGTGTAGGATGTTGATAGTGGGGAGGCTGTGGGTCTGTGGGGACAGAGGGAATATGGAATATCTCGGTACCTTTCACTTCATTGTGCTGTGAGCCTAAAACTGCTCTAAAATAAAGTCTTTTTTTTTTAAAGGCACATCAGGTGAATTTGCTTTAATATATAATTTGGAAAACGAAAGTTTAGTACTCAGCATGAGAGCTTTTTTTGGAGAAACATGATATCAAAACAAGGGCCCAGTTAGTGAAAAGATTCCAGCAAGTATATTCCCTGTTGAGAAGAGCCTGAGGAGTCATCAGAGAAAAGGCAATTAATTCCCCTCTCCAGGTGGACTGTTGGAATGGAGGGTGTAATAAAACGCCAGCAAACAGATCTGTCTGCCAAGAAAAGCTGGACGATCACAGTGTATGTTAAGAAGTGCGCACGTTTAAACCACGCTAGGCAGTTATTCAGTTTGACTTGAACTGGACAGGTTCCATTTGGAGGCTTGGTTTGGGCATCCCTCCTTTCACAGACAGAACAAATGAGAGGGAGCTCTGAAGGGAGCATCAGAAATGATAAAAGGGTTAGAAAATGTGACCCATGAGAAAAGGTTAAAAGAACTGGACACATTCAATCTACAGAAAAGAAGACCTGAGGGAGGCATAATAACTATTTTACTCCCACATAAAGGGATATTATAAAGAGGATGGGGACCAATTATTCTTATTAGTCAATGGGGACAAAACAAGACGTAATAGGCTTATGCTGCAGTAGGGCAGATTTAGGTTAAATATCAGGATGAGCTTTAACACTATCAGAAGTTCGAGAAGATGAGGGAGGGCTTGTGTGGACGCTTCTTCCCTAGAGATGGCTGAGGTTGAATTTAATGCGTTATTAATTGGGATGGGTTCGGAATTTTAAAATCAAGTCCTCTCTTATATATGTAGCTTGATGTGTCATTTAATCCTCTTACTCTGCTTAAATAATTGATTTGGGGATCTATGTGAATGGGAACAAGTATATATGTCTGAGGGTTTCCCATTCTACATCTTTACATTATACTGTCAAGAGAAGAAACAGTGTTCTTAAATAAGCGTCAAAATACATTTATTACATCTGTTATTAGAGAGTGCACAGTGTACTATTTCATAATTCGTGAAATGTACAACTTCCATCAACCTTTGAAATGTTTTACAGAAACATAACACTCAATAGTGTCTAAACAAGTATGTGACAAGAACATTGAAACATGCTTTCTATAAGGAATAAAATCGTATTACCAGTAACTTCCCTCTCTCTCTGTCTCTTTCTCTCTCTCCCCCAACCCCTCGCCCCCCTCTCATTTCCTGGTTTCAGTCAGGCTTTAGAAAACCCTTGGCACCTGGAACCAAGGAACGTACAACCCCAAACACTCACCCCCTACTGTGGCTTATTGGAATTTTTATCTGCCTAAAGATTGGGCAAGTTTACCTCATTATTTCTCCACTCTCTCATTGGTCACAAAGTTTGTAGCCCTTGATACATCTTTTCATGGAGCCATTAAGTGAAACAGCCAGTAATGAGTGTCTTCATAATGACTCATTTAGTTCCTTCCACTGGAAGCGATGCATATTACTTCTGCAACACTTCACCTACTCCATTCAAGAAACCAGCAGCCCTGGTTAGTTCCCATTACAAACTTAACTTCTCTTGAAATCTCTGGTGCTACAAAATGTTCTTTTCACTTCCCATGATCTTGATTTTTAATATATTCTGTAGCTTGTCTATTATGAAAACAGTGAAATTACTTTAAAGGGTCCTACAGTTTTCATGTATTTATATGTATCCCAAACTCTTTCAACTGCCAATTGTTCATTAAAATCCAGTCAATTTGAATCATTCATAAAAAATAAAAGTACTTTAATACTATGCTATGTTGATCTTACCAGGGTGTCTTTGTGAAAATAGCATGTTTCAAAATAATTCTAAATTTCCAAATAGATTGTTCAAAGACAAGCTTTCATTCACAAATATTGATACTACACATTTCATGATTGCATTTCCTGGTAAGTAGAGTCTAAATAGAGTCTAAATATAACCCAGGCCCTGTCGATGGCCAAGGTCATCTCACCACCACTGAGCAGAAGTTTACCATGCAGAAAAGCATGTTGCATATGAACATGAACCAGGTACCCCTTAAACAGTGCACTGTTGTATTTGCTGGCTTTTTATGTTTTTCAATTACATTAATGAATGATGTGTCTTTATATCCTTAAAAGAAATAAGTCCTTAAGAATAAATTGCGATCAGATTGTACTAGATAATCTTTATTCCACGCTAACGATCAATAACACAGCATTCTAACTGTATTTGGCTAGAAATTTTGAGACTCAAATTAGGAGATATTTGAATTTTTTTAAAGAATGTTATAGGTAGTCTTATGGAAATTACTTTTGGCATTGAAGATTACAAAAAATGTTTCTGAATTTCTGATTTGTAAATCCAGTCAATTCCAAATCTCTTACACCTTCTGGGAATTATTTCTGCCATTTACATCTTGGCCGATGCTGGCTTCACATACTAAATAGCAACTCTGACCATCCAAGTTGCCTTTTTAAAAACCCTGTTGACTCTTAGCATTGGGTACAGAGAAAAACCCAAATTCATGCATGAGCTCGTTTGTCAATCTTTCTTTGATTTTTGGAGCAGTAGCTCTTTTTATTTTTGATTATACAAATGATAAAAGTTTATCACATAGCATTTAGAAAATACCCAAAGCCTGAAGATTAAGGGACAAACCAATCATAATCGCATACTTAAGCAACATTAAGTTCACCCTATGTGTTTGCATTTTCTAGGCCTCTGAGCTTTCCCTGGACTAGCTCCTCCCCGGAATGCTTTCCTCTCAACCAGCCACCTTGAGATCTACTTTTAGACCTTTAAGGGAATGCTTTCCTCTCAACCAGCCACCTTGAGATCTACTTTTAAACCTTCAAGGTTCAGGTAACATCTTGATAATGCTTTCTGTGGCCCCTGACCTCTACACAAAAGAGCTCATTGTGTTGTAGTTATTTGTCTTAAGCACTTGTTACTCCTCCCCACAGGATGGTTTCAAGGCAAGCCCTGTCTTAC
Source organism: Homo sapiens (assembly GCF_000001405.40). NCBI lineage: Eukaryota > Metazoa > Chordata > Mammalia > Primates > Hominidae > Homo > Homo sapiens. Next base: position 104,472,193 of record NC_000002.12, on the reverse strand, counting down.
GTGTTTTTATAACCTTGGCAATTAGCATAGTGCCTGCATCAAGTGGGCTCCACCAATTTTTCATAAATGAGTAAAATAAACAATTTTCTCCTGTCACTGCAGAGTCCAACCAACTCCCAGCCAACCCTCTCCCTGTACCCACTCTTGCCATGCAGGGAAAGCCCACCTACTACATGAGTCTGGGTAAGAAGGAGCAACACGCTGTAGCCAATTCCCTTCTGTCTGACTCAATCTCTTGTCTTTGCAACAGCGCTTGAGTTTATAGTACTAATTTAGTTACTGCATCGTTTGTTTAAAAGAAAACCATGACTATTTGTTAAAACTCTGCCACTGATGTATACTTAAAAATAGTTATTTAATGAAACCATCTCATTTGCTTTAAATTTTTACTAAGCCGCTCATTCTATTTTGCACTATGCTTTATTAGATTATCTGTCATAAACACCAAAAGGGATGTGGTTGCAGACACGCACCATATAGCCAGGCACAGCCAATACTCACTCACTTCTCCACCAGAGATATGTTGAAGTTGGCTTTTCTCATTTGCAATGCTACACTTATGTTCTACTCACAAAATTGATCCTCTAAATTCAAAGGATTCTTGCAAGTGAATGATTAGAAATACATAATTTTGGTGACAAATCATAGGCCTACAGTAGAATAATTTGATATTTGAATGGGATCCTTGTCATGAGAAATATTATGATGATGTGAGTTGAACCACAGCAGGTACAAAAAAAGAGGGGGCTCACTTGGGAATCCTTACAAACACCTTTTTTTTTTTGCAGGACATTGGTAGTTTCAACTCTGTCTTAGAATATTATTATAGGCTAAGCTTAAAATGAAAAAGCCCTCAGGTCACAGGGAATCATTACATGTCTTTCCACTGATAAATTTGTTGTTGAGTTTATTTACATAAAATCAGTTGTTCTCCACATATGTTATCACATAATTTAATTCATATAATTTATTTTCTTTCTGGAACCTCATGAAAAAGATTTCTGGAGAGGAATCGTGCATGTGTATATGGTGAGGAAGGCATAGCCTGGCATGAAGATCTCTTTGCTGGGAGTCGGGAGACCTGGCCCCTTGCATTGTCTCTGGCCATGAACATGGCAATTTTCTACAAATAATTACTTTGTCCCTCCAGTCCTATTTTGAACCATATTCTCCCTGAGGTCTCCTCGATCTCTACAATTAAATGATTCTATTTTCTATATGGATTTTGTAGTCTTCTCTGGGCTCTGGTTATTTTTCCTAAGAAAACTTCACCTCTTTCTGCACATTTGGTTCTCATCCCAAGTATTTGCAAAGTGGTCATTCTCATTGGCTCCCGCAACTGTGGTGTAAACATTTCAACCACTGTGAAGCCTTTTAGGTCATTAGTGTCCAGTATGTCTGTTGACTTGAACATATAATGTGACTCCAGAAAGTTCTGAAAGTGTGAGCTTTTGGAACGGAACAAGGAACACTCAAGGCACTTGATGCAGAGGCTGTGTCTGCCCAGTCTGCATCCGCCTGTGCCCCCAGCACTGAGTTTTGTGTGGCCCCTGTCAGTTAGGTGAGTGGCACCCAGAGATATTAGAGCAAACCATATGGAGCAGGAGTGAGAGCTTTAGGTGCAGAACCACGGGTACCTTCGATACAGATGTGCAGAGCTCTTGTGTTATCCAGCTTTGAAAGAGACAAAGGCTATTGTGTACTTATGGCTTATTTTCCTCTAAGAGAAAAACTTAGTAAGCATTTTTGACACATGTACTAAGTATGTCTGTGTAGCAGCTGGAATGACACAATGGACCCTAATAGCTTTTTCAGGTTTTTTTCATAGTATTTGCACACTGCAATCCCCCTCTGTCCCCCAGAAGATTTGCTTACATGCCACTATCCTGCCTAATGTTTGGATCTGGATATTTATTAAAGGAAATAGAAGAGCCAGGCAACTTCTAAGGGCCCATCCCTTAAAGGAGATACTTTGCTCTTCACATGTTTATTCCCACAAAAGTCCAAATATAGGAGATTACTTTCCAATTTGGATGATGAAATAATCTATGGTGCAAAGATGTCAGATCTCCGTAGTGTGTTTTTGTCCACCCAATCCTGTGCACTACCAGGCACAGACCCCAGTGAAAGCGACAAAGGTGTTGCCTTGTAGCAAGAGCGGCCACGTGGCTGCGATTATGTCTGAATTAACACATCAACATTAGGAACCTCTGAGAAAAACACATTTCCCTGATGTGTATTTGTGGCTTGTAAGTTTGTAAATGGAATAGATGAAACAATGGCACACTCTCTCCCTCATATCTCCTTGCACATTTGTTGGTTTATTTGCCCTGTTTTGGATATAGGGATATGAAAGACAGGTAGGAAATGTGTGTATAGACGTCTATCATTTATAAATAGAGTGTAAATTGAACATGCCATTTCTCCATCAGCCGTGATATAAATGCTTAATGTTAGAATGCATTGCTCTGCAAGTGATTGTCTCTGTGGCTTTGTTTACACCATCTTTTTGCTTTTAGTGCTGGTAGGGGGAGTGGGGGTGGGGTGAGAGGAGAGCCTAGTGTGAAATTAGAGAACTGCAGTGTTCTGATGGCAACTTTCTTCTCCAGCAATTTCTAACAACAAGCTGCAGGAACATCACTTTAAATAGATCCATAACAAAGAGTTAAAAAAAAAAACGCATTAGGTCTTTTTGTTCTTCTGTAGCAAAATAACAACTTCAGCCCGTATTTCAAGATGCATATTTGCTCTGTCAGTCCCCCGGACTTAAAAGTGAAGTTGAAATCAATCTCAGATGGATTATCTGTGTGATATAAACATGTGGGCATGAAATGTATAGAGACTACATATGGCAGGCCCATCTGATATAAACAAGTGGGGCTGAGAAATATACATACATGCCGTGATTGATTTGTTAACTGTGTATGTAAATGGAGCTGAAAGCCCATTTCCAAGCATGACCTGCGATAAGCAAACGCATATAAATACACAATAAACGGAGATAACACAAGAATAACATCAATTAAAACAATTATGACAACTTCTAGTCATCACGAGGTATTGTTTCAGTTCCATCTTAAAACAGGAAAAGCTTCCAATTGTTCTTAAATCGACTGGTAACTGATTCAACATTTGTGGAGGCTTGACACAAAAGGATTTTTGTCCCTCGTTTGTATTCATCTGAGGACATGTGAGTTCCAAAGCCTGAGAGGGAAGTTATGTATGGCCTTCTGTTGGACTGGGACAGGTTGAAGTGGTGTCTACCAATAAGACTCCTTTTATTTCATTATTGCAAAGTACACATTTTATATTTCCTTACCAAGCTGAAAGGGCAAAAGTCTAAGTATTAACATTTTAAACCACTGCCTTGAAGTCTACCAGCTAAAGAATACAAAACCTACAATTTATACTTTAGTAAATCAATTTGCATTATTTGGTGGTATAATTGAATTGAACAGAATGCACAGTTACGTATTTAAATTTACTAAGGCAAATAATTAAGAGAAATCCATGCTCCCATGACATGAAATTATTTTGTTCATGCACGTGGATGTACACCTAGACTAAAGAAGCAGGTTTTATTGCCACACACCCAGGGCTTCAGGGCCCCTGATTCCCGGTGCCTGAGTCTGGGTCTTTGTGTGCACTACCATGCTGCCTTAGCCCCTTCTCCACTGCTACTTAAGACATGGTTAAAAGGCCTACTCTAGCAAACCCCATGCTTCCCTGGGACAGGGTGGGTTGCTTTCTCTTAATCTTCTCTGCAACAGAGACCTCTGTTTGGGCTCTCCTCACAGGGCCTTGTTAATCACAGGTTACACAGGGGCTAGTTTTTGGATCTCTCTCCCTCATGAGGTTGCAGATTTGAGGAACCAAAAGCATCCTATGGGTCTTATCTGACCAGTTAGTCTCAGCATCAGAACAGCATCCACGTAGACATTTCTAAACAAGCAGAGACTAAATGTCTTAAATCGTGGTAGAAGCCACAAATTTTTGTCTAGACTCAGAATTTCAGACATTTCCTATATATCAACAGATTGTTACTAAGGCAAAATGAAAAGTATCACCATTGCATAGTTGTAACTATTTATTAAGACATCAGGACCAAATAACACTGATTTAGAATCTGCATGTCATCTCTGACTTGGCCCATGCAGTGAAAACTTGACCTCTGCAAGCCCGTGTCTGACACACTGCCACAGTGAGTTCCTCTCTCCTCAGTCTGCCTGGCTCAATGGCTCCACTCAGCCACTACACTCTTGGGTCACCGTCCACATATGGCTCTCTCCTCTCCTCAACTGGCTCTTAAATTCCTCCCAGGAAAAGAAAATACACTTATAAATTTTTGACTCAAATAATCAAAGTAGTTGCCTTGAATTCTTCATGACTTTATTTATGAAAGCCTGATTGAGTGTCAATGGCGATGTTGTCTTGGGTGTAAATCCTCTTACTCATAGCTTTATTCCATTTTGTGAAATAAGGAGAATTGGTATTTAAATTGAGCTTTCACATGAGACATGATTAAATAATTTCTACTGAAACCCATAGGCATGCAACCATGCAGAGAGACATTGTGATCTCTGCCTCTGAATCGGACCATTAGTCCTTTGACATCTCTGGTCTGTCCCCTGGTGTAGAATGACCACCAAGGTGAGTTCAAGGAAAAGCCACAGCTGCCTCTTCACCTCTGTTCTCATAGGTTTCTTTTTTCAATGCCTCTATTCAATTTATATAAAGAAAAAAACAGAGCCTCGGGGATCTCTTCACACTTCTGAGTCTCTGTCAAGCAAAAAGATAAAGTAAGTGTTGAAGAAGGTGCATGATAATGTAACTGGAAGTGTCCATGCCTTCCAGTAAGCAAAGGGCTTGACCCAGTAATGTTTGTGTAAGTTGTCTCCTGACTCCAGAGGTCCACCTATGTCTATTGAGTACAACCACGTGGGTTCCAAACATGTATACATTATAATCGGGTAAATAGAATTCTCTTATTGGGGTGGCACATTTCCTCCTTGGAGAGGAAGAGTATTGCTTCAGACTAGAGGATCCTGAGGTCCCTGACCAAAGAAGTTCATTTTAAAGGACAACATCCCCGGGGTTTATGAATTGTCACCAAACAGACAGACCAATTTAAAATGATATTCAGCCATGTGGATGAGTCAAATGTGATGCCACTGCTTCTGCCTCAGTACTATAAGTGGAGAAAATGGATTTCCTGTAGAATTCTGGATGAGAGCTCTGGATGAATTCCCAGGGAAAAAAATGTCTGACCATAATCAAAAGTGGTGTCAGGTTGGGTTTGGGGAATTATGGATGATTTCATAGTGAGGGAGATCAAATACAAGGTAGCTAGTGTAGGAGACAAAGCTAGTGGCACAAGCAGAGACAGGGCCAAAGGGTATCATTCATCAAGCCAGGGAAACTTGTTCTCCCTCAAGAGGCTGGGGAGTGGTGGAAGCCTGGTGAGCAGGGAGGATGTGGTCAGGCTCACGCAACTCTTGGCAGCCCGTGGGACAGGTATGCACAGACACACACTGCTGTCCAACTGGTCACTGTGCTCTGGATCACCCACCCTCAGAAGGGCTCTGCAAGATCTTCAGTGAAGTTGGACATAACTCTTAATTTGCTTGGAGAATGTGGAGAGTCAAGGGACTGAATGTTTTATTGTGCAGGGCTGAAAGAGAAAAGTATGTAATCGTTTCTGGAAAAATTTTATCCAAATAGGCCTCCTTGTGTGGAGTTGGAAGAAGAGTATAATTTCCTCAGAGACTATTCCTGCATGATTCAGGAACACTTCTTTAATATCCAACAGAGGAATGAGATGCAAACATGAAAACAAAGGGATCTGATCATGTGCCTTCCACCAGAGTCCACATCTTCCCATCATCTGGGGTACAAGCACAAGCATCTCAGGTTAGGCTTTTGAGAAGAAGATGTGATGTGAAGATTTCTGTGCAATCGATGCATGAAGGAAGAGCTTCCAGGAGAAACTGGTGAAAGATGAGGTAAGCAGACCACAGAAAAGGGGAAGCCAGGCCAGGGAGTCGTGCTAGGCAAACGAGCATCCTCAGTCTGTCTGATCTGCCAGGGAGCTCTGGAGTATAAGTCAAACCTGAGAGATGGACTGACTTGGGGTACGGGAGCCAGTCTTCATATCTGACACTGGCCAGACTTTGGAGAGGGGAATCAGGAGCTGAAGGGCAGTTTTCTGCCCTGATGCAAGCCAGAGAAGCAGGGCCATAGAGGAAGAGGTGGGGGACACACCAACAACAGGTAAAGGGACCCAAGAAACTCTTGGCTGAGCCGGGCCAGTGTCTCCAACAAACTTTTCACCGACTGAGGTCTGCATACAGGCTGAGAAGTATAGTTTGGAGTCAGATATGCAAGTGTTTTTCCCCCTTGAGCATCTACTTTTCTTATTAGATGTGTAAACCTTAGCAGAGTACTGAATTTTCTCCATATAAGAGCTCAGAGTTTCTACTTTTGCAAAATGGAAATAATGATATTGCCTCCCTTATGGAACTGCGGGACTTCAATGACATGAAGTATGTATAGTACTCAGCTCAGTGTCTGCACATAATAAATGGGTAATAAATGTTAGTGAAAATGAGAATTGAATTTCTTATGCTTAAATAGTCACCATTGACTAAGTGTTTAATCAGAAGGCATGCAAATGGTGTGGATATGCGGAACTCCAAATAAAATTTGTCCTGATACTTGAGGGCAAACATACAATCTGGCTTTTTGAATTCAGATACCTCAGCTTCTTTTGATCTGAATTATTCAGGGAACCAATTCAACTTTCTGCCTAGTCCTGTTTTGCTTGGAAAACACAAATGCTGCTAACATTATGGTTCTTTCATTATACAAATCATAGAACTTCTCTGGGCCCAAGTTTCTCATCTATAAATAAGATAGTTTGACAAAATGATTTCCAAGTTTCCTTCCAAAGTTTACTATGACTGCATTATTTTGCACATGTCATTCTAGACGGAATTAATCGTAGGAAAATAAACGTTCAATTATGCTGAAGGTTACAAACTTCTAGCCTTTACAATTCAAAAATATTTCACTAAAATTAGACTTCAGTTAGAAGTACGAAGGCAGTAACATGAACTATTTTGTTTCAGTGTTGTTTTGACCTATTGTTATTTTGGGGTTGAAAACAGTGTATCTGGCCAGGCAAGGTGGCTCATGCCTGTGGTCCCAGCTCTTAGGGAGGCTGAGGCGGGTGGATCACTTGAGGTCAGGAGTTCGAGACCAGCTTGGCCAACATGGTGAAACCTTGTCTCTAATAAAAAATAAAAAAATTGGTCAAGAGTGGTGGCATACTCCTGTGGTCCCAGCTACTCGGGAGGCTGAGGTGGGACAACTGCTTGAACCTGGGAAGTAGAGGTTGCAGTGAGCTGAGATTGTGCCACTGCACTCCAGCCTGGATGACAGAGGAAGACTCTGTCTCAAAAAAAAAAAAAAGAAAACAGTGTGAGAAGAGGTGAGAATTATCTTAAAAATAACTTAAACAATCATAATCATTCCCAAAGAAAATTTGCAGCCCAGAAGAAATGTCTGCTACGTTGTTTTGACCTACGTGAAGGAAATTGTCAGAATGATAAAGCTCTTTATGACAGTTATTACATTGGCAAACAAATAAAGCAGTCTTTCTTGAGATATAAAATACATAGCCTTTGTAAAATATAAAGACCCTAAGTTAGGGAAGCTCTCAAGCTAAGATATATTTATTCCCCTTAAAATAACCTAAACATAGATAGCAAATAGAATAGGGTAATGAGATTTGATCATTTACGTGATTCTAGAGAAATGAAAGAGGATATATAAAATTACATATGTTAAATTTTAATTTTGATGACTTAAAAATATTACTATTGGCCAGGTGCAGTGTGGCTCATGCCTGTAATCCCAGCACTTTGGGAGGCTGAGGTGGGTGGATCACCTGAGGTCCAGAGTTTGAGACCAGCCTGGCCAACATGGTGAAACCCTGTCTCTACTAAAAATACAAAAATTAGCCAGGTGTGGTGGCAGGTGCCTGTAATTCCAGCTACTTGGGAGGCTGAGATGGGAGAATCATTTGAACCTGGGAGGCAGAGGTTGCAGAGAGCCAAGATTGTGCCACTGCACTGAGCAAGAATCCTCCATATTCTCACCTATACGTAGGAGCTAAACAATGAGTACACAGGGGCATACAGAGTGGAATAATAGACACTGGAGGCTCCAAATGGTGGGAGGGTAGGAGGGGGATGAAGGGTGAAATACCACCTATTAGGTACAGTGTACACTATTCGGGTGATGGGTATAGTAAAAGTCCAGATTTTACTGCTACATAGTATACCCATGAAACACAACTGCACTTGTGTCCCTAAATCCAAGAGATTTAATCATTTTATGGTACTTCATTTTACTTAAAAAAATCCTCTCATGGAGGAATATGAGGTAAATAAGAATTTCTCCATGAATTTAAATTTTAGGCTTAAAATATGAAGATGAACAAATCATATCCATATTTAGGATACTAAACCTGTATTCTTAAAGTTGTTCTTATACTCATTTTATAAACACTGAGATACAGTCATGCATCTCATGCATCTCAATGTATAAGGATGTTTTGGCCAATGACTAAACACATATATGATGATATGGTTCCATCATACTCTATGTTTACTGTACCTTTTTAATGTTTTGATATGCTTAGATACATACATAATTACTCTGTGTTACAATTGCCTACAGTATTCAGTATAGTAGCATGCTGTACAGGTTTGTAGCCTAGGAGTAATAGGTCATACCTTGTAGCCTAGGTGTGTAGTAGGCTATACCATCTAGGTTTGTGTTAGTATCCTCTGTGATTGCACAACTACAAAATCACCTAACAATGCATTTCTCAGAGCATATCTCCATCATTCAGCATTGCATGACTGTCTATATTTTTAAAAAATGTTTCTGAGTATGAGAAATTAAATTTTTTTAGAAGCTTAAAATGTGATTTGCATTTTTAAAACTCTTTCATAGTTTGCTTTCCTCTACAATATATTCCACACATGGCCTCAAGAATCAGTCTTAGCTAGATAAAGAGCCACCTTGAGCACAAACATCAACTCCTCCTCCACAGAGTCCAATTAATATGAGCAAAAGATGATACAGACAGGAGGCAGGGTGGGGAGAAAATCAGTGTTGAAATTATGGTTGCATTAAAGAATTTTTTAGAAATGCAAGTTAGATATTGTGCAGCTGGGCTGGATTTGAAGAAGTCACCAAGAGGAAGCTCATACTTTTCCTCATATGGGGAGAAGTACATTTCCGCAAAATATAAGTAGAGAATCTGGAAGAAGCCTAATTGCCTCAATTTGAAGGGGCAAGTGCAGGTCACAAACAAGCACTCACTCAAAATATGTTTCTCCAGCTTTGAAATAACAACACCTAAAAGTCACTGGGCTGGGCGATAAGGCATGGTTACAACAAGCAGCAGATCAGTGGGTCTGACAAGCGTTCCTTGTGCTTGATGGAGCCAGGGGCAGGACCCTGAGGCCAGAAAGATGTCTTAAAGGCATCAAGTAGTATGGTTAAAACAGGATCTGTAACTTCGAAATAATTAGGAAAAGTAACTCATATAAATTATAGTTTACATTACCAAAAAAAGGAACAGAAAATAAAAGGGAGAAGTAAATAAAAATATCATAATAACAAAAAGAGACCACGCATATCACTTATGATAATAGATGAAAATGAATTAATGTTCTCTATTAATATCACAGAAAGCAAATCACACAGAAGATAAAACAGAGGACCAATTTTTCTTTTAAAAATTAAGGATATAATCACCAAAGAAGGCAATGCTTATAAAATTTATGGATAGAATTGCATAGCATCAAATTATACAAACAAATGTTTTCAGAAACACAAAAGGGACAATTGGTCAAAAATTAACAGAAGGAAGAGATTTTGTCAAATTTTATGGATTCTTAAAAGATCTCAGGCAAAATATTAATGGGTGTATAAGGTCTGAATCATAAAACTCTTGTAATGTAATAGATACATAATTATACTAATATGACTATATCACACGTTTTTACATGTCTATGGACAATTTAAATATGATTATATTAGTTACAAAGCAAACCTCAATATAGTTCACGAAATAAATTCACACAGGCTGGGCATGGTGGCTCATGCCTGTAATCCCAGCACTTTGGGAGGCTGAGGCAGGTGGATCACCCGAGGTCAGGAGATCGAGACCAGCCTGGCCAACATGGAGAAACCCCCTCTCTACTAAAGATGCAAAACATTAGCCAGGCGTGGTGGCATGCACCTGTAATTCCAGCTACTCGGGAGGCTGAGGCAAGAGAATCATTTGAACCCAGGAGGCAGAGGTTGCAATGAGCTGAGATTACGCCACTGCACTCCAGCCTGGGAAATAAGAGTGAAACTCCGTCTCAGAAAAAAAAAATAATAATACTAAAATAAATAAGTAAATAAATTCACACATTCTCTAACAGCAATGCAATAAAACTAGAAGTTAATAACAAAAGTATAAACAAATACTTGTAAAATCTTATCTTTTCTAATAAATGTAAAGACAAATAATGTGTGCCGAAGGGGTAGGGGGAATGGAGGTTATGAAATATTTAATAAATAATTACAATAAAAGCTCACATTGGCCAGGGCGTGGTGGCTCACTCCTGTAATCCCAGCACTTTGGGAGGCCGAGGCAGGTGGATCCCGAGGTCAGGAGATCGAGACCATCCTGGCTAAAATGGTGAAACCACGTCTCTACTAAAAATACAAAAAATTAGCTGGGCATGGTGATGGGTGCCTGTAGTCCCAGCTACTCAGGAGGCTGAGGCAGGAGAATGGCGTGAACCTGGGAGGTGGAGCTTGCAGTGAGCAGAGATCGTGCCACTGTACTCCAGACTGGGAGACAGAGAAAGACTCCGTCTCAAAAATAAAAAAGCTCACATATATTAATATCTATGGCATGTTGGCACAGTTCTAATTAAACATACATTGTAGTATAAACTGCTTTTGATATTAAATAAGAAAGAATAATATAACACAAATTATTCATATTAAAGTTAGAAAAATAAGAGTAAAACAAACCAGGAGTTAAAGAGAAAGGCATTAATACAATAAAAACAGATTCAATGAATAAGTCTGAGGGCTTTTGTTTTTTTAAGAAAAATCTTATTTACAATCTTTAGCTAGTCTCTTTAAGGAAAAAAAAAGAGAGAAATGGCAAATATTCCCAGATTCAAAGCAAATTAAATTTATGAAGAAAATATAATGCACCATTCTATGGGAACTGTTCTGAAAACTTCAATTAAATGGTCTGCTCTGCCCACTGATGTGAAAAAAAACTTTTTATTGTATACTAACTACTTCTATGTTTTACAATTAATTCTGAAGTTTTATCGCATACCTTTAATCAGCCTGGCTTTTCTAGGCCCAACTTCACACTGTTTACAGCATAAAGCTACAAGGTATTACAACTTTTTAAGGTACTTAAGTGCTAGGTAGATCAAGTCCTCTTTCATTATTTTACTATTTCTAAATAATCCTGGCCATTCTTACCCATTTCTTACTGTAGAATAATTTTTGTCTTGTTAAAAATGTCATTGAAATCCTAATAAATGTATTATTATATTTTGGTAGTATTAAATTATTTGTAAATAATCTTTTAATCAAAATCATGGTATGTCTCACTGCTTTTTTGGGTCTTATTTTAAGTCAGTAAAGTCTTGAGGATTTTTAAAATACACATTTATAAGTTGATTTTTAGAAATTTTATTTTTTTTGTACTGTGCACTCTCTATTTTCTTCTAAATATCTGAGTATAGAAAACTACTTATTTCTGTCTATTTATTTTATAGCTAGTCACAAACTAAAAAATTCTTATCAATTCACAAAATTTTAATTTCCTTCCTTGGTTTTCTAGGAAGTAAATTAAATTATCTGGATAAAGAAGAAAGAGATATGTCCATCTCCTCTATTCCAGATATGTTCTATTTTATTTTCTTGTCTTATTGCACAAGCTAGAAGATTCAGGACACATTAAATATTAATAATGATAACAAGCATTATTGTATTGCTGTAACTTTAAAGGGATGTTTTTTATGTTTTGTTGTGATGTTTAATTTTAATTACTTTACAGCACTCTTTATGCTAGGAGAAAATTACATAATGATAAAAGGGCCAAACTGCAAAGAAGGCATAATGATTCTAAATTTGTGTGTACCAATTACATAACGCCTCAAACTATATGAAGAACAGTGATATAGCTGTAAGAGGAAATAGAAAAATCCACAATCATAGTTGCAGACTCAATGACTCATTCTCAGTAATTGATCAAACTACTAGACAGAAAGTCATCTAGGATATAGAAGAACTGTAGAACACATAAAACAAAAAGAATATATACCCAGAACCCATGGTTATTTTTAGTAGATAAACCATATACTGGGCCATAAAACAAATCTAATAATTTTTTAAAAATGAAATCATGCAGAGCATGTTCTCTGATAACTATGCAATCAAACTAGAAGTCACTAATAGAAAGACAGCAACAAAATCTTAAAACATTTGGAAATTAAGCAACACACTTCTAAACAAATTATGAATAAAAGAGTAAATGTGAAAGAAAATTAAAAAATAGAACTCAATGAAAGAAAATTATAACATATCAAATATGTGGAATATAGGCAAAGCAGTGGTGAGAGGAAAACTCACAACATTAAATGCTTACATTAGATGACAGGAAAGGTCTCAAATTAATAAGCTAAGTTCCTACGTCAAAAAAACTGAACAATGAAGACAAAATACACAGAAAACAAGGAGACAGAGGGAATAATAAAGATAAGAGCAGAAGTCAATGAA